>NC_000001.11:43796259-44099289 GCF_000001405.40 Homo sapiens | reverse complement strand
TGGTACCACAGGTGTGAGCCACCACGCCTGGCTAATTTTTTTATTGTTTGTGGAGACGGGGTTTGATGGTGTTGCCCAGGCTGGTCTCGAACTCCTGAACTCAAGCAATCCTCCAGCCTCAGTCTCCCAAAGTGCTGGGATTACAGGTATGAGCCACCTTGTCTGGCCCACATTTTCTTGTTTTCTCTTTCTCACACAAAAGGTAGCACATTATAGATACTCTTTTGCACTTTGCTTTTTTCATGTAACACTGTATATTGGTTGGCTGGCACAGTGGCTCATGCCTGTAATCCCAACAACTTGGGAGGCCAAGACTGGCATATCTCTTGAGGCCAGGAGTTTGAGACCAGCCTGGGCAACATGGTAAGACCCTGTCTCAAAAAAAAAAAAAAATTAAAGTGAGTAAGACCTAAAATCTGTTAGAAATATGAATAAAAGATGGCTGGACACAGTGGCTCACACCTGTAATCCCAGCACTTTGGGAGGCCGAGGTGGGCGGATCACAAGGTCAGGAGATCAAGACCATCTTGGCTAACATGGTGAAACCTGGTCTCTACTAAAAATACAAAAAATTAGCCAGGCGTGGTGGTGGGCACCTGTAGTCCCAGCTACTCAGGAGGCTGAGGCAGGAGAATGGCGTGAACCCAGGAGGCAGAGCTTGCAGTGAGCCGAGATCGTGCCACTGCACTCCAGCCTGGGTGACAGGACGAGACTCAGTCTCAGAAAAAAAAAAAAAAAAAGAAATATGAGTAAAATACATGAATAAATACATCACAAAAAAGATTTAAAAATAATCTTTTTTAAAAAAAATAATAATAAAGATCAGAAGAGAAATAAATAAAATTGAGACTAAAAAAGTGCAAAAGACCTACAAAACAAAAAGTTGTCTTTTTGAAAAGACAAACAAAATTAACAACCCTTTAGATAGACTAATTAAAAAAGAGAGTGACCCAAATAAATAAAATCAGAGATGAAAAGGGAGACATTACAACTGATACCACAGAAATTCAGAGTCATTAGAGACTATTATGAGCAACTATATGCCAGTAAATTGGAAAATCTAGAAGAAATTGATAAATTTTAGAAACATACAACCTACCGAGATTGAACCATGAAGAAATCCTAAACCTGAATAAACAAACTGACTAAAAAATTAGTTAGGCATGGTGGCACATACCTGTGGTCCTATCTACTCAGGAGGCTGAGGTGGGAGAGAGTGCCCAGGTGTTTGAGGCTGCAGTGAGCCATGATCACACCACTGCACTCCAGCCTGGGCAACAGAGTGAGACTCTGTCTCAAAAAGATCATTCATCATGATCAAGTGGAATTCATACCAGGGATGCAAGGATGGTTCAACATATGTAAAGCAACAAATATGATACACCATATCAACAGAATGAAGGACAAAAACCATAAGATCATTTCAATAGATATCAAAAAGCATTTAATAAAATTCAACATCCTTTTATGTTAAAAACTAAAAAAATCTGGGTATAGAAGGAACATACCTCAACACAATAAAAAATCATATATGACAAACCCATAGCCAGTATCATACTGAAAAGGGAAAAACAGAAAGACTTTCTTCAAAGATCTGGAACAAGACAAGGAAAACTACTGTCACCACTTTTATTCAGCATAGTACTAGAATATACCTATAATGTACCCACAAATTTTTTTTTAATTTCATTCTTTTTTTATTATACTTTATGTTCTGGGGTACATGTGCAGAACATGCAGGTTTGTTACATAGGTATACACGTGCCATGGTGGTTTGCTGCACTCACCAACCTGTCGTCTACATTAGAATCAATATCGTGAAAATGGCCATACTACCCAAAGTGATTTATAGATTCAATGCTATCCCCATCAAGCTACCATTGACTTTCTTCAGAGAATTAGAAAAAACTACTTTCAATTTCATATGGAACCAAAAAAGAGCCCGCATAGCCAAGACAATCCTAAGCAAAAAGAACAAAGCTGGAGGCATCACACTACCTGACTTCAAACTATACTACAAGGCTACAGTAACCAAAACAGCATGGTACTGGTACCAAAACAGCATGGTACTGGTACCAAAACAGAATGGTACTGGTACCAAAACAGATATATAGACCAATGGAACAGAACAGAGGCCTCAGAAATAACACCACACATCTACAATCATCTGATCAACCCGACAAAAACAAACAATGGGGAAAGGATTCCCTATTTAATCAATGGTGTTAAGAAAACTGGCTAGCCATATGCAGAAAACTGAAACTAGACCACTTCGTTACACCTTATACAAAAATTAACTCAAGATGGATTAAAGACTTAAATGTAAGACCTAAAACCATAAAAACCCTAGAAGAAAACCTAGGCAATACCATTCAGGATATAGATATGGGCAAAGACTTCATGACTAAAACACCAAAAGCAATGGCAACAAAAGCCAAAATTGACAAATGGGATCTAATTAAACTAAAGAGCTTCTGAACAGGAAAAGAAACAGGCAACCTACAGAATGGGAGAACTTTTTTGCAATCTATCCATCTGACAAAAATTTATTTAATTTAAAAATTAAAAAAATTTTTTTTTAAAAACCGTAGGCTGGGCACAGTGGCTCATGCCTGTAATCCCAGCACTTTGGGAGGCCAAGATGAGCGGATCACAAGGTCACGAGATCGAGACATTCCTGGCTAACACGGTGTAAACCTCGTCTCCACTAAAAATACAAAAAAATTAGCCAGGCGTGGTGGTGGGCGCCTGTAGTCCCAGCTGTTCTGGAGGCTGAGGCAGGAGAATGGTGTGAACCTGGGAGGCGGAGCTTGCAGTGAGTCGAGATCGCGCCACTGCACTCCAGCCTGGGCGACAGAGCGAGACTCCCTCTCAAAAAAAAAAAAGAAAAATAAATAATAAAAATAAAAAACAATGTAGTACTAGAAGTCTTAGCCAGAGCAATTAGACAAGAGAAAGAAGTAAAGGGCATCCAAATTTGAAGAAGTAAAATTATCCTTGTTTACAGACAATATAATCTTAGATTTAGAAGAACCTAAAGACCACCAAGGCCAGGTGCAGTGGCTCACACCTGTAATCCCAGCACTTTGTGAGGCCAAGGTGGGTGGATCACTTGAGGCCAGGAGTTTGGGACCAGCCTGGGCAACATGGTGAAACACTGTCTCTACAAAAAATAGAAATGTTAGCTGGGCATGGTGACACACGCCTGTAGTCCCAGCTACTCGGGAGGCTGAGGCAGGAGAATCACTGGAACCTGGGGGGCAGAGGTTGCAGTGAGCCAAGATTGGGCCACTGCACTCCAGCCTTGGCAACAGAGCAAGACTCTGTCTCAAAAAAACAAAACAAAACAAACAAACAAAAAACTCCACCAAAACCTCTCAGAACTGATAAACAAATTCAGTAAAGTTGCAGGATATAAAATCAGCATACAAACTTTGTCATTTCTATATGCCAACAGCTGAACAATATGAAAAAAAAACCCCAAGAAAGTAATCTCATTTATAATAGCTACAAACAAACAAACAAAAATAGATAGGAATGAACTTAACCAAAGGAGGGAAAGATCTCTCTACAATGAAAACTGTAAAACATTTATGAAATAAATTGAAAAGGATACCAAAAAATGGAAAGATATTCCATGTTCATGGATTGGAGAATCAATATTGGTAAAATGTTTATACTACCCAAAAAAATCTACGGATTAAATGCAATCCCTATCAAAATACCAATAATTTGGATAGAAGAATATTTGAGGGATTAAAAAAAAGATATAAAAGGCTGGGCATGGTGGCTCATGTCTGTAATCCCAGCACTTTGGGAGGCCAAGGCAGGTGGATCACCTGAGGTCGGGAGTTCAAGACCAGCTTGACCAACATGGAGAAACTTCGTTTCTACTAAAAATACAAAATTAGCCAGATGCAGTGGCGCATGCCTGTAATCCCAGCTACTCGGTAGGCTGAGGCAGGAGAATCACTTGAACCCAGGAAGTGGAGGTTGTGATAAGCTGAGATCACGCCATTGCACTCCAGCCTCGGCAATAAGAGCAAAACTCTGTCTCAGGAAAAAAAAAAAAAAAAAAAGATATAAATAGGCCGGGCATGGTGGCTCATGCCTGTAATCCCAGCACTTTGGGAGGCCGAGGCGGGCGGATCATGAGGTCAGGAGGTTGAGACCATCCTGGCTAACACAGTGAAACCCAGTCTCTACTAAAAATACAAAAAAATTAGCCAGGTATGGTAGCAGGCACCTGTAGTCCCAGTTACTTGGGAGGCTGAGGCAGGAGAATGGCGTGAACCTGGGAGGCAGAGCTTGCAGTGAGCCGAGATCACACCACTGCACTCCAGCCTGGGTGAGAGTGAGACTCCGTCTCAAAAAAAAAAAAAGATATAAATAAAAAAATAAAATGACATTTTTCACAAAACTAGAAAAAAATATTCTAAAATGTGTATGGAACCACAAAAGACATAGAACAGTAAAAGCCATCCTGAGCAAAAAGAACAAAGCTGGAAGCATCACATTACCTGACTTCAAATTATACTACAGAATTATGGTAACCAAAACAGCATGGTACTGGCAATAAAAACAGACACATTGCCCAGTGGAACAGAATAGAGAACCCAGAAATAAAATTAATGCATTTACAGTCAACTCATTTTTGACAAAGGTGCTAAAAACATACATTGGGGAGAGGATAGTATTGTCAATAAATGGTGCTGGGGAAAATGGATAGCCATAGTCAGAATGAAAGCAGACCCCTATCCCTCATCATACACAAAAATCAAATCAAAATGGATTAAAAACTTAAACCTAAGACCGGAAACTATGAAACCACTAAAAGAAAACATTGGAGAAACTCTCTAGGACACTGGTCTGGCAAAGATTTCTTGACTAAGACCACAAAAGCACAAGGCAACCAAAGAAAAATGGAAAAACAGGATCACATCAAGCTAAAAAGCTTCTGCACAGCAGAGGAAACAATTAACAAAGAAAAGAGACAACCCATGGAATGGGGGAAAATATTTGCAAACTACCCATCTGACAAGGGATTAATAATCGAATACATAAGGAGTTCAAGCAACTCAATAGGAAAAAAAAAACAAATAACCTGTGTTTAAAATGGGCAAAAGATTTGAATACACATTTCTCAAAAGAAGACATACTAATGGTCAACAGTCCTGCAGTCAGCCTGCAAAATCGTGGTATATGAAAAGTCACCCCTCCATATACATGGGTTTTGCATCTGGCGAATATTGTTTGATCAAAAAAAATCCACATCTAAGTGGACTCACGTAGTTCAGACTCAGGTTGTCCAAGGTTTAACTTGGACTGTTTCTTCTCTGTCTTCCATTTCAAGCACTTTCTCTCTGACTCTTTTTACTTCTGAAGAAAACAGTACACTAACTTGGTAAAGAGATAACTTCCAATGAAAAATATCTGAGCTACAACAGACGCAGAGAGAAATCTTATCTGAAACTTCCCTTATCTGACTAACTCAGAGCCTTAGGAGACATAGCTGCCACAAACCCTCCTCCAGAGGTCTCTGGTCACAGAAGCACTGACGTTGAACATCAAGACACTTTTTAAAAAATCGTATAAAGATGAGTGCGGTGGCTCACACCTGTAATCCCAGCACTTTGGGAGGCAGAGGCAGGTGGATCACTTGAAGCCAGGAGTTTGAGGCCAGCCTGGCCAACATGGTGAAATCCCGTCTCTACTAAAAATACAAAAATTAGCTGGATGTGGTGGCAAATGCCTGTAATTCCAGCTACTCGGGAGGCTGAGGCAGGAGAATCGCTTGAACCCAGGAGGCAGAGGTTGCAGTGGGCAGAGATCGCACCACTGCACTCCAGCTTGGGGGACAAGAGTGAAACTCCGTCTCAAAAAAATAAAAAATTGTATAAACAAGACTCATAAGAAGCTTCCATTCTTTGAAGTCCTAAAGCCCCGCTGGGGTAGTATATAGGTTGGTACATAAACTTTTACCCCCAGCTGTTCAGGGAGCTACTCTCTCTATAGGGTACGCCCACATGTGTATTTTCCCCCTGTTACTCTATTGCCATTTAATTCACAGGCCCCCAACCAGCTGGACTTAGGTTGGTAGAGGAGAAGTCTTTCTTCCCAACACTTTTCTCTTGATTTCATTTTCATCCTCTTGGTTTTTCCAAAGCAAACATGGACAAATAGGATCACATCAAGCAAAACTGTCTTTCTTCAATGCCCCTTATTACATTTCCACTTGAATTTATTCTCCTTTGAGTACCTTATAATGTAGGCTTTATTTCTGAAATCATTTTGTCTGTTCCTTCTTTCCTGAGTTCAGTGAACTCTTAATTTATTCCTTCAGAGCAGGGGGATGCCCATTTGCTTTTAATTTTTGAATTTTGGTTTCAAGATGGTTTTCCTTTTTTTGTTTTTTTGGGGTTTTTTTTGATAAATTTTTGAAGTACAAGTATAATTTTGTAACATGAATAGATTACATAGTGGTCAAGTCAGAGCTTTTAGGGGGTCTATCACTCAAGTCACATATATTGTACCCCTTGAGTAAAGGGTACCCAGCTACTCGAAAGGCTGAGGTGAGAGGATTGCTTGAGCCTAAGAGTTCAAGTCCAACCTGGGCAACATAATGAGACCCTGTCTCAAAGGAAAAAAAAAAAAAGCTAAAGAGTGATTTGTCATATCCTCAAATGTTTGCCTGAAGACGACAATTCATTGAGTTTGGTGTGTTGTGTTACAGCATTTTTCTTCTGCTTCATGGTAATTTTTCTTTTGGGGGGAAATGTAGAAATGTTCATCACTTGAACTATTTTGGTTCTCATTTTCTATTTTCTTATAGAAACGTTTAATCTGTTTTTGGCTATTTATTTTTTGGAATGAGAGTGGTCTCCAAGATTCTTAGTTGAATGGCGTCCCCTTCTGTCAGTGTAGTGAAGTACAAGTTTTTTTTGAGACGAAGTTTTGTTCTTGTTGCCCAGGCTAGATAGAGTGCAATGGCTCGATCTCGGCTCACCGCATCATCAGCCTCCCGGATTCAAGTGATTCTCCTGCCTCAGCCTCCCGAGTAGCTGGGATTACAGGCATGCACCACCACGCCCAGCTAATTTTGTATTTTAAGTAGAGATGGTGTTTCTCCATGTTGGTCAGGCTGGTCTCGAACCCCCGACCTCAGGTGATCCGCCCACCTCAGCATCCCAAAGTGCTGGGATTATAGGTGTGAGCCACTGCACCTGACCCAAAGAGCAAGTTTTTTTTTTTTTTTTTAATGCAGTAGTTCTTTTTAAATTTGGGGGAGGGAAGTGGGCAGAGAGAGAGAGAGAGAGAGAGAGAGAGAGTGTGTGTGTGTTGTTGTTGTTGTTGTTTTTTGGGTTTTTTTTTTTTTTGAGACAGAGTTTTTCTCTCTCACCCCCCAGGCTGGGGTGCAGTGATGCCATCCTAGCCCACTGCAGCCTCGAACTCCTAGGCTCAAGCAATGAATACAGCAGTTCTTAAAGTGTGATTCAAGAACCGTTAAGGTCCCCAAAATCTTTCAAGTAGCTGCAAAGTCAAAACTATTTTAAGAATATACTAATATGCTTTTGTCTTTCTGACCTTCATTCTCTTAACAAGTATGGAGCTTTCTTTTTCTTTTCTTGTTCTTCTTTTTTTTTTTTTTTTTTTTGAGATGGAGTCTCATGCAGTGGCACGATCTCGTCTCACTGCAACCTCCGCCTCCCAGGTTCAAGAGATTCTCCTACCTCAGCCTCCCAAGTAGCTGGGATTACAGGTGCGTGCCACCATGCCTGGCTAATTCTCATGTTTTTAGTAGAAACAGGGTCTCACCAGGTTGGCCAAGTTGGTCTCAAACTCCTGACCTCAAATGATCCACCTGCATCAGGCTCTCAAAGTGCTGGGATTACAGGTGTGAGCCACAGTGCCTGGCCCAGAGGTATGGACTTTTCTAGGAGCTACAGGACATGTGATATTGCATCAGACTGAATTTAGACATGCAGATATAAGACCAGCTGTCTTCTGTTTAGCCAGATATTAACAGATTTGTAAAAATGTAAAAAAAATGCCACTCTTCTCATGAAATTTTTTGTTTTGGAAAATATAGTTATTTTTCATTTAAAAATTAGTTATGTTAATATGGAATTGGTTTATTATTCTTTTTAAATTAATTCCTAAAATACTTTTTAAATTCTCAGTTTTAATATTGAATATAGTAAATGTTGATAGATATAACCTACAAATACAAAAGCTCTTTAGGGTACTCATTTTAAGAGTATAACAAAGTCCTGAAAACAAAAAAGTCTGACAACTGCTGCTTTAATGGATGGCTCTGTGTGTGTGTGTGCATGCGTGCGTGTGTGTGTGTGTGTGCGTGTGCATGTGTGTGTGTGTGGTGGGAATTGTATCTCCTGCAAGTTTTGGGTTCTGTTTTGTGTTACATGCCCTACATTTTCCTCTTTTGATTCTTTTTTTCTCCCCCTGGGTACTCACTGGTTATAGCACCTTTTGATTCTTTTCCCCTTCACCACCTAATCTTCAAAGTGTGCCTCTCCTTTCCTTTCTTGCATTCTATTTCCCCAGAAGCGCGACTTTTCTGAGGTTGTCTCCTTGAGGCTACGCTGCCCTTTTCAGTCCCTCCCCGTGGTCAGTGCTCTGATCTACAGGATTCGTTTTCGTGTTGTTTCTCTTAGGGCGGACTTTCTCTTTAACACAATGATTTCAGATCAATCTTTGGCCTGCTGTTACCTGCCCCCTCTTCTCTTCCACAGTTTTTCCAGGACTGCCCTTGCTCTCCACAAAGATTTGCAGTAGAACTGTGAAAGCCATCTCACTGGAATTTGGTGTTTATTTTTTCTACTTACAGGTAATTTAAAGTTTAGGAATTCTCTGTCATCCAGTTATGCTGAGAATTTAGTTTTTGTTATTATTTTTTTCTGTATCAAGAACCAGGAGTCAACAAATCTTTTCTTTTTTTTTTTTTTTTTTTTTTTTTTTTTTTGTAGAGACAAGATCTCACTGTGTTGCCCAGGCTGGTCTAGAACTCCTCAAGAGATCCTCCTGCCTGGGATTACAGGTGTGGCAGCACCTGGCCAGCAGATTTTTTCTTAAAAGGGCCATATAGTAAATAATTGAGGCTTCCAGGCCATACTGTCTCTCTCTCTTTTTTTTTTTTTTTTGAGACAGAGTCTCACTTTATCACCCAGGCAGTGGCATGGTCAGAGCTCACTGCAGCCTTGATCTCCCAGGCTCAAGGGATCCTCCCGCATCAGCTCCCCGAGTACGCCCGGCTAACTTTTTGCATTTTTAGTAGGGACAGGTTTTCACCATGTTGGCCAGGCTGGTCTCGAATTCTTAGACTCAAGTGATCCGCCCCCCTTGGCCTCCCAAAGTGCTGGTATTACAGGCATGAGTCACCGCACCCATCCCATACTGTCTATCACACTACTCAACCTGCCTTTGTAACATGAAGCACTCATACAATGCATGAACTAATTGATGTGTTGACAAAAACAGGTGCCTAGCCCACAGGATGTTATTTGCTGACCTTTGTTCTATATGGTTGCTTGGGATATGAAGCGATTCCGATTTGGACAGCCACTATTATCTTTGGCAACTCAGAAGTTCATAGTGATTTGTACGGGTTCTTTATGTTTGCAAAATAAAATACAACTCTCTTTGTGGCAGACACAGAGACGCACTGCCCAGATCCCCCTTCAAGGAAGAACTTGTTGCCCAGCTGCAGGGAGTGCATTAGGCAGACAGCCTCCAACTGTCAGCTATTTCAGGATCTGCCTCATCTGCAGAGAGCTGCTTCACCCAAGGTCATACGCTTCCCAGCAATCCGTAGCTGGTAGAAAGGCCCAGCTATTTTGGCCTAACTTAGAACACTTTGATGTACAGTGTTTGCTCCAGAGCTCCCTGCTGGGTTGGTTGAGGCTTTGTGGGGCCTGATTCTCAGTTCAAGTTCTTCCTCTGCCCAATCCTGCTTCCTTCTCCTTCCTTTCACAAGAGTTGATCCCTACTAAGCTTCTTGCACCTCAGATTCCATCTCAGCATCTGCATCTGGAGAATCCAATCTGTGACCCTCCTAGTAGTTACATGCATTGCAGATATTTTCTTCTATGACTTGTGTTTGGTTATGCTGCATTTTTCCCCCAACACAGTGTACCCCTGCCTTATTGCCCTTATTTTACCTTAGGTTATGCTCCCTCCTTCTTGAAGATTTAACACCTGGCTCACTGTGACTCTCTTCAGCACCATTCATGTGATAATTCCTGCTAATTTCAGTAGAGATATTCCTTCTAATGCTTTGGCCTGTCGGTTCCTTAGCATACCCTCCTCCTGTGGTCTTTTTATCCACTAAGTCAGCCACTCATCCCCATAGTCATACCCTAGATTTTGTTATGACAAATTATTGCAACCCTTCTTTGCTCCCAATTTCACACACCCCATTCTCCAATCAGCTCCTCCTATTTTCAGCTCACACCTAACGCTCTAGCTCCAGTGATCATTACCTACAGTGCATTCATCTTACCACTGTGCCCTCATCTATCTCACTCCTTCCTGTTGCAGACTAAATTGTGCCCCCCACCAAAGTTCAGACATTGAAACCCTAACCCCCAATGTGACTGCATTTGGAAATAGGGCATGTGAAGAGGTAATTAAAGCTAAATGAAGTTGTAAGAGTGGCCCTATCGCATAGGACTAGTGTCCCTATAAGAACACGAAGAAATCACCTTAGACAAGGCTGAGAAAGGGCTGCAGGGCAGTGGGAGTGCAGACTGAAAAGATGCAGACCACTGGGCTTCTACTTCTGTTTCCATTTCTGATCCGGCCTGCATCTGCCTCCTTCCTGAACAGGCCAGAGAATTCATCTAAATAGCCTAAGCAGGCTGGGTGCTGTGGCTCACCTGTAATCCCAACACTTTGGGAGGCCGAGGTGGGCAGATCACCTGAGGTCAGGAGTTCAAGGCTAGCCTAGCCAACATGACAAAACCCCATCTCTACTAAAAAAATACAAAAATTAGCCAGGCATAGTGGCGCCTATAGTTCCAGCTACTTGGGGGGCTGAGGTAGGAAGATCGCTAGAGCCTGGGAGGTTAAGGCTGCGGTGAGCTGTGATTGTGCCACTGCACTCCAGCCTGGGTGACAGAGCAAGACCCTGCCTCAAAAATAAATAAATAAATAAATAAATAAAAATAAGAGTGCTTGGCAGCTTGATCAAGCTATGCCAGGAACCCATCTCTCAAGCAGCAGCTCTTCTCCTGTGCCATTGTCAGCTTTGTCCTGTCTGAGTCCATGGGACTCTTCTGTTTGATGGTGGTCTTCCTCATCCTCTTCATCATGTGAAGCTCCATGGAGATCACCTACCCATACCTGCTTCTGTGACCTCATGCCATTCCTGGTGTTGGAATGTGCCAAGGTTTGCCATTAAACACACATTTCTCATTTCATAATTTCATATATATTATATATATGTGTGTGTGTGTGTGTTTATATATGCGTGTGTGTGTGTGTGTGTGTGTGTGTGTGTGTATATATATATATATATATATATATATATATATATATATATATATAAAATATATAGGAAGAGGCACCAGAGAGCTCTCTGCATAGTCACAGAGGAAAGGTCATGTGAGGACAGCCAGAAGGCAGATGTCACAAGCCTCACCAGCAACCTACCATACCCTGCTTGTACCTCCATCCTGGAAGTCCAGCTTCTAAAATTAGAAGAAAATAGTCGGGTGTGGTGGCTCGCACCTATAATCCCAGCACTTTGGGAGGCTGATGTGGGAGGATCATTTGAGGTCAAGAGTTTGAAACCAGCCTAGGCAACATAGGGAGACCCTGTCTTTAAAAAAAATTTTTTTTTGTTTTAATTAGCTGGGTGTGATGGTGCACACCTGTAGTCCTAGCTACTTGGGAGGCTGAGGTAGGAGGATCCCCTGAGCCCAGGGAAGTGGAGGCTGCAGTGAGCCATGATCACACCACTGCAATACAGCCTGGGTGACAGAGCAAGACCTTATCTCAAAATAAACAAACAAACAAAAAAGATGACAAAATAAATGTCTGTCGTTTAAGTCACCCATTCTGTGATATCTTGTTACGGCAGCCTGAACTGACCAATACACTTCCTCACCCAGTTTAAATTCCATGCTCAATCATAATCAGCCATTGCAATTACCCTCAACTGTATTATCAACCCTCAATTTGTATTAGTTGCTTGGCAAAACCCAAACCCTTGTGAAATCCAGTTCTTCTATATCTACATCGATGCTGCCGAATATGGCTGAAGAAAAGCAACTGTGTTGACTGGACTGCTTTAAATTCATGACCACTTACCTCAAGTGGGCACTTAACTTCCTGGCAATTATTCTACATTTTTCTAGTCCATTAACTCTCCTCCTCTCTGAGTTAATTATTTCACAGCTTTTCCTCCCTCTTTATACATGTTCCATCCTAACTCTCTGCTGATGACCTTGTTTCTTATTTCACTAATGGAGGCCACCAGGAGAGAACTCCCACAGCCATCAAATTCACCAAGCCAACAGCATCCTTACACAAATCCTCTGCCTTCTCTCTGGGCTGGCTGTGCCCTCTCTTTGCTCCTGCAATTTCCCTAACTCTCCTATACTGTTGTTATTCACTCTCCAGTGGATAATCACCATCAGGATGCAAAGATGCTGTACTAGCTTCTGAACTCTCCAAAAACCCAGGAAACAAAAAGGCAAAGGCTAAGCTTTTTCTTATTCCCCCTTCCAGCTATTGTACTGTTTCTCTGCTTTTAATTTATTTTTATTTATTTATTTATTTATTTATTTATTTATTTATTTTTGAGATGGAGCTTCACTCTTGTTGCCCAGGCTGGAGCGCAATGGCGCGATCTCAGCTCACCGCAACCTCTACTTCCCGAATTCAAGTGATTGTCCTGCCTCAGCCTCCCGAGTAGCCGGGATTACAGGCATGCGCCACCACGCCTGGCTAATTTTGTACTTTTAGTAGAGACGGGGTTTCTCCATGTTGCTCAGCCTGGTCACAAACTCCCGATCTCAGGTGATCTGCCTGCCTCGGCCTCCCAAAGTGCTGGGATTACAGGCGTGAGCCACCACGCCCCACCGTCTCTGTTCTCTTTTAAAGCACAATCCCTCAACACAAGTGTCTATACTCAGCGTCTCCACTTTCCCTCCATCTGGTCTTCCCAGTGCCCCCTTGTCAGGTTTTCACCCCATGCTCCTCCAGGGCTAGTCTGCTCTTGCTTCCCGTCTTACTGGAAGACCAGCAGCATTTGACAGAGTTGGTCACTCTCTCCTCCTTGGACACCTTTTCTTCACTTGGTTTCCAGAACAGCATTATCTCCTGCTTATTGTCTTCCTCAGTCTACCTCAGTGAAAAGCTTTACTGGTTCCTCCACATCTCCCAGACCTCCAGTAATAACAGGAATGTACCATGCCATTGCTCTCTCTCTCTCCTTTTTTTTTTTTTTTTTTTTTTTTTGTTGAGACAGAGTCTCAATTTTATCACCCAGACTGAAGCACAATGGCATGATCATAGCTCATTGCAGTCTCGAACTCGTGGGCTCAAGCAATCCTCCCACCTCAGCCTCCTGAATAGCTGGGACTACAAGCAACACCACCATGCCCAGCTAACTTTCTATTTTTTATTTTTATTTTTTGTAGAGATGAGGTTTTACTATGTTGCCTAGGCTAGTCTTGAACTCCTGGGCCCAAATGATCCTCCCACCTTGGTCTCCCAAAGTGCTGGGATTATAGGCGTGAGCCACCGTGTCCAACTTCTCTTTCTTAATGGAATTTAGGCAAAAGTTATTACTCATGGCCTTGGAATGCTCTTTCCTCAGATAGCCACATGGCTCACCATTACTTCCTTCCAGCTTTCTTCAAAGATCCACTTCTCAGTGAAGCTTTGTCCTGACCACCCAGCTGAAAATTGCAATCCTCTTCTGTCTACCATGTACATACTCTCTATTTGCTTTCCTTCCTTTATTTCTCTCTGTAGGTGTGACCTAACATAACATATAATTTACTTCTGTACCTTGTTTGCTTTCTGTCTTCCCCTTTAGAACATAAGCTCCATGAGGGAAGGCGTTTTTGCCTGCTTTAGTCACTTTATCTCCAGCAACTACAACTATATGTATATATACACACACATATATATACACACACATATATATACACACACATATATATATACATATATATATATAGTAGGCACTCAATAAACATTCACTGAATGAATGAACAGTAATGCTCACTTGCCCATAAATACAAGTACCTCATCTTTTACCACAAAGGGTATTTGTAAATATTTAGGTTGTTTCTACCCAGATTATGGCTTGGTAATTCTTTTTTTTTTTTTCTAATTTTTATTTTTTTTCTAGGGACAGGGTCTCACTATGTTGCCCAGGATGGTCTTGAACTCCTGGGCTCAAGCATTCTGCCTGCCTTGGCCTCCTAAAGTGCTGAGATTACAGGCATGAGCCACCGTGCCTGCCTTCATGTATGTTTTTAGAACACAGAGAAAATGTGTTCTAAATGTGCTCATTGCTCAGCAATGAGCAAAGGCTTATGCAGTCACCACCAATCAAAAACTTTTTTTTTTTTTTTTGAGACAAGATCTTGCTCTGTTGCCCAGGCTGGAGTGCAGTGGCAGGATCATAGCAAGCTGCAGTCTTGACCTCATAGGCCTAAATCATCCTCCCACCTCAGCCTCACAAGTAGCTAAGACCACAGGTACAAGCCACCGTATCTAGCTAACTTTCAAAATTTTTTGAATTTTTAAATTTAAAAATTTTGAGGCCAGGCTGGCCTCAAACTCCTGAGCTCAAGCAATCCTCCCACCTTGGCTTCCCAAAGTGCTGGGATTATAGGCGTGAGCAACTGTACCTGGCAAAAACTTTTTAAGAGCTTCGCTTCCAGGATTAGGCAACTTTAACCTTCAACAGTGATCATAACCCTTAGTTTTCAGATCCGATTATAGGGAAATGTGTAATGTCTTACTGACACACTAATCCCATCACTGCTCACACCACCCACAATTAGCTGAGGATAGTAGAAAGCCAAAATGGGATTTTGAAACATAAATTGGTTAAAATGTATCGACCAAAATGGCCAGATGTCTTGCCTATAATTCTCAAGAATTGTGTACAGGCACATGCAACTTCCTTCTACAGTTCCAGTGACCATCCACTTGGAAAACATTTATGTATAAAATGGGATTTTGCTAGATATTCACAAAGCATTACTGAAGTGTGTCCAAACTTTCCATGCACAGAAACAAGAGTCTAAACAATCACCCTGGTGAAACTGAGCTGGAGGTTGAATATACATGAAGACTAATCAGAGGAAAGAAGCGTCACTTGAACTTTCCTAGAGAGGACGATCCCGGCTTGTACTCACCACCCATGCACCCTGGACCAGGCTTCTCAGCTTGAGAAGATGTCTGCCTCAGGGGCATGGCAGCTTCTTGTGCCATTTTTTTTTTTTTTTTTTTTGAGACAGAGTCTCGCTGTGTCTCCCAAGCTGGAATACAGTGGTGCCATCTTGGCTCACTGCAACCTCCAACTCCCGTCTTCAAAGGATTCTCCTGCCTCAGCCTCCCAAGTGGCTGGAACTACAGGCACCCGCCACCATGCCCAACTAATTTTTGTATTTTTAGTAGAGATGGGTTTCACTATGTTAGCCAGGCTGGTCTGGAACTCCTGACTTTGTGATCCACCCTCCTCAGCCTCCCAAAGCACTGGGATTACAGGCGTGAGCCACCGCGCCTGGCTCTTGTGCCTATTTCATGAGCTTTTAGCCTTAAGAACAACTTGCTGGATATTTTCTATTGGCTTATTATTTGCTCCTTGGATGCCAACTGAGCAGGAGGCTGGGAGTGGGCTAGTTTGTGAGCAAGGTAAGAGGTTACAACTTTCAAGAGAATAATTCTGTCACCAACCTCTCTTCTGCAAGGAAAAAACTTAAGCAATTAACAATTTTCTTTCATTTAACCAAAAAAAAAAAACCCTACTCAATTCTCACCTCAAAAGTTTAAAGGTAGCTGGGTGTGGTGCCTCATGCCTATAATCCTAGCACTTTGGGAGGCAGAGGCAGAAGGCTTGCTTGAGCCCAGGAGTTTGAGCCCAGCCTGGGTAACATAGCAAGGCCTCATCTCTACAAAAAAAAAATTTTTTTTTAATTAGCTGGGTGTGGTGGCATGCCCCGTAGTCCTAGCTACTCAGGAGGATGAGGTGAGAGGATTGTTTGAGCTCACGAGTTTGAAGGTATAGTGGCCTATGATGGCACCACTGCACTCCAACCTGGGCAATAGAGTGAGACCCTGTCTCAAAAAAAAAAAAAAAAAAAAGTTTAAAGACACAGTGAGTGTGCTGGCCCCCTCTGCTCTATGAACAAGAGACCAAATGACGAGGTCAGCTTTACCAAGCAGTTATCACAGTGCTGGTCACATTTTCCCTTCTGAATGTATCAGTTTGGTTTGGGGTCGCGTTTCTAAGGTAGAGACAACTTGCCTTACCAAGGTAATAAGGATCTTCCCCTCCAGAAAGAACAGAATTATCAAAAAGATCAAGAAAAGTTTCAAAATGACTGATGGACCTTTGTCTGAATATTGGTGTATGGCTTTTGTGTGTCAAAAATCCAGGGATAAAAATATGACACTTTTCTTAAACTATCCCTTCTGTTCATAAAGAAACTTCCTATCTCTGAGTGTTGAATCTGTTCTCAGGGAACCCCCATGATACCAATGTCCCTCATCTAGGGAGGCTTTTGAAGCCTGGGGACATACACAAAATTGTTTCTGACTGCTGCTGGTCTAGGACCAATAAAACCCTCCGAATGCACACAGTCCCCGGTGTAATTTCCAATACTTCCACACTCTTTCCACAAATAGCCACCACCATTAAAGGGTTTTAATGTTTCATTCAAAATGGATTAGTTCCTGTGGCCAATAGCCAATGTAATTATAATGAATGTTGTATTAATCCTTATGATATTTCCCTGAGTTCAATACATCACTGTATCTTAATCTTCCGCTATTCAGTTGCTCAATTACCCAATTAGACTGTTGGTGATCATTTACTGGGACTTATTTCATCTGTGGTACATGAGCTTACTTTTGGTTCCTAAGGAATTGGTCTGGCTTATGTGATTATGGGGATATTATTCTGGTTATGCACCACTTCTAGTCTCTCCCCTAAGCAAAATTATGGAATCTCGGAGAAATAACTGAAATGGAAAGGCTCTGGACATTAACTTTCCCAATATATGGTGTTGCCAGGTCCATTAAGAAAAATTATTTAACATTTTAGAACAAGTTGGTAATGTCACATATAATAACATTCTAGATGATGTAACAACAAAAAAGACTTCTGCCACTAGCGGTATGGCTCACTACATATTTTGAAAAGCTCTTCTTTAAAATATATTGATAGTGGATACATTTCAACAAATAGATATTTATACACTTAGGAGTACAAGGAACTAAGGAAAATCTCTAGGAGCCTGAAACAAACACAAAAAGCTGAAATCGGTGATGTGCCCATATGGAAACAAGACTACCATGGGGAGGCCAAGTGCAGTGGCTCATGCCTGTAATTCCAGCACCTTGGGAGTCTGAGGCAGGTGGATCACTTGAGGTCACGAGTTCAAGACCAGCCTGGCCAACATGGCAAAACCCCATCTCTATGGGAAAAAAAATACAAAAATTAGACAGGTGCGGGGGTGGGCACCTGTAGTTCCAGCTGCTTGGGAGGTTGAGGCAAGAGAATTGCTTGAACCCGGGAGGTGGAGGTTGCAGTGAGCCAAGATTGTGCCACTGGACTCCAGCCTGGGTGACATGAGACTCTGTCTCAAAAGAAAAAAAAAAAAAACTACCATGGGGAAAATGCCAATACTAGAAACCTAGAGCTTTGAGTTTTGAGCTAAGCTTCGTTTAAACCTAGTGCTTTAAACTAAACAGATTTAGTTTAACATGAGATAGTGTTACAGAACCAACAATAACAAAACAGATTAACTAAATCTGTTTAACTGAATCTGATTAACTAATTTTTTTTTTTTTTTTTTTTACAGGATCTTGTTCTGTTACCCAGGCTGGAGTGCAATGGCGCTATCTTGGCTCACTGCAACCTCTGCCTCCTAGGCACAACAGATTAACTAAATCTGTTTTGTTACTCTATCTTACAGTGGTATACTTCCTCATGCAGTAGATTTTCTTTCATATTAGTTGTCCATTTTGATTAAATTAACATATAAGATTAAATTATGTAAATTTGAGGTGGGGTGCGGTGGTTTCTGCCCATAATCCCAACACTGTGGCAGACCAAGGTGGGTGGATTGCTTCAGTCCAGGAGTTCGAGACCAGGTTGGGCAACATGGTAAAACTCCATCCCTACAAAAAATACAAAAATTAGCCACGCATGGTGGCACATGCCTATAGTCCCAGCTACTTGAGAGGCTGAGGCAGGAGGATTGTTTGAGCCTAGGAGACAGAGGTTGCAGTGAGCCGAGATCACGCCATCGCACTCCAGCCTGGGTAACAGAACAAGATCCTGCAAAAAAAAAAAAAAAAAAAAAATTCAATATAATTCACCATGAATTAAAGAAGAAAATATGAGATCATCCAATTAAAGGCAGATAAAAAGGATTTGATAAAAATTCAACATACTTTTAAAGAAAATTAAAATAGTGGAAGGACATGCTTTATCAGCTACCAAGACTTATTGTAAAATACGATAATTAAGACACAGAGAGAGCCTGGTGCTGTGGCTCACGCCTGTAATCCCAGCACTTTGGGAGGCCAAGGCGGGCATATCACGAGGTCAGGAGATGGAGACCATACTGGCTAACATGGTGAAACCCCGTCTCTACTAAAAATATAAAAAATTAGCCAGGGGTGGTGGTGGGCGCCTGCAGTCCCAGCTACTCGGGAGGCTGAGGCTGGAGAACGGTGTGAACCCGGGAGGCGGGGCTTGCAGTGAGCCTAGATTGCACCAATGCACTCCAGCCTGGACGACAGAGCAAGACTCCGTCTCAAAAAAAAAAAAAAAAAAAAGACACAGAGGGGCCAGGTACGGTGGCTCACGCCTGTAATCTTAGCACTTTGGGAGGCTAAGGTGAGTGGATCACGAGGTCAGGAATTTGATACCAGCCTGGCCAACATGGTGAAATCCCATCTCTACTAAAAATACAAAAATTAGCCACGCATGGTGGCACGCACCTGTAATCCCATCTACTCAGGAGGCTGAGACAGGAGAATTGCTTGAACCCAGGAGGCAGAGGTTGTAGTAAGCCGAGATCACGCCACTGCACTCCAGCCTGGGCGACAGAGTGAGACTCTGTCTCAAAAAAAGAAAAAAAAAAAAGACATGGAGGGATTAGTGCAGGCACAAATAGAAAAATGGGTAAAACAGACAGGCTAGAAATGGACCCAAGCATATATGGATTCCTGATATATGACAGAGCCGTCACCAAAGAACAATAGGGGAAGGATGTTCTTTCCAAAACATGGCACTCAGACAATTGGCTATCTGGATGGAAAAAATGAAGTTGAACTCTGATCTCATACCATATATGAAATATTTTCCAGGAGGATTAAATCTGACTGATTTGTCAATCAGGTTCCGGTCAGGAAAAAGAAACCATACCAGTAATTTGAACAGGGAAATTTTAATATAAAGAATTACTAGGCCAGGCGTGGTGGCTCACGTCTTGTAATGCTAGCACTTTGAGAGGCTGAGGTGGGAGGATCGCTTGAGCCCAGGAGTTTGAGACCAGCCAGGGCAACAGAGTGAGACCTCACCTCTATGAAAAATAACAAAAAATGTAGCTGAGCATGGTGGCGGTATGTGCCTATAGTCCCAGCTAGTTGGGAGGCTGAGGTGGGAGAATTGCTTTAGCCCAGGAGGTCGAGGCTGAACTGTGATTTGCGCCAACACACTCCAACCTGGGCAACAGAGCAAGACTGTCTCAAAAAAAAAAAAAGGAGAAGAAAAGAAAAGAATGATTAACTAGTCACAAGGGGTTAACTAAATTATATGTGCAGAGAACTCCGAATAATACAGGCATAGCAGATGTAGGGAGCAGACACCCTCTCTATGGTGAAGGCAGAGTACCAAGGAAAGGAGTAAGCTTGGAATAGAGCTGCCCATGAATTAAAGAAGAAAATATGAGATCATCTAATTAAAGGCAGAAAAAAGGATTTGATAAAAATTCAACATACTGTTAAAGAAAATTAAAATGGAGGAAGAACATACTTTATCAGCTACCAAGACTTATTGTAAAATATGATAATTAAGACATGGAGGGGCCAGGCACGGTGTCTCATGCCTGTAATCCCAGCACTTTGGGAGGCTGAGGCTGAGATTCAGACCTCCCTGTAGAGGGTGTCACTGTGCTCCACTGGATGGGAGAGAAGGTACCACAGACCAGGGTGGCAGGAAGGAAACGGTCCACTGGGGCACTGGTGAAACTTGCTAGGAAACCACCTGTTGTGGGGGTGCCTAGCTGGGAAGCTGCCTGCTGGCATCCACACCAGTGGAACAAGAAGGAAAAGCGGCCGGGCACAGCAGCTCGTGTCTGTAATCCCAGTACTTTGGGAGGCCGAGGTGGGCAGATCATGAGGTCAGGAGATTGAGACCATCCTGGCTAACACGGTGAAACCCTGTCTCTACCAAAATACAAAAAATTAGCCGGGCGTACTGGCACGCACCTATAGTCCCAGCTACTCAGGGGGCTGAGGCAGGGGAATTGCTTGAACCCAGGAGGCGGAGGTTGCAGTGAGCCGAGATTGCGCCACTGCACTGCACTGCAGCCTGGCAACAGGGCAAAACTCCTTCAAAAAAAAAAAAAAAAGAAGAAGGAAAAGCCCCAGAACCGGGAAGAGGAGCCCCTTCCTCTGGCAATGACCCTCCAGCAATTTCTTCTGGCAAGATCTACCATTGTGTCAGGTGACAAAGCAGAAATGTTTACAAGGTCTGGCTCCAGTATCACAAAGCAGGGCAAAGAAGATTGGATTTGGAGTCAAGCAGCAATAAATTGCATAGTAACTGTGTAACTACCTAAATGTGAAAGGCAAAATCATAAAGCTTTCAGAAGGCATTATAAAAGAATAGCTTGCTTCATGGTTTCAGTGTTATTAAGACATCTACAGCACCAACCATAAAGGAACTGATTGATCATTTTGCCAAATTAAAGTAAACTTCTGTTCAACAAAAGTCATCATTAAGGCAGCAAAAAAACTAATCCTCAGAGTGGGAGAAGATATTTGCAGCATATATAATCAATAAGGGACTAGTATCCAGAAAATATAAAGAGCAGGATGTGGCAGATGTATTTTCCAAAGACGGCTGCAACAATAACTCCAATTCCACGTACTTCTGTACAATGTGACCTTGACATTCCCTCCACTGAGACAAAAGACCTATATCTGCTCACCTTTAGAGATTCACTTATAACCAACAGAATGCAACAGAAGTAATGTTCAAGGCCATACACTGCTGCCTGGTTTACCTGGGACACTCGCCTTTGAAGCCCTGAGCTGACATGTAAGAATTCTGACTGTGTAGAGGCCTGTGCTTGAAGAAGCAGAGATCACACGGAGAAACTCCATGAAGGTTTTCTAGCCAGTTGCCCCAGCTGAGGCCCCAAACAATAGTCAGCATCAACCACCAGACATGTTAGTGAAATACCTACAGATAATTTTACCCCTCAGCCACTGAGTCACTTCCAGACTTTGAGTCTTACCAGCTGAATCCCCAGACATCACAGAGCAGACACAAGCCATACCTACTGTGTCCCGTCTAAATTAATGAACCATAGAATTCACGAGCCTAGTAAAATAATTGTTTTATGCCACCGAGTTTTGGAGTAATTTGTTATATAGCAGTAGTTAACTGGAACATCTTACAAATCCATTTTTTTCTTTTTTCTTTTTTATTTATTTTTTGAGACAGAGTCTTGCTCTGTCACCTAGGCTGGAGTGCAGTGGCACAATATTGGCTCACTGCAACCTCCGCCTCTTAGGTTCAAGCGATTCTCCTGCCTCAGCTTCCCAAATAGCTGGGATTACAGGCGCACACCACCACAACTGGCTAATTTTTGTATTTTTAGTGGAGGCGGGGTTTCACCATGTTGGCCAGGCTGGTCTTGAACTCCTGATCTAAACTAATCTGCCCGCCTCGGCCTTCCAAAGTGCTGGGATTACAGGAGTGAGCCACTTTTTCTTTTCTTTTTTTTTAAAAAAAAAGAAAGAAAAAGGCTGGGTGCAGTGGCTCACACCTGTAATCCCAGCACTTTGGGAGGCTGAGTAGGAGGATCACTTGATGCCAGGAGTTCAAGACCAGCCTGAGCAACATAGTAAGACCTGTCTCTATGGGAAAAAAAAAAAAAAAAAAAGGCCAGGCATGGTGGTAGTGGTGCACACCTGTAGTTCCAGCTACTTGGGAGGCCGAGATGGGATAATTGCTTGAGCCCAGGAGTTCGAGGTTTCAGTGAGCTATTATTACATCACTGCACTCTAGCCAGGGCAACAGAGCAAGATTCTGTCTTAAAAAGAAAGAAAGAAAAAAAAAAGACAACCCAATAGAAAAATTAGTAGAAAACTTAAACAAGCACTTCAAAAATGAAGAAATCCAATAAACATAGGAAAAGTTAGCCAACCCCATTCATAATCAGGAAAATGCAAATTAAAACCACAATGAGATACACTCAACAAAATGACACCATTTTTAAAGTCTGACATTTGAAGAGGTGATGAAGAGGTGGAGTAATAGGAATTTCCTTCACCTAGATCCTCTTGAAAGCAGAGTCTGAGACAAGGATTAATGTGGTAATGCTTTCTTTGGGATGTGCCAGCTCAGGGCAGTGAGGGTGAGGGAGGAAGAGAAGTGAAGCAGAGGAAGATACAATACAATGTTATTGTGCTGATTGCTGCCTTGCAGCAAGCTTCCAAGAGACACAGCAGGTTGTTCATTAAATGTGGTCATGCTTCAAGTGGGAAGGGTTGCAAGGAGCAATGAGAAGGGAGGGAGATTTATCTTCCTGGTTTCCTCCCTTTTCCTGTTCCCATTAGTCAAGGTTTGCATCACATGGAGCTATTCCTCTGCGAATCCAGACATCTCCCATGGGCCTCTGGCTGCCTCCATGGTGTGGCTTTCATCTAAATCTGAATGTAGACAGGTGACCAGGTGCAGTTTGGGTGCTTAGAAAGAGAAAAGAAGGCAATTAGAGGAATCTGAGAAGGCACATGAAGTTTGTGTCATAATAAGATTCTCATACATTGCTGATGGAATACAGAATTGGTGCAACCACTTTGGGGAAAGGTTTGGCAGTGCATGCTAAAGTTGAAAATGTAATACCCTACAACCTAGCAACTCTACTCCTAGGTTCATGACTTTTAGAAATTTGTGTACAGATTTACAGAACCAGATCACATAAACAAAAATGTTAATATCAGCATGTTTTGTTGTAGACAAAAAGTAGAGGTAATTCAGGTGCCCATCAAAGGGAGAATGAGCAAATAAATTGTTGTTTGTTCTCACCATACACATGAGGAAAAAAATGTTTCATAATTTACAGAAAATAGGGAAAAAGATGTCAGTCTGAAGGAGCTTGGTTAATATGGACCTTGAACAAAATAGGATTCTCAGAGGATTGTTACATTGGCAAGGCAAATCCAAATATTGTTTAGAAGAGAAAATGACGGACTTCAAGGACTCTACTTGGCTGGCCTTAATGACACTATGTTAGAAACACTTATTAGACCCCGGTCTAATAATATTTGTATTTGACCCTGGTCAAATAATAATATTTGAATACCTGGTTCAAATAAGCATTCTTTCTTATAAGTCAAATTTACATACAACAGGAATGGTAGCAAATTCAACTGTGATTTTTACAAAACCACATGCGTTGTGATTTTATTCTAGCCATGAAAAAAATGTGTGCCCTCCTTAGTAAATAACACTACTATACATTCCAGAAAATGCCAAAGTATCAAACACCAGATTGAGAATTGAGACCTATGCTGTTATGCTGTTGTGTTGGTAGCTTACTAAGATAACTAGAAACAAAGTTACATGAGGAATTATAATTATACTGGGAATAATAGCTTTGTGTGTATGTGACAATAACTAATGTATACGTGTATGTGTGTGTGTGTGTGTGTGTGTGTGTGTGCATTTTGTTAGCCAGGCTGGTCTTGAACTCCTGACCTCAAGTCATCTGCCTGCCTCAGCCTCTCAAAGCACTGGGATTACAGGCATGAGCCGTCGCACCCCACCTTGATAATTCCTCTTGAAGGTAAGAAGAATACAGAGTAGTTATAACCTGGTGAGCAATGCGAGAAGCCTTGTCCACTGACTGGTCAGTCTGGAGCAGTGACTGGGGTCCCAAGTGAGATTCCATTTCAATTGCTCTGTTTTTCATGACTTATAGACACTGTTCCAGGGTTTCCTGATATTATAAATAAAGAAGAAAAGGGCCTTCTGAGAAGTCAGATTGTTTTTTAGCACAAAGACTATTTTAATCTCTCAGGCTTGGAACCCTAGTCGCAATGCTTGTGATAATGCCAATATTTGTAAAAGCATACTTTAGAAAATTTCAGAAAGTCATTTATTATGTCTGTTGCAGGAAATAGTGCTGGTTCGTGAAATATGCTTGTTAATATTTACTGAAGTCACTAAGTGAGAAGAAGCAGTTCCCTCTGTCTTTCTTCCCACAGTTGCTTATATTAACTATGTCCCTGGCAGCTTCTAGACACACAGTGCAAAGCTGTCTGTCTTCCCCTGGGTGGGCAGACTGGAATGGGGAAGGTATGGTGGCAGAGATGGAGATCTCTTGTCAATGACAAAGGAACGGAAGGGGAGAGAGGTGGAACAGACACGGCATTGGTAATGGCAACAGAAGGCGGCTAGCCACAATGGTGGCATCAAAAGGCAATGAGGATGAGGAGAGGGGATGTTGATGGGGACAGAGACCAGAGAGGAGAAAGGAGTTAGAAGGGGAATTAGGGGAGGGGAGGAGGAGATAAAACATAAACGAGATGAAGATGGGTACACATGGGGTGAGGATGGTACGGGGGATGATGGTAGGGGCATGATGAGGATGACAGCAGAAATGGGCCTGAATGTTTGCTTGGACAGATGGGGAAGGAGAATGGGAAGAGATGTGAGTTATAGATGAACGGAATAAAAATAAGGGTAGAATGAGAACTGAGCATGTTGCAATGGACATGGAGAAGAGACTCACTTATTCCTTCTTTCTCAAATATTGTTGGGGGGGCAGCTACTGCGTGCCAGGAACTATTCTAAGAGTTGGGGATACAGTGGCAAATAAGACTAAGTCTCTTCCCTCATGAAACTTTTGTGGTAGTAAGGAAAACAGAAAATAAATTTGTTATATTATAATGAGAAGTGCTACATATGAAAGTAAAGGAGAAAAAAAAGTAAAGCAAAGAGAGTGATGGAGAACATCATTCTAGAAAGGTGGTCAGAAAAGACTTCTACAAAGAGCAGACACTGGAGCCGAGGGAAGTGAAACAGGAAGCCAGGCAGGTGCCTTAGGAAGGGCTCCCCAGGGGAGTGCAGCAGTGCTCAGGTCCCTCCCAGCCAGGGCCAGCCTCTCTGCTTGGGGAATGGATCTCCTCCTCTCTCAACAAAAGGATTCAGTTCCTCAAATATTTCTCTTCTCTTGCCTCTCTTTTCCCTCTCTACTGGATCGATCTCAGAAATACACAGAAATAATCTGCTGTTATTTACCATATCCTTGAAAAAAAATACTGTCATGGGCCAGGCATAGTAGCTCATGCCTGTAGTCCCAGCACTTTGGGAGGCCGAGGTGGGTGGATCACCTGAGGTCAGGAGTTGGAGACCAGCCTGGCCAACATGGTGAAACCCTGTCCTACTAAAAATACAAAAATTAGCCAGGTGTGATGGCAGGCACCTGAAGTCCCAGCTACTTGGGAGGCTGAGGCTGGAGAATCGCTTGAACCCAGGAAGCAGAGGTTGCGGTGAGCCGAAATTGCACCATTGCACTCCAACCTGGGCGACGGAGTGAGACTCTGTCTCAAAAAAAAAAAAAAAGAAGAAGAAGAAGAAGAAACCTCTCATGATCCTAACTTTCCCTCCAGCTCACACCCATCTTACTGTACCTTTTTACAGCAAAATTTCTTGAAAGAATTGTCTACCCAACTACTCCAATTCCTGTCTGTCCTTTCTCTCTTGAACATGTTACAATAAGCTTTTGCTGACACCATTTCCTGACACTGCTGTTGTCACCATCATTAATGACCTTCCTCTTATTAAATCTTATTCACTCAATTCCCAGACCTCTGCTTACTTGATCTTTGACACAGCTGATCACTTCCTCCTCCTTCAAACACCTATTTCTCTAGGCTTCTGGGATGCTACGTTTTCCGATTTTCCTCCTACATGACTACCTCTTCCTTCTCCAGCTCTTCTCTCCAGCCTCTTACTGTCAGAGGCTCTGGGGGCTCCTGGGCCTCTTCTATTTTCTATTCACATTTATATCCTTGGTGCCCGCATCTACTATTGTGGTTTTATTTCTTTTTATTTATTATTTTTGTTATTATTATTTTACAGACAAGGTCTTGCTCTGTCACCCATGCTGGGGTGCAGTGGTGTGATCATAGCTCTCTGCAGCCTGGAACTCCCGGGCATCCTCTTGCCTCAGCCTCCCCAGTGGCTAGGACTACAGGCATGTGCCATCATGCTGGCCTATTTATTTATTTATTTATTTATTTATTTTTGTAGAGACAGGATCTTGCTATGTTGCCCAGGCTGGTCTCAAACTCCTGGCCTCAAGGGATCCTCTCACCCCTCCCAAAGTTCTGGGATTATAGGCATGAGCCACTGCAGCTGGCCCACTCTTGTGGTTTTAAATACCACCCACACACTGATGACTCACAAATGTGCAGCTCCAGCTCAGATTAGTCCCCTGAATCCAGACTCTTAAGACCTGACTGGATTTCTAAGGGGCATTTCCATTAACACATCTAAAACTGTCCTCCTTGTCTTCCCACCCAAACCCACACTTCCCACTATCTTCCCATCTCAGTGCAACTCCTTCCTTCCAGTTGCTCAGGCAAAAAACAAAAAAAAAAACCTGGGTTCCTTTCTTTTTTCTCTCCCCACACACCCAAATCCATCAACAAGTCCTGTTGTATCCGCCTTCAAAATATGTTCAGAATCTTACCAATTCTCACCACCTCCATCATTACCACCCAAGTCCAAGTCACCATGATCACTTGCCCAGTCATGATTGTCCCCCCGTCCCCCCCCAAAAAAAAACAGTAGGAGGAAGAGGAGGAGGCAAAGGGCAGCCCAGGTGGCAGAGGGGAGCAACAGTGTGATGGGGGTGGAGGGGAAGCTCCAGGTAGTTAACTACTACCGGAGCAGACAGCAGGTAGCCAAGAGTGTGGAGAGCTATGCTGAGGTGGTCTCAGGAACCAGAACGTGGGAAGTCTGGAATGCCACCCTAGGAGCTTGGATTTATGCTGAGCCAACGAGGACCCATAGAAACCTCACTAGATTGGCTTCAGCACGGAAAATGGGTTGAGGAAGTAGAGACTGGGAAGCCCAATAGGAGGCATTTGTGACCTGCCAATTGTAGCAGTGACTAGGACAAGGGAGGTGGCCATGAAAGTGGAGGGAAGTGAGCAAATTCAAGCTTTTGAGGAAGGGGAGCCAACAGGACTGTTGGTTGTAGGCAGGGTCATAGGAGAGAAAGGCTTGAGCTTGGGGCCTGAGTGGATGAAGATGCTTCTCACTGACACAGGGAAGGCTGGAGAAGGAAGGGATCATGGGGGAGATAAGGAATCAATTTTGGACTTAGTGAATTTAAGTACCTGAAAGAGTTCATGGTTGGATATAAAGGCCTAGAGCTAAGGAGCCAAGGGTGAGCTGGGAAGATATTTAGAAGTAACCTAAGTGTAGACTGTGACTGAAACCATAGGAGGGGTGAGCTGTGGAGAGGGATAGAAAAGACCCAGCTCAGAGCTCCAACAACACAAACATTTCCAGGAAGAAGAACCTTGAGGAAGTCAGGAAAGGAGGGGAGTAAGAAGTGGAAGGGAACCAGGAGAGCTGTTGGAGAATACAGCTGACTTCTGCTGAGAGGGTCACAGCTGAGCATGAAACACGCCCATTGGATTTATCACAGTGATGCTCATTGGTAACCTCGGGAGGAGCAGTTAGGACATGATGGTGTCTGAAGTTGCAGGGGGTTGAGGAATAAGAGGTGAGGAAGAGGTTTGACCGCAGGGCTGAATTAACACCTTTAAAAGATTATGGTTCCCATCCTCCTACAAGTAATACAAAGTGAGTTTTTTTATTTTCAAAATAACATAAAAATATATAAATGTTAAAATTAAAATAAACTTTCTAAATTATTTTAATTGCAGTTAACTTACTTGCAAATTTGTATTAAAAATAACTGTCCTTCCCCTTCCCCTGTTCAATAATGCTTATTTGCTGTGTTGTCCTTCTTTGTTGGTGCCTCAAACATGTGCTTTGTTTGTCTACTTGGTAATCCCGTAGGGTTTGGCTCTGATAAAGACAAGGGAGGTGGGAGGCTCACTGGAGCCCAGGAGTTCAAAGCTACAGTGTGATCATGCCCCTGCACTCCAGCCTGGGCAACAGAGCAAGACCCTGTCTCAAAAAAAAAAAAAAAAAAAAAAAAAAGACAAGGGAAAAGGGAGAGGTGAGAATGTGGGGTAGAATGGATTTTCAGCCATAAAAAATAACGAAATCATGTCTTTTACTGCAACATGGGAGGAACTGGAGGCCATTATCCTAAGTGAAACACCTCAGACACAGAAAAACAAATACCACGTGTTCTGTCTTATAAGTGGGAGCTAAATAATGTGTACATGTGGAAGTAGAGTGTGGAATGACAGACAATGGAAATTCGGAAGGGCGAGAGGGTGGAGGGGGGTGGATGATGAGAAATCACTTAATGGGTTCAATGTATGTTACTCCAGTGATGGATCCACCACAAGCCCTGACTTCACCACTATACAAAATATCAATGTAACAAAATTACACTTGTGCCCCATAAATGCATACAAATTTAAAAAATCACTTAAAAAATTAAAAAGGAGGTTTGGTAGAGGGAGATTTGGGGACTTTTTAAAATAATGGAGGCTTTATCATGTTTATAGGCTACAGACAAGAACTAATTGACTTAGAGACTAAAATGCAAGAAAGAAGGATGAATCAATAAAACCAGAGGGTCAAAGGTGGGGGGAATGCAGAGCACAGAAGGGACGGGCTGAGGGTGTGGCGTCCAGATTCCGCCCTCCCCTACCCATGGGCTACTGGAGGCAAAAGACACCCACCGAGCACAGCGGCCACAGAGACATGCATCGCCGACGCTGGGGCAGGAGCAGATGCTAAGGTTGGACAAGAGCAGGGAAAAGAGAAAGAGGAAGTTGGCACCTTTTGGATTGGAACATGGCATCCTGACCCAGAACACAGGGTACTTTCCCACCAAAGCAGCGAGGGTTAAAAAACAGACTCCGTCTTTCCCTCAGCATCCCCCAAAGTTAGGACTAGGGTGATATGGTGTAGGTGTTCATCCCCTCCAAATCTCAGTTGAAATGTGATCCCCAGTGTTGGAGGTGGGGCCTAGTGGGAGGTGTTTAGGTCCCGGAGGCGGATCCCTCATGAATGGCTTCGTGCTGTCCTTGCAATAATGAGTGATTTCTCGCTGAATTACTAGAGATCTGCTTGTTTAAAAGAGTGTGGCTCCTCCTGTCTTCTCTCTCTCTCTCTCTCTCTCTCTCTCTCTCTCTCTCTCTCTCGCCATGTAACACACTGGCTCCCCTCCGCCTTCCATGGCAGTTGTAAGCTCCCTGAGGCCTCCCCAGAAGCAGATGCTTCCTGACAGCCTGCAGAACCATAAGCCAAAATAAACCTCTTTTCTTTATTAGTTACCCAGCCTCAGGTATTTCTTCATAGCAAAGCAAGAACAGACTAACACATAAGGGGAGAAGGAAAGCCAGCTAGACTGGGGTGGACCCCTCTGGCCAAGGCCTCCTGCCCAGGAAAGCCCTCCTCCCATGCTGAACCCCCACCCCTATCCTGCCAGGGAGTGTCCTATCCATCTCCTGGTAGGATGTGAGGACTGGAAGACCCTGTCCTGAAATGTCTCCCACCCAGACCTGCCTCAGTTTGCAGACTTTTACCTCTCCACATGAGTGATCATTAAAATAAAATACACATTTCTGTGAGGGGAGGGGGTCAGGCCCTGACCCCTGAGAGGAGGCATGTGGCTGGGGGAGGGGAATAAATGCAGAAAGCAGAGGTAAGGATTCTAAGGCCACTCAGCTAGTGATGTCACCAGTGGTGACCCCAGAAATTCTATGTAAAAGGGCACAGGGTCACAATTGTGTTACAACAGGGGATGGGCCAGGGGACAAACTATTTTTACTCAGATTAGGCATTTTCTGCCTAGCTTGGGGGAGAATGAGGAAGTGTGTTGAGTGTCTAAACTCTCCACAAGCTTCCGTTTGGTGCCACTCTGGAGAAAACATAACCCCAGCCTGTGACCCTGGAGAATCATGCTAGCAGAGCAAGGGTTAAAGCTTCCTGTGAGGGCAGGGGCCAGCCCTCCTGTGAGGCCAGAATGTTCCAGTCCAGACTGAGGCAGGCAGCTTGGGAAAAACTGCCCACCACCTAATGAATCAGATAACACATTAGCTTGAGATCAAGGCCAAGGCCGAAGGGCAGGGGAAGGGAGGAGGCTGCTGACAGAGAAGCTTGGTTCTCTCTGCCCCAGTAACAGGGAGGTGGTGGGGGCTACATAGTAACTGGAGGGCCCTGCCCCAGGAGCTCTCCTGCTCACCCCACTCCTGGCTGGTATGTCCTCACCTCAGTGAGACTTTTCCCGTAAAGAGGGGCCTCAAGGTGAAGTGCTCAGGACCCAGAAACTGGAATGAGACGCTGATGAAAGGGGCTGGGCGCAGTGGCTCACACCTGTAATCCCAGCACTTTGAGAGGTGGGCATATCACTTGAGGTCAGGAGTTTGAGACAGCCTAAACAACATGGTGAGACCCCATCTCTGCCAAAAACGCAAAAATTACCCAGGCATGGTGACATGCACCTGTAATCCTAGCTACTCAGGAGGCTGAGGCAGGAGAATTGCTTGAACCCAGGGGGCGGAGATTATAGTGAGCCGAGATCACACCACTGCACTCCAGCCTGGGTGACAAAGCAAACTCTGTCTCAAAAAGAGAAAGAAAAAAAAAGTGCTGAGGAAAGGGCTTCTCCTGTCCTTCTCATGCCCAGATGGGGAAGAAAGGTCAGTGCTGCCTGAGGCTCAGAGAACCCAGGCTTGTGCTTCCAGGGTACACAGGAAACACAGACCCTCTCGGTTCTGCTCCTCCCAGCCTCTCCTGTCCTGCTCTGTCCCACCCCCACCTAATTCTGATCTGGCCCCAGGTTATCCCCACCCTTCCCCCATGAGGTCAGGGTGGCATTGGCTCACTGTTGGTGCTCTGCCCTGGTCAGTGCACCCTGCCCCAGTTGCTGTGACAGTGAGCTGCTCCTTCTCTAAATAATCACATATTCTCAACCAAATGCAGTCAACTCCTTCAGGAAGTTCTGCACCCTCTCTGGGGTACAAAGGGACATCCCACCAGCCTCAAACAGAAACAAATTCTGTGGTATAATTTATGCTCCAGTGCTCCCTGTGGGTCCAGGCTGAAGACAGTATCCACACACTTGCTTAGCTTTCTTCCTCTGTCCTATCCTGTTTCTCTCCCACCTCTTCTTCTGAGAGGACTCCTCTCATAAATCACTGGAACAAGAATATTCATGTCAGACTCTGTTCTCGGGAACCTGACCTAAGAGCCTTCCTTATGTCACTCATAACCAGTATCGCCCAAGATGCTACATCAACCACAATACATTGTCTCAAAATTCAGCTTTATCTAGTACCTAATACCTTGTGATACATCCCTTTCTGTTTAAACAGAGTATTGCAGATCCTGTTGTCTGCAAAGCCAAGAACTTTGATCAATAAAATGATTCACACCAGAAATGGTTGCAGCAACCATCACTCAAGGGAGTGGGAGTCTGACCTAGAAGGGGACTTCTTGACCCAGTTGAGTTTGAAGGCAATGAAGATTCTAATAGCGTTAGAGGATTAGACATTATATATTGTTTGTTTTTAAAAATAATATAATAAAAAATGAGCTCAACACTCATCCCAAGAGTTAAATGTTATCGATCACTTAGTTCTACCCATACCTCCTCCGAGAGGTAACCACTATTTGAGAACGTCATCTATATAGATGCCTAAATGAAATATTGTTTTGTTTTGCTTGTTTTTGATCTTTATAAAAAGAGTGCTCTTCAAGACTTGCTTTATTGCTCAAAATTATGTTACTAAGATTATCCATGTTGTGGCATGGATAGGAGTATCATTCATTTTTACTGCTGTGTCATATTCCATGTGTGAGTACACTACAGTCTATCCACTCTGTAGTCACCAGGCATTTGAATGGTTCTTTTATTTGTGCTCTTACATATAGCGCTACTGGCTACACTCCTGTCAGATGTCTTCTGATGTACCTGTGCAAGAATTTCTCCTGGGTATATATCCAAGAGTCGAATATCTGGGTATGTGATTGTTCAATAACACAAGATAATGACAAATTGTTTTTCCAGAGTGGATATTCAATTTATACACCAACCATTAATGTATAAGAGATCTCACTGACCAATATTCTCTTTAGAAAGTTGGCCAGGCATGGTGGCTCTTTCCTGAAATCCCAGCACTCTGGGAGGCTGAGGTGGGAGGATTGCTTGAGCCCAGGAGTTCAAGACCAGCCTAGGCAACATATCAAGACCCCATCTCTTAAAAAAAAAAAAAAAAAAGGAAAGTATTATCATACCCCTTAATTTTTTTGTTGTTTTTTTTGGGGGGAGGGTTTTTGTTTGTTTCTTTTGAGGAAAGGTCTCACTCTGTTGTCCAGGCTGGTGTACAGTGGTGCAATCATGGCTCACCGCAGCCTTGACCTCCCAGCTCAAGCAATCCTCCCACCTCAGTCTCCCAAGTAGCTGAGAACACAGGTTCATACCACTATGCCTAGCTATTTTTAAAAATTTTTTTGTAGAGACGGGGGTCTCACTGTATTGCCCAGGCTGGCCTGGAACTTCTAAGTTCAAGTGATTTTCCCACCTCGGTCTCCCAAAGTGCTGGGATTATAGGTGTGAGCCACAGTGCCCAGCCCATACTTCTTAGTTTTTGCCAATTGAATGGATGTAAATGATATCTTATTCTAGACTTAACTACATTTCCCTGATTATTAATAAAGTTGAGTATTTTCCATCCATTTATTGCCCATTCATGTTTCTTTTTCTGAAGGAAATTTGCTAATTTTTCTATTGAATTACTTCTATATTTCTTACTATTTTATAGGCATTATCTGCACATACTAGACACTGTTTGCTGATTATATATGTTATAAATATCTTCTTTGCTTGTGGCATGTATTTTTATTTCTTCTAATGTATAATAAATAAACAGAAGTAATACAGCTATTAAGGATTATTTTAGGCTGGGAGCAGTGGCTCATGCCTGTAATTACAGCAATTTGGGAGGCCAAGGCAGGGGATCACTTGAGACCACAAGTTCGAGACCAGCCTGGGCAACATGGTGAAACCCCGTCTCTACTAAAAATACAAAAATTAGCCTGGCGTGGTGGTGCTCAACTGTAATCCCGTCTACTCGGGAGGCTGAGGCATGAGAATCACTCGAATCTAGGAGGCAGAGGTTGCAATGAGCCTACATCACACCACTGCACTTCAGCCTGGGTGACAGATGGAGACTCTGGCTCAAAAAAAAAAAAAAAAAAAAAACCAAGGATTATTTTGATTCATATTATGAATACTATTATGCCGACAATTTTATGATATAATCACTAGTATTCTGGCTTGTATTACTTAAATTGTCATAAACATCTCTCTTTTTTTTTTTTAGATGGAGTCTCGCTCTGTCGCCCAGGCTGGAATGCAGTGGCATGATCTTGGCTCACTGCAACCTCTGCCTCCCAGGTTCAAGTGATTCTCCTGCCTCAGCTTCCCGAGTAGCTGAGATTACAGGCGTGCGCTACCACGCCCCGCTAATTTTTGGTATTTTTAGTAGAGACGGGGTTTCACCATGTTGGCCAGACTGCTCTCGAACTCCTGACCTCGTGATCCGCCCGCCTCAGCCTCCCAAAGTGCTGGGACTACAGGCGTGAGCCACCACGCCCAGCCTATAAACATCTCTTGACCTTAAAACAATATAAAGTTCTTCTAAAGATACCTAGTTAGCACACTTTCTCATTAAAATTGCATTAACTTCCAATCTATTTCCATATTTATTTGAAAGTTCTTATTGTTTTTGTGCACACGATTAGCAGCTTTCAAATAATCATTAATTATTATAACGTTTTACTCATGAAATATTAAATATACATGTATACCTCAAATGACTAATAGAATTTTGGCATATAAAGCAAAGGACATTTTCATGAACCTGTATCTTGAATGGTTACCTATATGTGAAGGTGAATATTCAGATATTAACAATAAATTCACGTAACATGGCTTGGTTCATTTACTGATATTGTTATGTTGATCAGATATGACAAAAATCAACACAGTCGTGATCATGGATCACACACAGGTTCAGGGATGTCACAAATGATACCAAAGAAGGTATTTGGCTATTTAACCTTGTAAGGGCTAGAGCCAAAGTCATAGTTGAATAGCAGATTTGAGCCAAATACTAAGTCCACAGCTAAGCTTTAGTGCATCCCTAATATGAAATTCTTCACAGTCTACATCATAAAATTATTTATATCTAGGCTTCTCTATGGATTTGCATAGAAAGTGTCTAGAATGATAACCGACAAATGTTGAAGATAATTGTTGGGGGTAGCTGCATTTGGGGCAGTTGAAAAAACTTTTTCAGTACTTTCTGTATTAATTATTATAATAAGCATATATCTTTTTATGAGAATTTAGTTAAGAATCTTTCCACAGTAACAATATCAATAATTACATATACATAACAATAAATTTTACTGGTTTTTCCCTTGTTGCCATGTTTAGCATATTATGCCTTCCTTGTTTCCCAGCTAACTTCTCACTTATTTTTTCATTTGGCTGAAGTGCTTCCTCTGGCAGTTAGTTTAGGGAGGGTACATAGGCAGTTGTGCTAGGTATTCTCCATGTGCCTCTTTTGGTCCACTTTCCACTCTGCTCTGGCCCCGCACTGCCCTGCTGACCCGTGGTCCTGCTAACCTTGTGAATTGCACTCAATCCTCCCGGCTTCCTAACAGCATTCAATCCAGAGTTGGCTCTGGCTTCCCTAATCCCTTCTCAGAGGCATCCAACACAAGCACAAACTCAAGTCTCCCTTACTAAGATGGTCCCAAGATTCATGCATTCTTCCTGCTGCAGCAAGCCAGATAAACTTAACTTTTATTAACTATAGGTATGGCCCTTACGGTCTTTTTGCTGATAGATTTTGACATACTATACAAACTCATTCTTTCTGAATCTATGGTTGAAGAAAATAAAATTGCCCATAAAAAGCAGAATGTTATTATTCTCAAGCTGTGTCTAAACCCCATAAGCAGAGTCAGAATATATCCAAGTGATTATTTTAAGAAAAGAAATCAGATGACAGCTGCCCAAATCTAATGATTAATGATTTCTGGAACAGCCCAACTGGAGAGTACTCCCAATATCATAGAAGAAGCAGCTTGCTTCTTTCCTTTCTTACAATACGCCTATGAAAAATGTCAAATATAAGAGAAACTTAGGCTGCATCTGACATAAAGATCTGACTTAGTAACAACACTTAATGATTGGCATCTATATGATTTTTTTCCATTTTATTGGGGTATAATTTAGACACAGTAATATGTACAAATCAACTTTAAATACATATACTGCCATGTACTCACAACCCAGATCAAGAGTAGAACAATTCCAACACTTCAGAGGACTCTTTCCTGTCCCCTGCAAGTTAATACCACTCCCTTGGTTAACCCAGTCTGGCCACTACCACTATAGGTTAGTTGCACCAGTTTTCAAACTTCATATAATTGCAATCATACAGTGTGTATTCTTTTGTATCTGACCTCTTTTTTTTCTTTCAATCAAAATTATGCAAGGTTCACCCATGTTGTTTTATTATCAGTACTTTGTTCTTTCTTATTGCCACGTAATATTCCACTGGATGAGTACAACACAATGTATCCACCCATTCTTCTGCTGATGCGCATTGGGTTGTTCCAGTGTAAGCTATCATGAATAAAGCTACTATGAACATTCTCGTACTTGTCTTCTGCTAGACAGAAGCACTCATTTCTGTTGAGGATATAGCCAGGAATAGAATTGTTGGTCACAGAGTGTATGCATGTTTAGCTTTAGTAAACACTGCCAAAGTTTTCCAAAGTGGCTGTATCAGTTTATGTTCTCACCAGCAATGTAAGAGGTTCCTCGTTTTTTCCCATCCTTGACATGGAGATACATGATTTTTTTTTTTTTTTTTTGAGACAGGTTCTTGCTCTGTCACTCAGGCTGGAGTACAGTGGCGTGATCATGGATCACTGCGGCCTCGAACTCCTGGCCTCCTCGTATCACCTCAGCCTCCTGAGTAGCTGGGACTATAGGCATGCACCACTACACGTGGCTTTTTTTTTTTAATTAATTAATTTATTTATTTTTGTAAAGATAGGGTCTTGTTTTGTTCCCCAGGCTGATCTGGAACTCCTGGCTCCAAACGATCCTCCCTCCTTGGCCTCCCAAAGTGTTGGGACTACAGCATGAGCCATGGCACTCAGCAATATGATTTTTAAAGGACTGAGAAATAATGCTCTGATTTTTAAATTTGAAGGGTTTGTGTAGACAGATATAGATATAGATACAGATATAGGCATAATATAAAATAAGAGATGCCTGACTACTTATATATTTGATCTTAATAAAATAATCTAAATTCTGTTTTAGAGTTAAAAATACATTCGATTACAATTTTGATCATTTCTCTTGGGGAAAGAAAGACTGACAACATCAAGTGCTTGGAAAGCATGTGGAACTTCTTGAGATAATGGGTGTTGGTGACACAGTGCAGGCAAATCCCAAATTGGGGCTTATCCCAGGAAGATTCTTGGCTTCACTCAGGAAAGAATTCAAGAGCAAGCCAGTGGTAGAAGAAAACAGCTTTACTGAGGTGGCAGTGTGGTGGTACACCTCTGTGACAGCTCCTGCAGAGCAGGGCTACCCCATGGGCAGTGTATACACAGTAGCAGCTCAGGGCAGTTCTGCAGTTATATTTATACCCTTTTTTTTGAGACAGAGTTTGCTCTGTCACCCAGGCTAGAGTGCTGTGGTGCGATCTCAGCTCACTGCAACCTCCGCCTCCCAGGTTCAAGTGATTCTCCTGCCTCAGCCTCCCAAGTAGCTGGGATTACAGGCACCTGCCACCACACCTGGCTAATTTTTGTATTTTTGGTAGCGATGGGATTTCACCACGTTGGCCAGGCTGGTCTCGAACTCCTTACCTCAAGTGATCCGCCCACCTGGAAATCCCAAAGCGCTGGAATTACAGGCATGAGCCACTGTGCCCAGCCTATACCCATTTTTAATTACATGCAAATTAAGGGGCAGATTATACAGAAATTTCTAGAAAAAAGGTGATAACTTTCAGGTTGTCAGGTCATTGCCAAGGAAAGAGGTGGTAACTTCAGGGCATTGCCATGGCAATGGTAAACTGACATGGCACTGGTGGGCATGTCTTAGGGAGAGGTGATTTTGCCTCTTCCCTGTTTCAGCTAGTCCTCAATCTGGTCCAGAGTCTGAGTCTCACCTCCAGAGTTGAGTCCTGCCTCCTACCTCATTCCCCCCTCAGAAATTAGATACTCCTCTTTAATCTTAAAGGGACTACAGAAGGTTGGAGGTCTACCTCCTGTAACTGTTTCCTGCTGAGTTTATGGATGTTGGTCCTGTCTAGCCCTGGAGAAACAGAAATCTCTGGATACCTGATCTGAGGGGCCCCGAGGCAGGACACTTTCATTCTCCAGGTCAGTAGGCGGGTCGAGTTGGAAGCCTTGTGCAAGGATTGTCTTTACCTGGAACTGTTGTAATATAGAAGACAAACTTTACTAAGAGGTTAAACAAGCAAGGGCCAAAGATTAGTAATAACAAGACAGCTATCAAAGGTCCTAGGAGAGGTAAAAGCCAGGTGAAGCTTGGGAAGGCACTTTTGATAGCTAGCCAGATACAGCTGGGATTAATGCCCTGATTATAGTTACGTAACCAGGTAGCTTGCTCACAGATCTTTTGAATGTTAACTTCAACTGCCCAGAGTTGTTGATGTATGTGCAACAGGTTTCATTAATAACTGCACAGACTCTACCTTGTTCAGCTAGTAGATAATCCAATGCTAGTCTGTTATTGAGAACTACATTTGCCAAAAAGTCTAGGGACTCTTGAATCCCCTTTAATGCCTGACCGCTATTGGTGGCTAAAGATTCTAGGGTTTGAGTCAAGTTCTTTAGGGTTCTTTAGGGTTCACATTCTTTAGGGTTCTTTAGGGTTGACTAGGGTTGAGTAGGTAAGCAAAGCCACCCTAGGGTGCTGCTAGTCCTATTGCTGCCCAAATTCCTTCCGATTGAATTAATCCAATTGCTCACTTACTTCTGGTGTTCCTGGGTCTTATGGGGTTACAGACCATGACCCCTGGAGGGGCAAGGGTGGCCAACATATGTTCATCTCTATTCCAAGTTTCATTCTTTTTTTGAGACAGAGTCTTACTCTGTCACCCAGGCTGGAGTGCAATGGCGTGATCTCAGCTCACTGCAACCTCTGCCTCCCAGGTTCAAGAGATTCACCTGCCTCAGCCTCCTGAGTAGCTGGGATTACAGGTACTCGCCACCACGCCCGGGTAATTTTTGTATTTTTAGTAGATGGGGTTTCACCATGTTGGCCAGGCTGGTCTCTAACTCCTGACCTCAAGTGATCCCCCTGGCTTGGCCTCCTAAAGTGCTGGGATTACAAGTGTGAGTCACCACACCCAGCCTATTCCAAGTTTTTTATATACAGAAGGCTGCTCCTAAAGGAACAGGTGGCTTCCTGGAGAGTCAGGAGTGGTTATGGGGTGTGACTTCTTCCCACTCATGGCCACAAACAAAATGAGCCTGGGGGGGTACACAAACAGAGGCCCTACGGGGTGTGATGTTTATCCTTGGCTGCCAAGTTGGGTCTCTAGAGGAGATATTTTCCCCCTGTTCTAATGGGAGTGGTCAAACAGTCTTGTTTTCCAGAAGGAACAGTGCTCCCACCTTCCCAGATTAGGCAGTTGTTTTTCCCTTGTATGTTCTGATCCAGGAGAAGGCACCATATATGGTCTCCTCACTGACAAGTGGAATCCCATTTACCTCATTGCAGCCTGGGAAACTTGGCAACTAGATTTGGATCAGAGTATCACAGGGAAACGTCTGCTTTTGTGTCATTAACACAACAGTGGATGCAAAAGATAGAATCATTAGTGCATTGGAGATATAGATACCCAACTTCCCAGCTCAAGGTAATAGTGGCAGGAGTTGGGGGGTGGTATTCAGATGGAATCGGAGGGGAATCAGGAGGAGAGTTTCACTTAACAAATAGGGATTTGGGTATTTGGGGATCACTATGGTTAGTTAGGAGGTCTGGAGAGATGGCTGTGAAATTTTCTGGGTAGGCCAGAAGGTAGAACTGTGCACCCTGGGAATATTGATGACAAATCCAGCAACCATGAAGATGATTCCCTGAGGCTATAATATTTGAAATATTTACGATAGGGTTATGTTCCCACCTGCACTGGATCAGGGTAATGAGGAAATCAAACAGGATTAATAGTGACAACATGGTGTCCAGTGGGCCTTAGAGTGGCCTCTATACCCAACAAGGACAAAAGAGGTGTTTCCCAAGAGGTTGGCTAAAGCAACAGAAAAGAAGGATTACAATCAGGAAGAAGAGAAAAATTACTGTTCCTATTCCCACCCACAGCATCACATTACCACCTCTGGCTGAGTGTTGATTCTTTTAAATAGGCAGCAGAGGTCCTCCAAAGGCTCACAGATGCAGGTCACAGGGGCCTCCTTTTGTGCTGCAACTCATAAGAAACAGGTTTAACCTGGACAGGGGTACCAAACTAGTTACTCCCTGAAGTTTAACAGCCGTAGGTGTACTCAACAACACCTGATACGGCCCCTTCCATTCATGTGTAATTGATCATTGGCGGATTCTTCTTTCCAAGTTTTTACTAAGACTAAGTCTCCTGGTTGATTGTGGAGGTTAACTATTTCCTTTGTTGAAGGGAGCGATATTTTGTTGAAGGGAGCCTCCAAAAGGCTTGGAGGGCCTTTTGAACCCAGCCTAAGTTGATAATATGGGTGAGCATTCTACGTGTCTCTTCATCAAACAGGAGATCTGAAGTTAAAAAGGGCCTCCCTGGAGCTTGCAGTGAGCCGAGACAGCGCCACTGCACTCCAGCCTGTGACTGAGCGAGACTCCGTCTCGGGAAAAAAAAAAAAAAAAAAAAAAAAAAAAAAAAAAAAAGGGCCTCCCATAAGTCATTTCAAATGGACTGTTTTACTGTTCCTTTGGAGTCATCCTTACATATAAAAGGGCGATGGGAGGCTGGGCACGGTGGCTCACGCCTGTAATCCCAGCACTTTGAGAGGCCAAGGTGGGTGGATCACAAGGTTAGGAGTTCGAGACCAGCCTGACCAACATGGTGAAAGCCCATCTCTACTAAAAATACAAAAATTAGCCGGGCTTGGTGATGCCTGCCTGTAGTCCCAGCTACTCGGGAGCCTGAGGCAGGAGAATCGCTTGAACCTGGGAGGTGGAGGTTTCAGTGAGCCGAGATCGTGCCACTGCACGATCAGCTTGGGCAACACAGCAAGACTCCGTCTCAAAAACAAAAACAAAAACAAAAAAAAGGCGATGGTGAGGAGAGAAACCCAGGCCTCTGAGGTCTCCTAACAGAGCTCTGCTAATGTCCTTTCAAAAACATTAGCTTTTTCTACCTTCCCCAAGGATTGAGGTCTCCAGGAGGGGTGAAGATGATACGTAATGCCTAAGGCTCAGGACGCCTGCTGGGTCACTTTAGCTGTAGGAGGGTCCATTATCACTCTGCTGACTTTTAGGTAATCCAAATCTTGGGATGATCTCTTTAAGTAGGAATTGGCACTTCTAATGCGTTTTCTGTTCTTGTGGTGAAATCCTCTATCCACTCGGTGAAAGTGTCTATAAATACTAGCAAATATTTCAGTCCCCTGTATGGTGGCATCTGAGTAAAATCTATTTGCCAGTCTTCCCCATGGTATGTTCCTTGATGTTGTACAGGAGTGAGTAGGGATGAGGGTATGGGCAGCTCCCTGGGTCATTACCGGCATAAAGTTCATGGGCCCTGGTGACCCACTTTACAGTCTGGAATAATTTCTTTCCCAGGAAGATTTGAGAAACTAATTTGAATAGGGAGTCCTGTCCCAAATGTAAGGAGTCATGGGAATACTTAATTATTTTCCATTGCTCAGCCTCAGGGAGAAAGAGTTTGTTGTTTTCTAGCAACCATCCTGAGGGATCCTTTTGTAAGCTTTTCTATTCTGCCCATTTAATTTCCTCAGAGATATAGTATGGTGCTGCTGACACAGGTGGAGTAGCTGGCATAAATGCAGTGAATGGGAATACTGGTGTTTCCTTAGCTGTGGCTTTAGCTGCTCTGTCTGGTGGAGCACTTCCTCAAATAAGGGAGGTGTATCCCTTTTGGTGTCCCCTGCAGTGACTAACTGCTACCTCCTTTTCCCAAAGGAAAAGGACAGCATCTAAAAGTTCCAGGATCTCTGAGTGATGTTGTATGGGGGATCCCTTAGCTGTTAACGTTCTCCTTTCTTTTCATGTGGCAGCATAAGCATGGAGCACCAGGAACCCATATTTGGAATTAGTAAGTATATTGACTGTTAAGTCTTTTCCCAATTGGAGGGCCCTAATTAAAGCAATTAATTCCAGTTTTTGAATGGAAGTCTAGGGAGGCAAAGCTTTTGTCTCAATGATCTCTTGTTGGCTAGCCACTGTATAACCTGTCTTCCTTACCCCTCATGCATAAAGCTACTCCCATCTGTAAACCACCAAACACCAGGGTTAGGCAGGGGCTCATCTTTGAGATCAGGCCTGCTAGAGTAGGTCTGTTCTATGGTTTCCACGCAGGAATGAATGAGTTGGGGATCTGTTTCTTGGGACATGAAGCCCATCAACAGGGTAGCAGGGTTTAAAACTTGATATACTTTAAAAGTAACAGCTGGATGTCAAGCAGAAGGGCCTGATATTTAAGTAAGTGACCTCCTGTTAGCCATTGGTGTCCTTTTGTCTCTAAGATTCCCTATACTTGGTGGTGGGTCATGACATCTAATTGTTGTCCCAAGGTAAACTTACTGGCTTCTTCTACCAATAGAGCAGTGGTGGCCACAGCTTGCAAGCATCCTGGCCATGTGGCTGCCACCTGGTCTAGCTGTTAGAAAAGTAAGCCACTGGCCTGGGACTATTCCCGGGCCTTTGAGTTAGGATGCCCAAAGCCATCCCTTGTTTTTCAGCCACATAAAGGGTGAAAGTTTTTTTCTAAATTAGGGAGTCCCAAAGCAGGAGCTGTTCCCAGCTTTTCTTTTAGTGTTAAGAATGCCTGTTAGCAGGTTCCATCCCAATTCAAAGGCTCATGATCACTCCCCTTTAGAGCTTCACGGAGTGGCTTGCTCTAAGCTCAAACCCAGGAATCCAGATCAGGATTCCCAAAAAGGCTATTACTTGCTTCTTAGTCTGAGGGACTGGAGTGCCAGGATGGTCTCTTTTTGCTTTTGGGCAAAAGTCCTTGTTCCAGGAGTGAGCACATACCCCCAATATTTAGCCTTTTGCACAGAGATCTGGGCCTTGCTGGGGGAAACCCACTATCCTCGCTTTCCCAGAAAATTAAGGAGCTGGATTGTGTTCCTGTCCGTCTTCCCTAGTGAGGCTGGAGAGTAATAGGTCATCTCCATATTGCAAGAGGGATCCATTAGTTAACTGTAGTTCCCTTAACTCCTTGGCTAATGCATTGCAGAAGAGATGGAGACTGTCTCTAAAACCTTGAGGGAAGGACTGTCCAGGTAAGCTGAGATGCGGCATGAGAGTCTAGATCAGTCCATTTAAAAGCAAAAATGTACTGAGAGTCTGGGTATAAAGTTATATAAAAGAAAGCATCCTTACTATGAACCAATGAGCATCTTCAGAGACATGGGTAAATATTCGTAAGGATTGCGAACTATTGGGTGGACTGGGACTACTATCTCATTAACTGCCCTCTGATCCTGAACAAATCTATATTCTCCATTTGGCTTCTTTACAGGTAAAATAAGGGTGTTACATGGGGACTGGCACAGGATTGTAGGAATCCAGACTTTAGGAACTTTGTTATTAGGGGCTGGATATTCTTCTGAGCCTTGGGTCTCAAAGGATATTGTGTCTTCCACATGTAATTAACATTGGGTTTTAAAATAACCTGGAATGGGGGTACACTAACAGCTCTAGCAGGAACTTCCATGACCCAAACAGAGGGGTCTACCTGAGAAGCAATATGTGGCGGGAAGAGCATCTCCTTATCTGTGTTGAGGTAAGCACTTAGAGCTAGAAGTGTCCATTCCCAGCCTGTTGCCTTCTTATGAGGCACTTGAAATTGAACTGTGGCCTGTAACTGGGAAAGTAATTCTCTCCCCAGTAGAGGGATAGGACACTTAGGCATAAGTAAAAACCCGTGGGAAAATGTATGGTCTTCCAGGGTGCAACCAAGGGGGTGGATAAATCTCCTAATTTTTGGCTGGCCATCAATCCCTGTTACTGTACAAGAGCAGGAAGACAGAGGCCCTGAGAAATGGGTTACAACTGAGTAGGCTGCTCCCATGTCCATTAAGAACCCAGTATTTTTGCCTGCCGTGTCCAGGGTTACCAAAGACTCCTCTATGGAGATGGTAAGGTGTCCAGTAGGAGTTGTAGAGGACCGCAGGCCCCATCAGTCCTATGCTTTCTTGGCCATTATGGATCTGGGTGTCTCAGACTCCCCTTTAAGCCTGGGACAGTCCTTCTTCCAGTAGCCTTCTTGTTTACAGAAGGCACACTGGGCCAGGCATGGTGGCTTATACCTGTAATCCCAGCACTTTGGGAGGCTGAGGCGGGTGGATCACGAGGTCAGGAGATCAAGACCATCCTGGCTAACACAGTGAAACCCTGTCTCTACTAAAAATACAAAAAATTAGCCAGGTGTGGTGGCACACACCTGTAGTCCCAGCTACTTGGGAGGCTGAGGCAGGAGAATTGCTTGAACCCAGGAGGCAGAGGTTGCAGTAAGCCAAGATCAGGCCACTGCATTCCAGCCTGGGTGACAGAGTAAGACTCCGTCTCAAAAAAAAAAAAAAAAAAGCTGGGCACGGTGGCTCACGCTTGTAATCCCAGCACTCTGGGAGGCCAAGGCGGGTGGATCATGAGGTCAGGAGACTGAGACCATCCTGGCTAACACGGTGAAACCCCGTCTCTATTAAAAATACAAAAAAATTAGCCGGTCATGGTGGTGAGCGCCTGTAGTCCCAGCTACTTGGGAGGCTGCGGCAGGAGAATGGCATGAACCCGGGAGGTGGAGCTTGCAGTGAGCTGAGATCACACCACTGCACTCCAGCCCGGGCGACAGAGCAAGACTCTGTCTCAAAAAAAAAAAAAAAAAAAAGGCACACTGATTTGATTTTTGCCTAGAGTCCAGCAAGTGGTGGGACTCTCATCTAAGCATCCCAGACACTGATCTTCCCATATTTTCCTGGGGTGGGTAACCCTGAAGCAGCAGAGGGCCTAAAGCAGCCACTAACAATTGTGATTTTTTGGCCAACTTTTTGGCTTTTGCCTCTTCCTCTGCCTTGTCCCTGTTGTTGTAAACCCTAAAAGCAACGTCTAAGGGTTGGCTCATGGGGGCCCCATTGCTACCTTTTGTAGCTTCCTCCTGATGTCAGGGGCAGATTGAGTGATAAAATGCACACCCAGGAGAACCCACCCTTCTGGGGAGTCTGGGTCTGCATTAGCATATTTCCTGAGTGCCCCAAGAAAACGGCCCTGAAATAGAGCAGGGTTTTCATCTTTGTCCTGAGTTATTTCTCTCACCTTGTCATAACTGACTGGCTTAAGCACACACTTTTTCATGTTAAACAAATTAGCCTGTGATTTCTGCATTTAAGATCTTGAGAACCTGTCTAGTAATCCAATTGAGAGCCTAGATCTGGAATTGCATCTCCTCCCACACGATATGGCATGGCCTGGGTTGGGTGGCTACTCCATCTGCATGTTCACGGACAGTATCTAGAATTCTTTGTTTTTCCTCTACAGTACAACAAGTGGATAGTAATATTTGCATGTCATGCCAAGTTAAATCAAAGAATACGCTCAACTTAACAAACTCCTCTGTAAACTTCCCAGGATCCTCTAAAACACAACCAAATTTTTCCTTGCATAAAGCCAAATCAAACATGAAAAAGGCACATATCTTGTGGTTGTTCCTCCATGCCTGTCAGCTACCTCTCACAATGGACACAGGTCTAATTTTGGCAGCTGATATGGGGCCCAACTCCTGGTAGTACTGGTTGGGTTTACTTCCTCCGGCAGTAGGGGATATGGGCCAGGACCTGTTGGATAAAGGGGAGGGATGCCTGCTGACTTTGAGGTGGAATTCTGCACTAGAGAAGTGGTGTCCTCCCCCCCCAGAACTAGGGGACTGGAGAGGCTTCAAAGTGGGGACACAGGCCTCATGGGGGAACAGCTAAGAGAAGGTCATCTACAATACCTGATGTGCTTCTGGGTGGCTGGGAGTATCATAAGCCAGACATGTTCTACAGCTAGCCCTTAAGATCCTGGTAGATGGCCAGAAAAGCCTGCACATAAGGGACTTCTTCCCATTTTCCTTCCTTTTTACAAAACAAATTCTAATTGTACAATATCATTATAACATAAAGAATCATGAGGCCGGGTGCAGTGGCTCACATCTGTAATCCTAGCACTTTGAGAGGCCAAGGCAGGCAGATCACTTGAGGTTAGGAGTTCGAGACCAGCCTGGCCAACATGGTGAAACCCCATCTCTACTAAAAATACAAAAAATTAGTTGGTCATGGTAGCCTGCGCCTGTAATCCCAGCTACTTGGGAGGCTGAGGCAGGAGAATCGCTTGAACCAGGAGGCAGAGGTTGTGGCAAGTCGAGATCTTGCCGCTGCACTCCAGCCTGTGCAACAGAGTAAGACTGTCTCAAAAAAAAAAAAAAAAATCCTGCCTAGGCCACATCTGTTGGCTTGCCAATTTATATAGAACCTAAACATTGTTGCAACAGAAAATAAATTTTTTCTTTTTCAATTTGTCTAATTTGAATTTACTCCAATTGCCTAAAAGACACCCTCACGTCAAGTCCTTCAGGATGCTCTCTGCTGCCCCATGTCTAGTAAGGCTCTCTATGGGGGTTTTAGTGACCTAAGCTTAGCAAATGCCTAGTTACTTTTCCCTTTTAAATTCCCACTTTGTACAAAGAAGGTGTAAATATAGACAGCAAGGTGTTATAAAAGTGGATTATAAGCTGCAAATGGGAAACAGAATGTTGGCCTAAATTCCACAGAGAGTGAGGGTTAGGCAGAGAGAGACTAAACAAATGGTGACAGTGGAAGGGAAGAAGGGCAGGGGTAAATAGCATTGCCCAAGGGGAGACCTCAGGGGCCCTCACTGCCAGAGAACCTACCCAGTAGGAGAGACACCAAAAACAACGTTCAGGTGGCCACTTTTCTACTGCTGTTGGTGGCTGTCCATCAGGGGCCTGGGAACTCCCAGTCCCCTTCAACCAAGAGGGCTTAAGCAAGACAGTTATGCAGTTGTAAGACAGCACACAGGAAGAGGTCTGCAACTGGCTATTAGGAAAATAATAACTTCTAACTTCAGAGCAGAAAAAGGCAAGACCAAGATTCCCCTAGGGGAGAAATAGCTTTTTCTACCTTACCTGAGGATTGAGGTCTCCAAGAGTGAAGATGACAGGTAATGCCTAAGGCTCAGGAAGCCTGCTGGGTCACTTTAGCTGTGAAGGAGGTTCTGTTATCACTGAGCAGACTTCTAGGTAACCCAAACCTTGCAATGATCTCTTTAAGTAAGAATTTGGACACTTCTAATGCCTTTTTCTGTTCCTGTGGGGAAAGCCTCTATCCACTCAATGAAAGAGGGAATGTCAATGCCGAAAACCCCAGAGCATTTTCAGCAATACCAATGCTGAAAAACCTGGAGTACCTGAGTTTCAGCCAACAAGGGTCCCCTCACCAAATGCTGAAAACCCCAGGGCACCAGGGGGTTGGCCAACAGCAAACCTCAGGCCAAGTTGGAGGTCACAGAACAACACAACAGGAGGCCTTGCATGGCCAAGTGTCCTGCCTTAAATCATTCCCCAAATTTAGTCAACAGAAAATCAAAATGAAAACAAAGACTGCCAACAAAACATACATCTTAGGACTGAAAATAAAACGACTGGTGGAGCAATACAATGGAGTCAGAGGGGAAACAATCAGGGAAAAGGGTGACAAGGACAAGGAAGTGTTTAAGGGTATCCAAATGATGAGGGACTTTTAACTGACCTCTTAGCCAAAGGCTTTAATTCCTGAGCTTACCTGATGTTATTGGGGTGGGGGTGGGCAAAACACTCACCCATCCACAGGAGTCAAAATGGTGCTGGCCAATCTTCCACGTGGCACCCAGGTGAAGGTCTCTTCAGGATCCCCCAGCTTGGATGTGCTCAGCTGCCATGGTGGGAGGGTCCCACGTGAGGACTGATAACCCACCAGCCTGCCGGATCCTACATGAGGCAGTAGCAGTATGGCCACTTACTTGCCTGTCTGCTTGGCTGTACCACCTGCCAGGGAAAACGATGATTCTAAAAAGAGCCTTTGGTTAGTGTTACAACTCTTGCAGCCTCCATCACTGACTGCTTCTCTATTTCTTGCCATCTCTCCATTTGTCATCTTAACAATAACTGTCACTTGCCATCTCTTGCTGTCTCTCACTGTCTTGCCAACTGCTGTCTCTCATTACCACCTTGCCAACTGGCCATTTCTTTCTCCGTCTCTCATGCTGTCGTTTTCTCTCTTCTGCCGCATGTTTGGTGCCATGTTGCTGCAAGGCAGGTGAACCCCAAATTGGGGCTTAGCCCAAGAAGATTCTTGGTTTTGCTCGGGAAAGAATTGAAGAGTGAGCTGGTGGTAGAAGAAAACAGGATTTTTTTTTTTAAGACGGAGTCTCGCTCTGTCGCCCAGGCTGGGGTGTAATGGTGCGATCTCAGCTCACTGCAACCTCCGCCTCCCAGGTTCAAGCAATCCTCATGCCTCAGCCTGCTGAGTAGCTGGGATTACAGGTGCACACCACCACGCCTGGCTAATTTTTGTATTTTTAGTAGAGACAGAGTTTCACCATATTAGCCAGGCTGGTCTCAAACTCCTGACCTCAAGTGATCTGCCCACCTTGGCTTCCCAAAGTGGTGGGATTATAGGTGTGAGCCACTGTGGCCGGCCAAGAAAACAGCTTTATTGAGGAGGCAGTGTAGTGTTAGGGATCTGTGACTGCTCCTGCACAGCAGGGCTACCCCATAGGCAGTGTGTAGAGAGTAGCAGCTCAGGGCAGCTCGGCAGTCATGTTTATGCCCACTTTTAAGTACATGCAAATTAGGGGTGGATTATGCAAAAATTTCTAGAACAAGGGTGGTAACTTCCCAGTTGTTGGGTCACTGCCATAGAAAGGGGTGGTATCCAGTTGTTGCCATGGCAATAGTAAACTGACATGGCACTGGTCAGCATGTCTTTTGGAGAGGTGCTTTTGCCTCTTCCCCTTTCAGCTAGTCTCAATCTGGTCCGGAGTCCAAGTCCTGCCTCCTACCTCATTGGCAGTGGTGTGCTGGTAATTATTTTACAACTGGTTAAGAAAGAAACTCTGATTTGTAAAAGTTGCCAATTTCTGTGGTGTAAATAACTTTTATCATTGCTGAACTCACACATTGCTGGTGGCAGCATAAATTGGTAAAACCACTTTATAAAACCATGCGATGCTATCTACTAAAGGTGAAGATATGCATATGCCAGGAGACAGTAACTGTACTCCAAGATGTACAGTATTTCTCAACTTAACCGGACATCCTGAATCACCCCAGGCATGAATCCAATTCTGTTGGGAGAGTTACTGGCTATGCATTCTTTTCCTACTTAAGTCACCTTAGTCTACTCCAAAAGATACACATTATTTGAAACTGAAAAGCTAAAATGGATAAATTATTATATATTCATGCAATGGAATAGTATACCACAATGGAAATGAACATGCTACTATACATAACAGCACAGATAAACCTTATAGATTGAAAACAATACATAGGCCGGGTACGGCGGCTCACGCTGGTAATTCCAACCCTTTGGGAGGCCAAGGTGGGTGGATTTTCTGAGTCCAGGAGTTAAAGACCAGCCTGGACCACCTGGTGAAACCCCATCCCTACAAACAATACAAAAATTAGCCAGGCATGGTGGCACATGCCTGTAGTCCCAGCTATTCAGGAGGCTGAGCTCAGAGGATTGCTTGACCCTGGGAAGCAGAGGTTGCAGTGAACTGAGATCGTGCTACTGCACTCCAGCCTGGGTGACAGAGTGAGACCTTCTCTCAAAAAGAAAAGAATATATACTGTATAATTCTAACTATATGAAATTCAAAAACAGGCAAAACTCTATGTGGTTAGAAGTTAAGCTAGTGGTCACCTTGGGGAGGGCAGAGGGCTGGGATTGGGAGGTAGCACAAGAGAGGCATCTTTACTGGATGGTTATTATTATGAACTAAATGTTGTGTGCCCCCCAAATTCATGCACTGAGTCCCTAATCCCAAATGTGGTGGGATTAGGAGACGGGGTCGTTGGGAAGAAATTAGGTTTAGATGCGGTGATGAGGGTAGGGTCCTCATGATGGGATTAGTGCCCTTATAAGAAGAGACCAGAGAGCTTGCTCATGCTCTCTCTACACTGTGAAGACACAGTGAGAAGGCAGTCATCTACAAGCCAGGAAGAGAGCCCTCACCAGAACCCAACCCCGCCAGCACCTTGATCTTGGACTTCCCAGGCTCCAGAATTGTGAGAAATAAATGTCTGTTGTTTAAGCCACCCAGTCTGTGGCATTTTGCTATAGCAGCCCCAGCAGACTAAGACAGTTATGTTTACACAAATGTGTTCAAGTTGTGGTGACGCATTAAGCTATATGCTTATGATTAATGCATTTTTCTGCACGAATGATTTACTCCAATAAAAAGCTTATTAAACCCAATGCACTGTGTACACACATAAAAACAAAGAAAACTAATCATTATCAAACTAAATCAACTTTGCAACACCTCTAATTTGTAGATAAATCTTACTGTGTTCAAAAATTAAGCAAATTACACTGTGGCCAGTCAAACACACAGAAAATTTCACCAAGAGAAACTTAGGTTAATAATAAAACAATTTATTTATGTACTTAGGAGATCCCATCCAAACATAAAGAATATTTTCTAAAGCCCCAAATATTCATTTGTAACCAACTAGCTTAAAACCCAGTCATATCAAAGAAAGTCTCCAGCTCAAAACACAAAAAGAGTGCAGTACCTTCTCCAAAGAAGAAAAACACACATTTTAAGACAAAAATACTCACCATTAAGCAGAAACCTCTGACTCATCTGTTCTTATCTTCCTTCCCATAAAGCCCTTTTATTTCCCCACTCTGACAAAAGCGTCCTTTTAGCTCACTGTGGGGAGGAAGTCTCACAGTCTTCGGTCTGCTCTGAGTGAATGAAGGGGATCAGTGGAATCAGTATTTCCCAGCTTAACTGGACATCCTGAATCACCCCAGGCACGAATCCAGTTCTGTTGGGAGAGTTACTGGCTATGCGTTCTTTTCCTACTTAAGTCACCTTAGTCTACTCCAAAAGAATCGGAAAGTTCCTACCTCCAAGCTTTGGTTTTCTCACATTTTTTCATCTCTCTGGGCCATTGCCATTAGCTACTCCCACATTTTGCCTCTGTAACCGTTTCCTTGACTTCTGCATGGTGAAGTTAGGAGAAGCTACACAGCCCCCAACACATACGTGCGTGCACGTGCACACACACACACACACACACACACACACACACACACATACACACACAATGTTCTCTTATGGGCCCACTCTCCAAACACTCTGGATGCCAATCTTCCCTTTTCTGGATTCAGCCCACCTTTATTGGCCACATCCAGTAAATAATACTATGTAAATTCACAAAGTGTCCACTAGAGGACACTACAATCCTACTTCTAATGCCAATGTGTTGCAGTATGGCGTCTGTAGACTCCTAAGGGATTCTTCCTCTTCCCTATCTAAGCTACCCATGTGTTTCTATCTAATTATTCCTTGTACCAGGCACCTAAGAAGGAAATAGGTGATATGAACAAGGAAGGAAGTAGCACCCCGACTCGTGCCCTCATTCTCAAATCCTTGGTCCCAGGGCAGGATGCTCTCACGATCTAAGCATTCTTTCCCTCAAGATGGATGTGACTGATGGCAGATGGGCTACTAGTGATGTTGATGTCACTGTGCCGGGTCCCCAGCAATGCTCCAGGGGAAGCCAAGAGTTGAACTGGGCCTCAGATCATCAACCAAACCTCAAGCATTTATCAACCATGGCAGCCCCATCTCATGACCAGGCTGGAGCCTGTCTGGACCTGGTTCTTCTGGTTCCCACCATCTGTCCTCCTCCTCCCTCCCTACCACACCACCCTTTACCCCAGGACCAGTGCTTACGGTTCTCTCTCCTCAAAGTCATCAGATCAAAATTCATGACCAACCTCTCATTAGCCCACTCAGAGGAATGGGTGGCTCAATGCTATGAGTACAATTGCTCCATCTTAGGAAAACAAAAATGGGCAACCCTTTGCAAAGAAAACATTTCTATGACCAAAGCTTACTGACTAATACAACATTACTTCTTCTTGTACATTTTAAAATAAAAACAAGCATATCTAAACATAATATTTTCTAATCACAGGAGGCAACAACAACAAAGTAAGCATAAATACTTTCAAGGACATGTCTGTAGCCTAGTACAGAGAATGCTTTTTTTTTTTTTTTTTTTTTTGAGACTGAGTCTTGCTCTGTTGTCTAGGCTGGAGTGCAGTGGCACGATCTCGCTCGGCTCACTGCAGCCTCCGCCTCCCTGGTTCAAGCGATTCTCCTGCCTCAGCCTCCTGAGTAGCTGGGATTACAGGTGCACACCATCACACCTAGCTAATTTTTGTATTTTTAGTAGAGACCAGGTTTCACCATATTGCCCAGGCTGGTCTTGAACTCCTGACCTCAAGTGATGCAGCTGCCTCTCGGCCTCCCAATGTGCTGGGATTACAGGCGTGAGCCACTGTACCCAGCTAAGAATGCATATTTTTAAGCCAGACTGCCTCAGATCAGATTCTAGATTTGCTATTTACTAGCCACATGGACTTGAACCAGTTACTTAACCTCTGCACATCCATTTCCTGAGCTGTTAAAATGAAGAACATATAGTATCTACTTCATAGGATTGTTGTGAAGATTAGATGAGTGTGTGTGTGTGTGTGTGTGTGTGTGTGAGTGTGTGTGTAGTGCTTAGGTTGGGCGTGGCAGACCATGCCTGTAATTGCAGTACTTTGGGAGGCCAAGGAAGAGGACTGCTTGAGCCCAGGAGTTCACGACTAGCCTAGGCAACTCCAGCAGACCCCGTCTCTACAAATAAAATTTTAAAAAATTAGCCAGGCGTAGTGGCATGCACCTGTAGTCCCAGCTACTTGCAAGGCTGAGGCAGGAGAATCACTTGAGTCCAGGAGGTCAAGGCTGCAGTGAGCCGTGATTGCCCCCACAACACTCCAGCCTGGGGGACAGAATAATGAGACTCTGTCTCAAAAAAAAAAAAAAAGTGCTTAGAACTGGCCTGGTACTAGTAAGTACCCAATGAATGTATGATAGCTATTATTATTATTATTATTATTATTATTATTATTATCCTTTACCAAATCTTGTGGATGAATTCTTCATACACAGGCTGACATCTGTTTTATTTTTCTTATGTTCCATGATAAGCTCATCCTAAATAGAATATTAAGAAATATTAAGAAAACGTCTACATACACCAAGACTGGGTGACAATGATTGTGTTAGGAGGGTCTGGAGGGCACAGATCTGACACACTACCTAGTGACAACATTGAGTTATGTGCAGCTTAGTTATGTGTGATATGTGTGATTCTGTGTTGCTGATGGTGGTGTCTAGAGAACATTGGATGCAAATGACTGTGGGAGGGACACATTCTGGATGAAAATGGGCTCAGGGCTAAACTGGGGTCAAATAGTTTGGGGATAACACTGGGTTGTGTGTGAAAGTATGTTGAGAAAGCATTTGAGTGAAATAGTGTTGTGGGTAAGACCAGGCCTGGATAAAACAAAGTTTTTGTGACAATGGTGTTGGGCAGTGGGTGCTGGCAACTGTTTAACTATTGCCTCTTCAAGAAAAACAAGACATTGATTTGCAACGTTTCCAAATTCCAGGGTGTAAATAGTCCCATCATGGTGATGTCAAGCCCCAAACATGATGTCATGATGAGCCACCTAAGAAGGTTCAAAGAAAAAGGAGAAGAGAGTCTGGAATTGAGTTTTGAACACTCCAACATTTCCAGGCTTGGCAGAAGAGAAGTCAGCAAAGGAGACAGAAGGTGCTGCCAGAGGAGGAAGAGGAGAATCAGCAGAGTGTGCTGTCCAAAGTGCCAGGGAAGAGGGTTTCAGGCGGAGGAGGAAGTGTCAAGAAAGTTGAACGTTTCTGAGAGATTGGTAGATTAGCTCCCAGGGCAGTCCCGCAGCACGAGGTCACCTGTAATCCTCCCGGATCAGACACGGTGCCAACCCAGGTGCACCCACAACCCTTGCATGGCAGCATCTGTCATCCTGGTCACTCAACTGCCTTCTGTCCTTCTGGTAAGAACATCCCGCCCCTGTGGAAAACAGCCTGTCCTTCCTCCAGGCAGGTGGCTCCAATCTCAATCATGGCACCTCGAGAAACTACGGGTGATCATGGCCAAGCTCAGCCAAGGCAGAGCCATTCTTCAGGATTTATAAGTGCAGTGCTCCACCGAAACAGGGAAACACTGCTCTCTTTTCCTCTGATACCATTAAACTGACATGACATCAGACTGAAGTGGCCTTTGGCAATGGAAAAAGCCTGTCTGAAGTAGAAGCCGAAATGAGAAAGGAAAACCTGGATGTGTCCCTCCATCTGGGTCTACTCTTGTTTTCTCCAGCTCTGAACCAATAAACAGCACTGGCATTTTGAACACTTTACAAGTATCGGCTCAGTATTCCCAACAACCTTAGATGGGTATTACCCAGGTACCCCATGTTAGAGATGAGGAAATTTGCCCATGGCTGCAGAGTGCAAGAGCTGAGATTTCACCCTAGGTAGTTGGCTTCAGAGTCCACAGTTCATTAGGCCAGATGGTTCTTTCTTCTTGGGGAGTTTCCAGTGCATTGCGGGATAGTGAACAGCATCCCTGACCTCTGCCCCCCTAGATGCTGTTGGCACCCCTGTCTTCAGGTGTTACAAGTAAAAATGCCTCCAGACACAGCCACACATTCCAGGGTGGGTGGACAGCCACTGCTACTGTTCTGCTGCCTTCCGGTTCTTTTCGAATTGCTGTCACTGAGTCACCCAGATGACTCTGCATTTGCCACAGTTCAGGCTCACCTAATCTGTGTGTCAACTACAAATAACCCCATGTCCCTCAAACCCTGAGTCACCCCCAATACATTGCCACCTGGACCCTGTGTTATCGAAAACCCCACGCCAGCTACAAATCTGTGTCCCCAAGACTTTCTGTCAACCACAGTCCGGTCATTGAGACTTGTGTGACCCATTACCCAGTGGTGTCCCTGCCTTCTGCCAACAACCACAGCTTCCCAGAGTCAGGGTCACAGAGCTGTTCACAGCACAGAAGGCATACATGGAGAGAGGGATAGAAGGAAACCCAGGTGCACATATTCAAAGGCAGGAAGAGCCAGAGAAACCCACAAAAGCAGAAATACACAGAGAACAGGCCACAGCTGGTTACACAGAATGGGTCACTGGCACCTACCAAGGCCCCTGGCAGAGCCCAGTGTCTTTAGCCCCTCCCCCACCTCTGGATTAGCCCTGGGGGCAGGCAGGAAAGCTAGGTTCTGAGGGTAAGGAGCTTAGACCCAACGTGACAGCTAATCACCCACATAAATCCTCTGTCTAGGTCACAAAGCCCTGAGTGGCCTCGCCCCCACCGCACCGTAGTCGCTCCTCCCTCCACGGACTCAGGTGGACACCCCAGCCTCAGTATCTCACCAAGCCCACACCCAGGTGGGCAGAGGGAAGAGTTCAGACTGTCTCCACTCCCTCTCGCTCTCCTGCTAGAATGCGCTAGGAGGGTGTTGGTAGGGGCTAGGGGCCCAAGGACAGAGAGCTTGGGTTTCCCAACAGATCAGCCCAGGAAGGATCTGGCTGAGACCAGAGAAACGCTTTTTCCTGAATCAAGAGACCTGCTAGGAGCAACAGCCCCTCCTCTCTGGACACTGTGATCTGCAGGGCCCTGAGGGTTACCAGGACGAGAGTGTCAACCTGTTTTGGGGCAATAAAAGGCTGTGAAGGAGCCCCACACCTCTCCCAACCTGGCCTGGCATGGTTGCCATGGGGATGCCCCAGTTGCTCCAGAGGTGGCTTCTGGTCCCGGAAGCGGGGATGGCAGAGACAGCCAATCATCGCACCGAGGCGGGTGGGGGTGAAAGGTCAGTGCTGCCTGGGAACATTCCCGACCATAGCTAGGGGCTGACAGCCCAGAGTTTTCCCCCATGCCTGCTTCTCCCAGTTCACACCCCCATCTCCACCACTCCCTTCCCCTCCAGCTCCCATTTCCTCTGCTGCTCCCTCTAAAGGGATGGTCTCAGAGTCTGACTCTGCTGCTAGTTAAGTGACTCAAGCGTGGGGTTCTGGTGTCAGGGCTGACCAGCAGGTCAGACATGTAGACAGGTGAAGAGCTCACACATGTTGCCTCAAGTAAGGGCTCAGGGAGGTTCCAGTGAGGAAAATGGGTATGAAGACTCAGTATTAAGGTTCTGGAAAAAAATCAGGCAAGACACCAGTGTAAGGGTTCACGTTTGGGGCACACATGCCCTGAACACAGCACGGGGCCTCAGGGGACTCAAGGGTAAGGGCCCAATGTGAGGGCTCAGCTGGGGCTCAGTTTTAAGGGTGGGGGATCTGTGCTGGTGTGGTAATTTGTTACTAACCCTTTAGTGGTAATTTGTTACTAAGAACAATTGTTAAAGTACTAAACTTTAGATGAACAATTTTTTAAATGTATAAATTTAAAGGGATTTAAGCTCACCTTTAATTTTTATCTATACATTAAAGAGGATTTAAAATCGGTTACATTCCCACAGGTTTCCCCTAATCTCTCTGAGGTTGGGTTTTCTTATCTATAAAATGGGAATAATAACAGTATCTAGCTCACAGGGTCATTGTGAGGATTAAATGAGAAAATGAATGTAAAGTTCTTAACACAGAAAGTGTGCAAAAATAATAGCATTTTTACAAATGTTCTTAGAGGACCAGGCACAGTGGCTCACACCTATAATCCCAGTACTTTGGGAGGCCAAGGTGGGTGGATCACTTGAGTCTAGGAGTTCGAGACCAGCCTGGGCAACACAGTGAGACCCCTGTCTCTCCAAAATAAAACAAAAAACAGTTCGTTTTTAGCACCTGCCAGTCATGGTGGCACGTGCTACTCAGGAGGCTGAGGTGGGAGGATCACTTGAGTCTGGGTGGTCGAGGCAGCAGTGAGCTGTGATCACACCACTGCACTCCAGCCTGGGTGACAGAGCGAGACCATCTCTAAATAAATAAATAAATAAATAGTGTGCTTGGAAATGGAAGAGAGAGAATTAAGCAAGATCACCAGAAATTGCTTCAAACCCATGGCGGGCCAGCTGGTGTCACACGTCCTGGAGGCAGTAACTACGAAGGGATCCATTTTTCTCCCCCATCGAGGGAGAAAACCAGGGGCCGTGTGGGCAGAAGGTGACAACACGCACCTTCCACGAGGGAGAGAGATGCTGCCAACCACGTTGGGAACATGCTAAAAATCAGTAGCTCATATGCACTAGAATGTAGCGGTAAAATAAACTTATTCTTTAATAGTACATTCATATGAACAAAGGTTTAGGGCAAAAAATTTCAGGTTTTTTTTTTTTTTTTGAGACAGAGTCTCAAAAAAATTGAGGTTCTTAATTTAAAAAATTGGGTTCTTAATTAAAAAATTAAGAACCTAAAGAGTTTTTAAGTGGTTTTATCTCATGATCTTCAATGTATTCAAAATTAAAACTGAAAGTTAAAACATATATTAATTCAAAATAACAATACTTTTGTTATATTTTCACTGAAAATATACTTATATCTATGAAAGACAGCTGTATATTTTCTTTTTTTTGAGACCCAGTTTTGCTCTTGTCACCCAGGCTGGAGTGCAATGGCATGATCTCGGCTCACTGCAACTTCCACCTCCTGGGTTCAAGTGATTCTCCTGTCTCAGCCTCCTGAGTAGCTGGGATGACAGGTGCCCGCCACCATGCCTGGCTAATTTTTGCATTTTTAGTAGAGACGGGGTTTCACCATGTTGGCCAGGCTGGTCTAGAACTCCTGATCTCAGGTGATCCACCCGTCTCTACCTCCCAAAGTGCTGGGATTACAGGCGTGAGACACTACGCCCAGCCAGAGAGCTGTATATTTTCTAAAACAAAAATGTTAGTGAGAACAGTGGCATCGTTTTACACTTTTGCAAATCTCTTTACTGTCTGGCTTGTAGAAGACAGCTAGATTCTCAGCTGCTTCTGCATTCAATCTGTTGCAATGGGTTGCTTTGGTTAAAATATGTGATGAAAACTGAGCTTCATAAAGTATGTAGTTGGGAAAGAGAGAAGTATTTTAATAGCCTTTTCAGTAAATTCTTCTTTCTTCCATACCAAAACTCGAGGTGGTAGTTTCTTAAAAGTTAGTTACTACGTGAACGTTTCATACTCTGTTAACGTTACACTCCACTGGTCTGTCTTGCACTTTGAATAGCTCTTTTACTCATGCATGATTTTGTAACATCATGTATTGGTCATTTGGAAAATATTGGTTCACTGAGTTATGCAGATCTCCCAAATGTTGACACATTTCATTATACAATATTTTTTAAAGAGCACACTCATTAATGCTATCACTGGTCTCATTAGAATTGAAAGCTTTCAAACTCACTGTAAGTAGATATAAGTTTTTCAAATCCTAATTTTCACTTGAAGACGCTAATTTTTTCACTGGCAACAAACACTAATTTTTTTTCCCTTGAATTGATAGGCTCACTTGATTCACCTTTGAGAAAAAGTATGCCAAAGACCCAAGTCTGATAACTATAGTTTGTCATTTGTTCTTTTAAGTAAAACTGGTGTTTGGTGCATTCAGTTCACAATTCAATTGCGTAAGTGCTTTTCCTTGAGATAAGCATACTTCCCATTTTGTCACACAAAATATTTCAAAGACATATATTCAAGGGTTAAGACAATAAAGTTAATAATGTTACTGCTTCTTTTAGACAATATAAAATAATCAGTACAGTGTAGTATTGGCATAAAGACATATAGATCAAAAGATGCTCAGTATCTTTTATTTATTTTATTTTTTTTGAGACGGAGTTTCACTCTTGTTGTCCAGGTTGGAGTGCAATGGCTCAATCTCAGCTCACTGCAATTCCTGCCTCCCAGGTTCAAGCGATTCTCCTGCCTCAGCCTCCCGAGTAGCTGGGATTACAGGCATGCGCCACCATGCCCAGCTAATTTTGTATTTTTAGTAGAGATGGGGTTTCTCCATGTTGTTCAGGCTGGTCTCGAACTCCCGAGCTCAGGTGATCCACCCATCTCAGCCTCCCAAAGTGCTGGGATTACAGTTGTGAGCCACTGCGCCTGGTCGACGCTCAGTATCTTACAGGCATGAATCCAAAATAGATGTGTACATACATGGTCCACTGATTTCTTTTTGCATTTTTTTGTAGAGATGGAGTCTTGCCATGTTGCCCAGGCTGGTCTCAAACTACTGGCCCCAAGTGATCCTCCTGCCTCAGCCTCTCATAGTGTGGGGATTAACAGGCATGAGCCACCACCTCCATCTTCATGATCCATTGACTGTTGACAAAGATCGCAAGTTAATTCAATAGAAAAAGGACAGTATTTTCAACAAATAGTGCTGGAACAATTGGAAATCCATAATCAAAACAGACACAAAGACAAACAAAGCTCAACTCCTTCCTTTGCACAATTTAATAAAGCAAAATGGATCATAGAACTAAAGTAATAGCTACAGTTATAAAACTTCTAGACAAAAACATAGAGTGAATCTTTGAGGGCCCTGAGTTGGGTAAATATTTTCTTAGATAGGACTCAAAATGTACAAACTATAAAAGAAAAAATAATTGATTTTCATCAAAATGAAAAACTTCTATTCTTTGAAAGGCACTGTTAAGAAAATGAAAAGATAAGAAACAGACTGTGAAAATATTTGTGCTCTTACAACTCAGTGACAATAATGCAAACTCATTTTTAAAATGGTCAAAAAGGCCAGTCGTGGTGATTCATGCCTACAATCCCAGCACTTTGGGAGGTGGGAGGATCGCTTGAGCCCAGGAGTTCAAGACCTGCCTGGATAACATAGTGAGACCTTGTCTCTATAAAAAATAAACAAATTAGCCAGGCATGGTGGTGTAGGCCTGTAGTCCCAACTACTCAGGAGGCTAAGGTGGGAGGATGGCTTGAACCCAGGAGGTCAAGGCTGCAGTGAGCCTCATGCCACTGCACTCCATCCTAAAGGACAGAGTGAGACCCTGTCTCAAAAAGAATTTTAATTAAAAAAAAAAACAGTCAAAAGATTTGAATGAATACTTCACTAGGGAAGATACATGAATGGCAAAAAGTCCATGAAAAGATGCTCAAATCATTAATCATCAGGAAATTGCATATTAAAACCACAATAAGATACCACAGTACACTTATTACCATTGCTAAAGTTTAAAAGGTTGATAATGCCAAATGTTGGTGAGAATGTAGAGCAACTAGAAGTCTCAAAATTGCTGATCAGAATGCAAAATAGTACAGCCACTTTGGGAAACTGGAAATTTCTTATAAAAGTACCTGTCATATGCTCCAACAATCCCACTCCAAAGTATTAATTCAAGAGAGATGACAATATGCGTCCACACAGAGATCTGCACATGAATGTGCATACCAATTTTATTCATAATACCAAGAAACGGAAAACAGCCTAAATGTCCATCAACATGTAAATATTTAAGCAAATTATCTATCTGTATGATGAAATACCAATCCATAATAAAAATAAAATAACTACTGATACATGAAACCACAAAACAATAATTTTACTGCTTCACAAGGACAGAAAACCAAACACTGCATGTTCTCACTCATAGGTGGGAACTGAACAATGAGAACACTTGGACACAGGGAGGGGAACATCACACACTGGGGCCTGTCGTGGGGTGGGAAACTGGAGGAGGGATTGCATTAGAAGAAATACTCAATGTAAATGACGAGTTAATGGGTGCAGCAAACAAACATGGTACATGTATACCTATGTAACAAACCTGCATGTTGTGCACATGTACCCTAGAACTTAAAGTATAAAACAAACAAACAAAAAACAGATGCCTTTAAAAAAATAATAATAATAATAATTGTACTGCTTCACCAAGGACTTTTAAAGCAAAATTGAGGCTGGGCATGGTAGCTCACTCCTGTAATCCCAGCACTTTGGGAGTTCCAGGTGGGTGGATCACTTGAAGTCAGGAGTTCAAGACCAGCCTGGCCAACAGAGTGAAATCCTGTCTCTACTAAAAATACAAAAATTAGCCAGGCGTGGTGGTGTGCCCCTGTAATCTCAGCTACTTGGGAGGCTGAGGCAGGAGAATCACATGAACCCGGGAAGTGGAGGTTGCAGTGAGCTTAGATCGTGTCACTGCACTCAAGCCTGGGTGATGAAGTGAGACTCCATCCCAAAAATAAAAATAAATAAATAAATAAATAAGGCAAAACTGGCCCTTTTTTCCCTCCTATTGTTACTAGTCATGCACCATGGTGGAGAAGAATACAAAGATTACTGGTACAGTTGGGTGCCATGCCTTGATTCATGCTTAGGTGCCAACAGTTTCACCCACCGTTGCTCTTACATCATGTGCAAATATCGATAAATTGAAAGTGGCAAATAACAATTTAGTATTGTTAGGAAAATAGCTTTTGCCTTGTGTATTCCCTGTAAGAGTCTTAAAGATTCCCAGGGATCTGCAATCAACACCCTGAGAACTGATGTTCAAATTAATTAGAATAGTCACATTGACTTTTTAAAAATGACACTTCTTTTTCGATATCACTCAAAGGCATGTAAAATGCTTTCACAAATATCCCATGGAAAAAAGGAAGACCAACTCCATCTGTGGTACTATTTGCTTTACTTCCTCGAAAAATAAAAGGGGGGTTGGGGGAAGGAGAACCCGAGTAGGCCCCTGGGAGCGTGTTTGGCATGTGAAGCCATCCATCATGCAGTCATGGTGAGCAGATGCAGGCCTGGGACCAAAAAGGCAAGTGGCGCTGGGAACTCAGGGCCCTTCGTCACCTTTCCCCACACAATCCCACTGGCTATACACCCCTCCACAATACAGTCATACCGACACACACACACACACACACACACACACACACAGAGTCAGGCCAGCCCCACACACCATGGCTAATCTCTCACAACAAGCCCAGCCATGGTTGCACTCACACAATCCAATCATACAGCCACAACAGAGCCACAAAAAAGCCAACACCCAACCTTATTGTGCTCAAAACCAGGTCACACTGCTCTATATTCACAGATGGAGAATCTCAATGGCCATACACTCAACTATAGATATACTCAAACTAGGAGAATGGCTCATAATGTAAAACATCTACTGGGCCCCGTGGCCATGCCAGCACATCCCCCCTAGTATATTGTGCATGGGGTGAAATAATAGCTTTTGGACACAGGCCAACCTGAATTCAAGTTCACGTTTTGGACACAGGCCAACCTGAATCCAAGTTCACGTTCTACCACTTATTAGTTCTATAACCTGCAGCAAATTAGTTAACCTGCCTGAGCTCTCATTCTAGAAAACACAGAAAATTCCTACTTTGAAAACTTGATGTGATGACACAAAATAATCAGACAAGGGGCAGCACCTTGTCTGGCCCAATGTGTGCTGGGGATGCAGCTGTAACTGCCATGTATGGCTTTTGTCACCAGAGGGCACCAGGGCCACAATGTGTCTGGGGAGATTGCTGGAAGAAAATATGCTGAAAAGGCCAGGATTCCTGGGGAGTTTCAGGGTGATTACAGACAGGGTAGGTGTGGGATGTGTGTGGGGCTGGGCAGCTTTTGGGAACCCCACCTAGGCCCCGGCCACACAAGTGGGCTGTTGGGTATGGTGGGCAGCTCCCAGGGAAGATCAGATCTAGGAAGGAGGATGGATGAGGGCTTTCTGTGAGCCAGGCCCTCTTCTGTGCCGATTTCACACACATTAAATCCTTTAATCCCCACAACAATACCGTGGTTGATAGTCACTGCTAATATTAATAGTATTCCTGGTGAGGAATATTGAGGAAGCTGAGGTCTGCTTACATAGCCATTAAGTGGAGACCTGGAATACAAATGCAGGCAGCCTGGCTTCAGAATCCATGGCCCTAACCACAGCTCCACACTGCCCCCAACAGTGACCCTGCATCTCCCCTTGCTGGGGTTCTGCCAGGACTCCCTGACCCTGGCTTTCTTCCCTGGAGTTCAGCCAGCCCCAGCTGGCCTTTCCCCTCTTCCGGCCTGCTCCCCACCTGCTCCCTGGGCCAGCCCATGGTAAGAGGCTTATCACATATGTGTGGGGGACAGATAAGGCAGGGCCCCACGCAGGGCTTATCCAGCCCTGCCATCCCTGCTGGGGAGCTACCAGCAGATGGAGCCCCGCCCGCGGTCTGGGGTCACTCCTTGTGATGCTGCCAGAGCTCTTTATGATGCCATAATTTGTAGTGACATCATTGCTGTGTCCCTCCTTTGAGTCTGAGAGGGTTACTCAGATAAGAGTTGGGGAAGTGGAGTCAGACAGGAGCCCTACTGAGGCTCCAAGTCAGTGGGCCGGGTTGGGCTGGACTGGAGGAGAGAGTGGTGCCAGAGGATCCTCCCCAGGGCAGATGGCTATTTTTGGTGTCGACTGCTCGGCTTATAGCCACCCCTCTTCCTGTCTTCCCAATCCAAAGAGGCTCTGGGTCCAGCAGGGGCAGGAGCAGTAGGAGAAATCTTTAGCCCTGCAGCAGGGCAGCTCTGGGGTCAGTCTCTAGCTCAGGAACCAGCCTGTTCCTCCCTACAGTGAGGCCTGACCCTCAGTACCTCGGGTCTGAGGGGAAGGGGGGCCTTACTTCCAATCCTTGAAATAGCAGTGAGGCAAAGAGAGATTATTAGGATGGCCAGACAGACGGACACAGCCAGACCCACCATAATAGTCACACACATTAACTTGCTGATGTGGGCTGCAGGCACAGCCTCACGCCAACACCATCACACTCACAGCCATTCATTCTCATAGCCATGCCCACAGCTACACGTGGGCCACAGATGGCTGAACCACACGGACATACCAGCACAGGCACAATGTCACCTGTCCCATCTGGGAGAACAGGAACCCCTTCTCTCTCACGGTTGTACTCCCAGAGAGGAGCTCAATTCCCAGCACATGGCAGATGCGCACTAATATTTGGTGAGTGAATAAATGGACATTCAGTGCCACAGGGCCTGTGACCAGGCTGGGCTGAGGCCAGAGGGAACGCCATCCCACCTGCAAGCCTGCTCGACCTCTCCAGACCCAGGATGGGAGCATCGAGGAAGAACTACAACTGCCAGCACCACCCCAGCCCCAACTTCAGTCATGGCCACTCCTCAGATAATAGGTCACTGAAGGGACCTCGGTTATGTAGGGACCCTGGTTATGCAGGGACCCCACTCCCTCCCTCCAGGTGCAGTGAATTGGAACACTGGCACTCTGAAAATGGAATGTTATGAACATTGGGTGCTCTGGATGTTGGGTACCCCAGGCCCCCTGGAATTTGGCACTGGGGGCTCTGGGTTTTGGGTCCTCTACAGTGTTGGGTGCTCTGGCACCCTTGACATTGGGAATTCAGGACTTTGGGAGCTCAAAGCGATTGAGGAGTCTGGGTGTTGAAAGCTCTGGAGATTGGGGCTGCCCCTTGGACAACGCCAAAGTCAATACTTCCTGTCTATATGCCTGATTTTACCTGGAGCCACTGAGGTCCAGCCCGGAACCCCTGTTCTGAACCCCATGATTGGCTTATGCTGCCCCAAGGCTGGGGTGGCAGGGCTGGGGTGGCGGGGTTTCAGGGGTAGAGAAACCACAACAGGATGGCCTAAGGGGTACCTGGAGCCCCAGAGACAGCTCTCAGGTCTGAAACCAATCTAACCTGCTCCTCTGCATTGGGACAGGGCAGTGGAGGTGCCAGGCACTGACCACTGGGCTCCAGGTTCAAGAAAGGAAGAATCTGAGAGCAGAGCCCAGGCAGGCACCTCCCAGTAATGCTTCCTGGCTACTGAGGCTGGGGTTCTAAGGAGGTGGAGACCCCTGGCCAGGCCTGGCTTCAACTACAGGCAATGTCCACCCTCCCCCACCTTCTCAGCAGGCCCCCAGCACCACTCCATCAAGGTGCCCAGTGCTGCCAGCTCCTGCAGTGACCACCAGAAGTGGCCCAAGTCTGGCATTATTCATATTCCTACTAGACACACACCTAAGCTGACTATGTGCATCTCGAAACAGAGGCCTTGATCCTGCAGGCTGATGACACCACTCGAGGAAACCAGCCAGCCCTGGGGGCTCTGACGCTGGATGCAGCCCTCCCAGGAAATAGCTCCACTGGCTGCAGTAACTGGAGGCTCCTGAGCCACATTTCAGCCTGCAGTGGGTGGTGGGTGGGCCCCAGCCCAACTGCTGCCCTGCCCCAGGAAGAAGCAGGCCCGTCAAAATGTCTGACCCCGTCCGTCCCCCATCCCCTCCCCTGCCCCAGTCTGTCCTCAGTCCTGATCCCCCTGCCCGCCCCACAGTGGCCCAGGCTGGCCATGCCCTTCCCACCCTGCAGGCCAGCTGCTCAGAGCCAGGGGCTCACAGCCAGGGACGGAGGCTATCCCAGCTCCCACCCGGGCTGGGCCCAAACCTGCCTCCTTTGGGCCTCATTCTGATTGGAAAAAAACAGCCTCTCTAGTCCCTGTCTCAGGAAGATGACTTTTCAAACCAGAATCTTTCTCACAAGTGTCTCCTCAGGACACAGCTGTGTGGTTTCCTGAAGCTCTTTCTGGTTCAAGGTGGGTAAAACACACATATCCATGAATCTGTTTCTATGTATACAAATAGACTTTGAGCTATGCCAGTGTTAGTCTAATAAAGCCCTCTGGCCAACATCCCCAATCTCCCTAAACACTCCAAGGAAAATTTTCTCTTCACCCCACGTCCCTGTCCCTAGGTTAGTCCCCAAGCCTTCCTCTTTCTGACGGAGCCTCAGAGGGCTGGCCCCTGAGCACCCATCCTCCTCTCTTCTAACAGCCCAGGCCCCAAGCCCCTAGGCCTGAGGGCATCCTGGAAGTCTGGCTTGCAGCACCCTACACCTGCCTCCCTTCATATGGATTCCCTGAGCCATGAAAACTCTCGGAATCTTCACTGAGTGTTCTTAGCGCTCAGTGCCCTCTTCTAGGCCTGTCCCCACCCCAGCCTACTGCTGGAAGGGAGAAGGAGGGAGGCCTTTTCCCCTTCATACTCTTCCTTGTCCGCCTTCCTCTACTTGGGGGCCTCTTCGACATCCTCCATCTGCCTTCCCTGGGGTGGTATCCCTTTTGATGAGCCCCAGCGAGGAGGCAAGGAGGAAGATCCTAAAAAAAACTTATGGAGGAAGTTACGTCCTGGCAGGAGAGATATAGAGGGCTTGGACCCCATCTGCCCAGTCCCAGGAATTGAGCACACACATAACTACACAGACCTGCTGCAGTGCACACAATCAGTCTTCCACAGATGTACCTACACAAATACACAATCGGGGCTCAGGTGTCTGGGGGCACAGACACAACAGGTTGCCTAGATCCAGGTGTGTGTGCACACAACTCACGCAAGAAACACCTGCACTTGGCTTGTAGGAGACTAAAAATCCCAAACATGCTATACCTACTAGGTTTGGGGACAAAGTAAAAGTGAAAATAATCTCGCTGATAAGACTAAGGTGTCTTCCCAGATCTGATCAGGAGTCCAATGTGAATAGGAGACAACAGAGAGCTGTCTTTGTACTTTGGCTCTGAGGAAGGTTTGTGGAATGGACCGCGTGTGGCCTGAGAGAGCTCGCATTTCAGGGAATGCCTGGGCTTGATGCCTGTTATCTTGTTCAGTGCCTCTGATAAATTAATAAACTGGAATCTCACTCAACAATTGGTTTCACGTGAGTTTGGCATGTGTGCACTCGCTTCTTGGAGGCTGACTGTCCCAAGGAAAAAAATTAAACTGTTTCCTGGCCAGAAAATGGTGAGGACTCAGGGTCCAAAGTAGAAATTGCCTCTGTGGGCTGGGCCCCTTCCCTGAGCAGATGCCCTACTCAGGTTGGGGCAAAAACCAGTTCCTCTGACAGAACTAACTGGCCACTCTCCATGAAAGGTGGTGGCTCTCACAAGGTATGCAAATGTGGGAGGCTCATTCCAAATGCCAGCCACCACTCCCCAGAGGCAGCCTGGAGCAATGGGCTTTATATACACACACATGCATTTCCTTAGCCCCTTCTCTCTGTTTCACAGAGGAGGAAACCGAGGCTCACCATGCTCCTTTTGGCAAAGACTCTTTTTTAGCTGAGATTGTAACCCAGGTCTGTCTCACCATGGAAGGAGGAGGGATCCCAGGTTGGTGTCTGCAGCCCCTGTAACACCACCTCAAAAGTAGAGCTGACCAAGCCGGTGGTCCAGGAGGGAAATTTGAGAAAGGGCTACCCCGAGCCCTCCAGTTCCAAGGAGTAGGACCTAGGCCTTACCCAGCAATGCCCACAGTCTCTAGCGGCTCTGCTCCAAAGGGAATGGAATTTGCTCTGACTTCTCTCTAGGGGAAACGCAGGCGCAGAAGGCCAGGGGCCTGGAGGGCTAACTCCAGCCTCAGCCCCCCATAGTGCCCCAGGCCTTCTGGCTTCATTCCAGCCTAGCCCGAAGGGGCCCACATCTGCTTGCTCAAGGGCCCCAGCTGGAGGGCAGCGAGGCAGGGGCGGAGAAGGGGACTCCTTTGTGGCGCTCACTCCCAGGGGTTCGTGGGGATCAATCATCTGAAAGCTGGAGAGACTTGTAATTTTATTCCCTGGGAGGAGGAGCCTGAGAAGTCGGCACGGGAGGAGGGGATGGGATGGAGAGGGGAGGACGGCCAGGGGAGCCGTTCGGGTAGGGGAGGGACTTGGCTAGATCTCCCAAGCCTTCTCCACTCTTCAAACTTTCACCAAACTCTTAGCCCCCGCCTCCCCGAAACCAAAACACAACAGGCTGTGGAAGAGCTGCGAGCGGCGCGGCGGGGCGGGCGAACTCGGCGCGGCACAGAGCCTCGGGAGGCTGATGCAACTTTCCCTTTAAGAAAGCCACCTGGGCGCACCGCGGTGCGGACCCAGCACGCCTGGGCCGGGGGCTGCAGCATGGTAAGGGGGCTGGGGGAAGGGACGCTGGGGCCCGCGCCTCCGTCTGTCCTGCCGTCGGTCTGAGTGTTCGGCGGCTCCGCGGGGCTGAGCCCCAGGACCAGCGTGTGCGTGTGTGTGTGTGTGTGTGTGTGTGTGTGTGATCGCGCATGTATGCGGGCATCTGTGGGTAAGAGTGTGGGTGCACGCACCGGGATGTCTGTCTCGCCGCAAAGATCGGGGTAGGTGCGCGCGTCTGGGTGTCACCGCTGTCACCAAGGAGCTGAAGCGGGAGGGAGAGGGAAGTGGGGGGAGCTCCTGCGTGGGGTGGCGGGGGGGCGCCAGACGCCGGTTCGATCGGGGGCGGCGGGCGCAGGCTGTGCGGGTAGCGCCGGAGCCAGAGCGTGGCACTGTCCGTCCGAGGAGCCAGTGGTTCTGCGCTCTGGGGGCCTGCAGGGGTCGACAGTCGGCCGTGCCTGCACCCAGCGTGCGGGCTCCCGCTCGCTCCATCGCCTCTCAGCGCCCGCCAGCCTGGCTGCCTATCTGGCCCCTCCAGCCGGCCTGCCTCCCTATCTGCCCTCCCGGTGCCGGTTCCAGTGCCCGTGCGCCCGCGGGACCCGGGAAGCCGCGCGGGAGAGTCCTGGCGCACTCAGCCTCTCTTTGTCCGCGCTCTGGCCGCGGCTTTGGGAAGGGACTGCGAGCGAGCCGGGAGTTCTCTGGGGGTTGCTACCCTGGGAAGAATCCGTGCCCTCCCCACCCCAACCCTCATTACCGGCACACCTAGGGCGGGGCCGGGCGGCCGCAGGTGAGGGCAGGGGCCTAGCAGCCCTGGAGAGCCCACCCCCGGCCGGCGCTCCGCACCCGGCAGCCACTGCAGATCTCGAGCAGGCGGCGGGGCCGGGCCGGGCGGGAGAGTGGGGCTTGCCCGGAGGGCCGGGAGGGGCCGGTGCCGGCCCGGGGGCGGGGCCGTGGGGCGGGGACCTCGGCGCCCCGGTACTTTTCCACCGCAGGGGCCGGGGGCGGGGCCGCCGCCTCCACGCCAGCTTAGGCCCACACGTGGCGGCTGATGTAACGCCCGTGCCCCCACATCTCTCTCCCCGATTAAAGCGGACGCGCCCCACTTCGAGGAACCGGGACGCTGCGGGCGGTGCCGCTGCTCCCAGACCGACCGCGCCCCTGCCCGCCGGCCGGAGGCCTCCGCGCCTCGGGCCGGCGGATACTTAAAGGAGCCGCACCCCCTTTCGGGCCTGCTCTCCGCAAGCCACACCCCCTCGCGGATCACTCTTAAAGGAGACGGGACGCTTGCTCGCTGACAGCTTCCGCACAAAGCGCGGTCTATTTCTCCGCTGAAAGGAGCGTGAGGGTGCGGCCGTTGGGAAATAAAGGCTGCAGGGCGAGGAGTGGGGAAAGAGAAAAACCTGAAAGGTTAAAGACTGCCAAAGTGAGGGAGCATCAGAAGGTTGGAGAGTAGTGGGTGAGGGGACTGGTTCTAGGGACTAATGGGCGACACTGAGCATGCCCAAGTGTTTCCAAGGACCGCAGAGAAAACGCCCCCTTTACTTGGCCTATGCGGCGACTGCGGCTGTACCTGCTCAGTTCCCGGCTCTGGGGACACAGAAGAATCACGCCTCTGCCCTGGTAGAACTCTCCATCTAGTGGGGAGCCAGACTTGGGCACAAGGAAGCATGCCTCAATTGCTACGTGTGGCAAGCGTGGGGGTACAGTAGGAAGGCTGACAGCAACGGGGAGGACCTAGGAAGGCTTCATGAAGATAATAGCATTGGGATAGGTTTTGAGGATGGGTAGGATACATACAGGTGGAAGTGGAGACAAGGGTGCTCAAAAAACATGGAACGGGTGCCGGGGCAAAGGCATGAAGCAGGAGCCCTCTGCAAGTGCTGGGTAGTCTCACGTGGCGGCAGATGGCCGCAGGCTGCTGACCTGGGCTCCCAGGTAGAACTAAGGGCTGTTTCCTGCTCCCACAGCTCCTCCACTTCCTCCAACACAGTGAATGGAAATTATGCTTCTTCCTCTGTCTACTAAACTGTGCGGTCCTTCAAGCTAGGAAAAGAGCCTGTCACCTTTCCATCCCCCGTGAGGACTCCAGGGCTTGGCCAAGATGGACCGTTAAAACTGATTGACCTGACAGTCCTGTCTGATACTCAGCGGTGAGACTGTCAAGGTGGGCCAGGGTTCTGTGGCTGATGTCTCAACATCTGGCTCACAAGCAGCTCAGACCAGCTTGTCCAAGCCAGCCCTCCTGTCCCCGCACCAAACCTGCAGCCTCACCAGCATTCGTCCTCTGGGTCGGGCACCGGTTTCCTCCCACTGCACCAGCAGAAACCAGAGACTCCTTCTTATCCCTCCCCCTACCCAGTCCGATTCATCACCAAGTCTCGCCATGTTGCCTTTTATATTTCTCTGAAATCTGTGCACCTCTCCTCACCCTATTGTCACCTTCCTAACCTGAGCCCCTTCATTTTTGGCCTGGCTCCTTCCTTCCTTCCTTCCTTCTTTCCTTCCTTCCTTTCTTTCTTTCTCTCTCTCTCTTTCTTTTTTCTTTTTCTTTTTCTTTTGACGGAGTTTTGCTCTTGTTGCCCAGGCAATAGTGCAATGGCACAATCTTGACTCACTGCAACCTCTGTCTCCCAAGTTCAAGCAATTCTCATGACTCAGCCTCCTGAGCAGCTGGGATTACAGGTGCCTGCCACCACGCCCAGCTAATTTCGTATTTTTAGTAGAGACAGGGTTTCTCCATGTCGGTCAGGCTGGTCTCGGACTCCTGACCTCAGGTGATCCACCCACCTCGGCCTCCCAAAGTGCTGGGATTACAGGTGTGAGCCACCGCGCCCAGCCTGGCCTGGCCCATTTCTAATTGACTTCCTCTCTTCAACTTCAGCCTCCCTCCAGTCCTTTCTCCACACTGTATCTAGGGGGATGGTTTCAAGATGCACATTCCACCAATGGCTCCTCCTTGAAGTTGATCTTCTGCTTAAAAGCTTTCAATAGGCACCCTTGCCCTCAAGATGAAGACCAAAATCCAGACCCCAAAGGCCCTGGCCAGGCCTCTCTGTCCACTTTAATCTTTGACCATTTCCCCCTGACTGTCTGAGCTCCAGCCTCAGAGCCTTTCCACATATTGTTCCATTTGCTTGACTCTCTCTTCCTCTTCTCTTCCTCATTATTGCCACTTTGCCTAATTAACTTCTTTAGACCCTTAAACATCACTTCATCAGGGAAGCCCTCCCCTAGTCTTACACAAGGCCAGGCCCCCCTATTGTAGAGTCTCATAACACAATCTTTGTCTTTTACACCCTTTATCTCAGTAGGCAGTTCTTTATTTTTTATTTTTTGAGATAAGAGTTTCACTCTTTTTGCCCAGGCTGGGGTGCAATGGCGTGACCTCGGCTCACTGCAACCTCTGCCTCCTGGATTCAAGTGATTCTCCTGCCTCAGCCTCCCAAGTAGTTGGGATTACAGGCGCCTACCACCACGCCCAGCTAATTTTGTGTTTTTAGTAGAGACGGGCCTTCACCATGTTAGCCAGGCTGGTCTCGAACTCCTGACCTCAGGTGATTTGCCTGCCTTGGCCTCCCAAAGTGCTAGGATTACAGGCGTGAGCCACCACTCCTGGTCTCAGTTTGTAATTCTTTAAATTTTAGTCATTGGTTTAACTCTTGCCCCTTAGTCTGTAAGCTGCAGGAGTGCAGATACCTTTGAGTTCTTGGTGCCTAGCACAGGTCTGGTCCAGAGCAGACCTGCAATCAATATTGTGGAATAAATGAGTCCAGCTGTGGCCAGCCTTAAACGCCTGCTAAGCAATTTAGGCCATATCCTGTTGGCTGTGGAAAACTGTTGGAGAGAATCAGGGATTTAGGGCTTTGGGAAGATTAACAGATTGGAGGGGAGGAACATGTGGAGGGCTTGTGGAAAGGATAAAAATTAGGCAGAAACTTCAGAACTTACGAGGAAACTACTGTTAGCCCCATCTTCCAGACTGAGAAAACTAAGGCTCAAAGAGGTTAAGTAACTTACTCGAAATCACATACCTGGTGAGTAGCTGAGCCAGAAATCCAGCCCAGGCCTACCAGATCCCAGAGCCTGAGCTCTTTATCATGTGCTAAACTGCCTCTGTGACCCACTACTGCTTGTCAACAGTGGCCCACAAGTGCTTCAGGGGCATGTGTGGGGCCTGGTGTTGTGGATCTTCCACACGTAGAAGAGACTGGACGCCACGGGCAATCAGTTGGTGTTTTCTGAATGGACGGATGGGACCATGTAACAGGAATGTCAAAGGCAGGAGAAGCAGCAAAGCTTTACACCCAGCTCATTCTCCTGGAAGCCGCCATGAAGCAGTCTTTTCCCTCCAGTCCACGAACTACCTGAGGGCAGGGACTGCATTTGCAGTCAGAAATGTCAGAGTCAGAGATGTAGGGTCTGAAAACCTAGTTCAAGTCCTCACTCGAGCACTTACAAGGAAGGCATGTGACCTCTCCGAGTCTGTCTCTCTGATGGTAATAGGAGGAATTGGAGGAATTCCAGGATAACCTGGGTGAGGGCCCTCTGCAGCCTAAGTTCTGAGACACAGTGTCCTCAGTTTACTTACCTGACCAGCGGGCTTAATAATTTCCAACCTGTGACGTGGCTTTTTTGTGGCTCTTTTTTTTTTTTTAGACAATGTCTTGCTCTGTCGCCCAGGCTGGAGTACAGTGGTGTGATCTCGGCTCACTGCAATCTCTGCCTCCCAGATTCAAGCCATTCTCCTGTCTCAGCCTCCCGAGTAGCTGGGACTACAGGCGCATACCACCATACCTGGTTAATTTTTATATTTTTAGTAGAGACGGGATTTCGCCATATTGGTCAGGCTGGTCTTGAACTCCTGACCTCAGGTGATCCGCCCGCCTCGGCCTCCCAAAGTGCTGGGATTACAGCCGTGAGCCACTGCTTCCAGCTGACATGGCTCTTTCTAATGCCATCTGCTGTTATTACTATCATCATTGTCATTATTAGTCCTTGACTGCAGACAGATGGCTTTAAGGAAGTCAAATATAGAGTTTACACCTGGAGAGGGAGGCACAGGGGTGAGAGAGGACAAGGTGTGATCTACTTTTAAGGGAGCACACCCGCGCTTCCCCTACTTGCCCCCAGAAGACCAAAGCCATGAGCAGGAACCTCTTTAGGAGGACAAGTTGAGCCACAGGCCAGCCTGGGTCACATCTTGTCCCCACCCTGCCCTGAAGAGAAGCTCTGCAGGAGACCAGGCAGCCAGGGCAAAGGGCCTAAAAATGCCAAGGCCTGATTTGCATAGGCAAAGAGCAGCCTCCTCATCTCTCCTCCAGCCTTCCAGAGACTTCCTGCATTTGTAGGTGAGAAGGGGCCCTTGACAGGTGGCTGTGGGTGGGGCAGAGTTGCCCAGAGTAGCCTTGGGAACAGAGTTGACTCCCTGGGAAGGCAAGAAAGGCTCCAGAAAGGCAGAGCCGAATCCTTCCTGGGGTTTCCTCCCATGAGTCAATTCTTTTTTTTTTTTTTTGAGACGGAGTCTTGCTCTGTCACCCAAGCTAGAGTGCAGTCGCGCAATCTCGGCTCACTGCAACCTCTGCCTCCCAGGTTCCAGCGATTCTTCTGCCTCAGCCTCCCGAGTAGCTGGGATTACAGGCACCTGCCACCATGCCCAGCTAATTTTTGTAATTTTAGTAGAGACAGGGTTTCACCATGTTGGCCAGGATGGTCTCAAACTCCTGAGCTCAGGTAATCCACCTGCCTTGGCCTCCTAAAGTGCTGGGATTACAGGTGTGAGCCACCACGTCTGGCCAAGATAACTTTTTTTTTTTTTTTTTTGAGACGGAACCTTGCTCTGTCGCCCAGGCTGGAGTGCAATGAGGCAACTCTTTAAGGCTGTCTGAAGATGGATTTCTCCCGAGGCCTGTCAAAAACTAACCTTTCTTCCGTCCCATCTGACATTAATCCAGTGTGCACCAGCATTGCCATGAGACTGTTCCTTCCACGTGGCTGCTGCCCCCCAGCTCGCCAGCCCCACCTTGCCACTCATGCTTCCCACAAGATCCTGGGCTGGCCTGGACCCCTCATTTCAGAGGTCCCGACTTCGCTATTTCCCTCCATTTCAATTCAAATAACAAACACATCTTGCAAGTCCAGTGCTGTGCTACATGCTGGGCACAGAGGGTAAAAGAAACACAGTCCCAAGCCCTCGGGGAACTCACTGACTCATAGTTGACGAACTTATAAGCAAATAAGTGTCATATGAAATAAGAGTACTCGTAGAGATTTGCACAAAACAGAAAGGAGGAAGCAACTTTTTCATTCTTTTGAGAGAGAGGGTCAGAAAAGGCTGCAGAGAAGAGGTGACATTTAGCCCGGTGCAGTGCCGAAGATTTGTAGAATTTCACCTGGTGAACTGCTGTGGAGGGGACAGCTGGGAGTGCAAGGAGGTGCGGCTGCACATGGGTGTGTGGCAGGCCCAGAACTCGGTTCAAGTGAATGACATGACAACAAACCCAGCTGCCCTGGAGCCCACACTGAGTGCCACCCAGATAGGAAAGGACCATCCTGGCTGCCTGGCTGGGGTGAGGATGGGGAGAGTGTGCTGATCTGAGCTGATTCCCCTCCTGGGGAAAGGCTGAAGCCATTCACACAGACCATGAAGGAATTGGACTCCATCCCAGTTTGGTATTCATTTTTTATCTTTTATAGGATTGGGCATCTGGAAAGTCAAAAATAGACCTTTGCCCATTGGGACAGGAAGCCTGGAGATCAAGAGATCCAGGGGAAAGGTTGGGGGGACTGGGAAGGAGCTGGATCTGAGGGTCTTCCAGAAAGGAGCAGGATATGGACATGGCCTGGCAGAGGGCCTGGGCAGGCTGGTGGTGGGTGGCTCGGCACTACCTGTCTGGAGAGCCCTGTGGGCCACACGGCCAAGTCCTCACCTCACCCTCTGCTCTCTCCACAGCTCTTGAGATCTGTGGCCTGAAAGGCGCTGGAAGCAGAGCCTGTGAGTGTGGTCCCCGTCACCAGAGCCCCAACCCACCGCCGCCATGGTAGGAAAAGGTGCCAAAGGGATGCTGGTGAGTACAGAGGCCAGACTGCGGGAAGGAACGGGAGTCCCAAGCCCTGCCCCCAGGACCTCCTGCCAGCTGCTTGGAAGGCTTAGGAAGGCCGGCACTGCCAGGGCTCCTGAGTGCCCAGCTGACCCCGGCCTGGGCAGGTAGCCCCTCATCTAGCAGGTCAGAGAGCATCAGGCTCCAAGCCCGCAGAGCCCGCAAAGACCTGCCAGAAGGCAGGAGGTGTGGGCCCCATCCTTGTCACAGAGGTGCTCCAGACAGAAGGAGGCCACTCATATGCTGAGAGGACAGTGGACGCGGGGCTGTGCAGGCGCCTTCAGTCTGTGCTGATCAAGGGGTCCTCCCTCAGACCCTGCCTGGTTTTTCTCCACTTCTTTGGGTCCTTCTCAGTCTGAAAAGTAACAAAGAACATTTTGTTTTGAATCCTCTCCTGAGGCCTCCCAGAAAATGTCCCTCCACCCTTTCCCCAAGTCCTGGCTCTTCTTTGCCCTCAGCCTTAGAGCACAGGAGAGGTAGTGGTGAGGCCACGAGACACGGGAGAGGTAGTGGTGAGGCCACGAGACACAGAGGGGTGGATGAGATTCTTTTTATTTTTTTTAATTTTTTTGAGACTAAGTCTCACTCTGTTGCCCAGGCTAGAGTGCAGTGGCGTGATCTCAGCTCACTGCAACCTCTGCCCCTGCCGGGTTCAAGCGATTCTCATGCCTCAGCCTCCCAAATAGCTGGGGTTACAGGCATGAGCCACCATGCCTAGCTAATTTTGTATTTTTAGTAGAGACGGGGTTTCACCATGTTGGCCAGGCTGGTCTCAAACTCCTGACCTTAGGTGATCCACACGCCTCGGCCTTCCAAAGTGCTGAGATTACAGGTGTGAGCCACCGCACCCGGCCTGGGTGAGGTTCTTGAAGGAGCAAGACTCGCTGATGGATGGACCAGGTCAGCACCAGAAGCAAGAACCAAGAAAATGATGCCAAATCCTGTCCCAGAGGCAATGGTTGTCTTCCTTCTCTTGAGATCTTCCCTGGGGACAGGCTAGACTGGACGGCTGCCGGGGGTGGGGACCTGGGACTGAGCATGGACAGTCCCTCCCTCAGCAGCTCCCATCCTTTCAATCCCCTGTGTTGCTTTTCTCATTTAGTGAAAGAGTCATTGGCCTGGTGTCTCTACTGAGCCCTCCCCAAACGAGCCCTGTCTCTCACCAAAGATTTCTGGGACTCAAAGTACCTGGTTTAAAAGAACAACTTGGGCTGGGCAGGGTGGCTCACGCCTGTAATCCCAGCACTTTGGGAGGCTGAGGAGGGCAGATCACTTGAGATCAGGAGTTTGAGACCAGCCTGACCAACATGGTGAAACCTTGTCTCTACTAAAAATACAAAAATTAGCCAGATGTGGTGGTGCGCACCTGTAATCCCAGCTACTTGGGAGGCTGTGGCACGAAAATCACTTGAACCCGGGTTGCAGTGAGGCAAGCGCCACTGCACTCCAGCCTGGGCAATAGAGCAGGGCTCTGTCTCAAAAAAAAAAAAAAGAAAGAAAGAAAGAAAGAAAGAAAAATTAAAAAACAGCAGTTTGTGGGAGAGAACCGGTGGTTCTGCTCCAAGCTCAGGATCTTCTATCTGGCCCTGTTCTGAACCTCCAGCATCCAACCCCTGGCCCCAACCCTCAGGCCAGCTCTGGTCTAGCCCCCTACTGATTGACTGATTGGAGCAAGTCTGATTGAACCAAGCTCCTGAAAGTATTCCTGAGATTCCTGAAATCTGGGTGCTCAGAAATGGGCCCAGATGGAGATCTTATGACCTGAACACTTGCTAGGGGTGAATCCCATCTGAGAACCCAAACATGGCCCCACCTTTCCTGGAGAAGTCTTGGAATTGCCATGGGCTTGTGATAAGAAGCGGGGTGTGGCCCTGCCCCTTCCTACCATGGAGATTCTGAGCCCCATGAAACCTCTGAGTCCTCCCTGGTTGCTCTTTCTTCTCTGGAGTGACCTGGAAGGACTGGGAGGAGGGCAGGCAGGAGAGATGTGAGCAGCACAGAGGGCATGGCTCCCAGTGTCCCAGAGTCCCTGCCTGAGCTGAGCTTCCCGGACTGTGCTCTGCCGGTCGGCCCGGCCAGCCTGTCTATGGATGGGAATGCTGCCTTGGGACTCCTGTTCCCAGCACCAGGATGTGCCTAAAGATAGCTGGGGCTCGCTCTCCTCCCCGCTCTCTGCCCTTTGGCTTTTGCCCACTGTTGCTGCGTTTGAGGCCCATAGCATCTGTCCCATGGGCACCCCCAGTGGTTGCTTGGAGATTCTATTCCTGCTTCCTTTTCAGTTCTGCTGATGACCTTGGAGTACTCCACTCTATTCTTGGGTTCCAGTTTGGGACTGAAGCCACCTCCATTCAGTGCTTGTCTCTAGACACAGCCTCTGAGGTGCATAGGGCAGCTGGTCCCTGCTGAGCCCCGTCTCTTCTAACACAGGCAGCCCAGTCAGCACATTTGTGTCTTCTGTGTCTTCCTATGGCTAGTAACTAAGGAAGCTTCATTCTGACAGGGTTCTTCTTTGGATACCCTGGTAGATCAGAAGAGAGGATGTTAAGGGGCGTGTGTGTGAGCCATGCACTTGGACCATCCCAGTTCTCCGTGGCTTCTGCTGCTCTATTTGTGCCCTGGCATGCATGGAGCAGGCACTGGCCCCTACCATGGGATCCTCACTTCTATCCCCCTTTACCCAGGTTTGGGTGTGAGGACACTGGCCCTCCAAGTCTCTTCAGTGTCGGCAGACACCCTGTGTTATCCTTGGAGCTTCTGCTGGATGCTACAGCCAGTGCCCCATGGGTAACAAGCAGCTTACCAGCACGTGCCCAGGCCCACATGCCTGCTGCACGTGTCCCTCCCTCACTCCAGCCCAGATGGTCTCTGCCAGGCCAGCTCAGCTGCCTCCCTCACGCCTCAGCAGCTCCTAGGACAGGGCTGTGCGAGAACCCAGCTGGCCAGGGTGCCTCCAAGCCTGGGAGCAGCTGGGATGCTTGGGGGCACTAGGGGGTGGGTGGGGTGGTCCTCCCGTGGAGACCTAGGGCCTCATACACGTGCGGAGCAGGGCCACCTAGGTCTCAAAGGACAAGGGGCTGGAGGAGAGGGACCCAGGACAGGAGGCAAGAGAGCCCCCACTAGCTCAGTTTTAATCCTCCACCCACCAATGTCACACCATTTCCCAGGCTGGCCACCTCAGTCCCCTCCCTAGTGCCACTGCCCACTCATGCAGAGTCTTGGGCAGTTCAGGCCTTGGTGAGCTTTGTTGACCTCTTCCCATGTCTGAGCACACTGATTGTTTCTGCCACTGGGAAGCCTTACAATGAACAGGAACAGACTCATTTGGATTAGGGTTCTGGGTGCCAGAGTGTCCAAATCCAAGGAGGCCTTGCAAGCACCACAGGCCGCCAGGGGCTGCCCCACCCTGACGCGTTCTCATATGTTTTTCCCTGAGGGTTTGGGCACCTCCTGTCTGTAGCATCCGTCATAGGACCTGGCACATAGTGGGGACTCACCCAGCCCAAGTGTTGGCATGTAGCAAGAGCTCAACTAGTGCAGGCTTGGTGCATTATTGGGAGGTCACCAAGCACAGGGTTTGGCACACCTTGGACACTCCCTTGGTAGAGGGCCTGTCCCTGCCTGGGCACTCACCTAACCGAAGTCTTAGCGTGTGGCAAATGCTCAACTAGTGCAGACTTGGCACACATTAAACACTCCCTTAGAAGACAGCCTGTCACCCTGTAGGCATTCATCTAGCACACTGCCAGGTACACAGTGGGTGCTCACCCAGCTCAGAGCTGGGCGCACATTGGGTCCTTACCTGGCACAGAATTCGACATACCCGGGGTACTCCCCTAGTACAGGACCTAGCACACCACAGGGGCTCCCCACCTGGGGCTGACACACAATGAGTGCTGTCTCAGCATCGGACTTGGCACACAAGAGGCACTCTGCTGATCAGCATCGGATTTGGCACACGGTGGGCACTCTGCTGATGCAGGTTCTCACACACAGCAGGTGCTTCCAGCACAAGATTTGACATCCAGTAAGTGCTATCCCGGCTCAGGGCCTGGCACACAGTGGGCATTCTCCTTAGATAAGGCCTAGTACAGTGGAGGTGCTCTTCTAGCCAGGACAGCCTAAGCAATGACCTTCCGCTGATCCTAGATTAGCAGCTACCCCATCCTCCGTGAAATGGGCAATATCTAGATCCAGAGGAAAAGTTCCAGCCTTCCTCAGCTTCCTCTCTGGTCGGGGGCCCTGCCCTCCCTCCCCCTCCCCACTTCCTGTCTAGCCCACCTACTCAACCCTGTAGCCCGGCCTCCCACACAGCCTCCCTGCAGCCCTCCCCCATCCCCGGCACTTCTCAGTCCCAGCTCAGCGGGACCTTCCCTCCAGAGTCACAGGGGACAACAAAGACCCTAGCCTCCTTGCCCCTCTGGAAGCATGCCCACTCTTATTAGGCAAAGTCAGAGGCGGGAGCTGGGGGAGTCAGCATCCCTAAGTGGGGCTAGAGCAGCTGGATCTCGCTAATGAGGCCTCATTACGGCCAGGGCCCAGCTGGGCTGCTGCCGCCTCCTGTCCCCATGGCCAGAGCCAGGGAAAGCCGTCCAGCCATGGCTGCCTGTTCTGGGCACCCGGCCCAGGCCAGGGCAGCCAGAGCCCAGAGCCCACCCTCGGTGCAAGTGAGCATTTGGGCATCATGGGTGACGGGACCTTCCTGGAGCCAGTGGCCCAGCCAGCGCCTTGGCCCTCAGTCTGCGCCCATGGGAAGTCAGGGGAGTGTGTCTGGGGACCAGGCGCATGAGGCTGGCTCAGTGAGCAGCTGAGTCGGTAGGATCTGAGGCCATCCTTAGGACACTTGCTTGAGCCAAGGCCTGTCCCCATCTTCCCCAAACCAACATGGAGATAATAATGGACCTACCTCATGGGACAGCTGGGAGGACCCAATGAGTTAAGATATGGGAAGTTAACTTGTACCATACTAGGTGAGTGCCCACAGGGTGATGGGCTGTCTGTGAAGCAAGCGTCCCATGTATGCTGAGCCAGGACAGTGCCTGGCCCACAGCAAGCACTTACTATGTATTTTCTATTACCATTATTACTAATGCTCACTAGATTCAATGATTGGTGGGTGGTTTCCCCGTTTTAGAGATGGAGAAACTGAGATCCGACATGTTAATGGACTTGCCTAAGGTTATATATGGTGAGAAACTGACAAAGCTAGGGTTTGAACCCAGGACTGTCAAACTCTAAAGGCTGTGACTTTTTATCTTATTTTAAAATTTATTTTTTATTAATTTTTTGAAACAAGGTCTCACTTTGTCACCCAGTTTGGAGTGCAGTGGTGTGATCATAGCTCACTACAACTTCCAACGTCTGGGCTCAAGCAAAACTCCCTCCTCAGTCTCCTGAGTAGCTGGGACTATAGGTACACACCACCACACCTTGCCAGTTTTTTGTAGAGACACGGTCTCACTATGTTGCCCAGGCTGGTCATGAACTCCTGACCTCAAGCGACCCTCCTGCCTTGGCTTCCCAAAGCACTGGCATTACAGGCCTAAGCCACTGTGCCCCACCTGTCTTTTTATTTTTATTTATTATTATTATTATTATTATTATTATTATTATTATTATTTTAGAGAGAGAGTTTTGCTCTTGCTGCCCAGGCTGGAATGCAATGGCGCGATCTCGGCTCACTGCAACCTCCACCTCCCGGGTTCAAGCGATTCTCCCGCCTCAGCCTCCCGAGTAGCTGGGATTACAGGCATGTGCCACCACGCCCAGCTAATTTTGTATTTTTAGTAGAGATGGGGTTGGTCTCACCATGTTGGTCAGGTTGGTCTCAAACTCCTGACCTTGTGATCTGCCCTCCTCAGCCTCCCAAAGTGCTGGGATTACAGGCGTGAGCCACCGTACCTGGCCCTGTTTTTAAATTTTTAATGTCATCCTGTGCTTGACAAAACTCCTTATGTTCCCTACGGGGTTGCCACACTCACCAAACTCACAGGAAAGCTGTTCTTACACCAGAATTCATGCACGTGTCCATCTGACTGATATTTCCTGAGGTCCTGTGGTAAGCCAGGCCTTCTGCTGACTGACCAGTTTCCAAAGGGCCTGACACATTCCTGGCACCGGAATGCATATGCCCACCTTCCGAGCCACTGGTCTGAGGTATCTTGGGGTCAGCAGGAGACTGGCCAGTGTGTGTGGCCTCAGAGAAAGGGACTGGATGGGTCTGAGTGGCATCCCACTACAGTAGTGGTGACTATAGTCATGGTGACGACACCACTGGACCTACCAGCCCACGCCACGCACACTCCCAGACTAGCACCTCAGCTTCTGGGCATCACGGTGCAAATCCTCACGGGTTCTTATTCCACAGTCCCCCTTTGTCTGGACTCTGGGATGACTTGCCCCCTTGGCTAATGCCATCTTTGTCCAGACAGCTGACAGCGTGGTTCACTAGGCCAGGGCTTTCTTGCATGGTCAGTTGCATTCTCCTAGGAAGACGCCCCATCACCCTGGCAGTTTGGGAGTCCCCATCTCTGGTTGGTGGGGGGTGTCAGGTACAGCCCTAGGGCTTGGTTTCTCCCAGCCCGCACCCCTCCGTGGAGCCTGAGCTGCTCTGGTGGTGCCCTGTGGACTGTGCCTTCCATCCTCCTGCCGGTCACCATCCAGGGCCCAATGGGGCAGACCCCGTCACTCATCAGACACCCAACTACCCTAGCAGGAGCCCACCCAGTGCTAGGCCTGTGGGCTCAGACAGCGTCTGGTCAGCTCCGTGGGGGGAGTGAGCCACCCTCTCGCCTGCTCTGCCCCAGTCTGTGTGTGTGTGTGTGTGTGTGTGTGTGTGTGTGTGTGTGTTGTTCCAGTTACTTGCTGGGAACAAGGGAAAAACACAACAAACCCCACACACCCCACTCCAGCTCCGGAGCACCCGTGCTGGGCTGCATGGGGACTGGCCGGAGGGGCAGGGCCAGGGGAGCGGGTAGGCAGAGCTTCGGGAGGAGATGAGGTGAAAGTAATTGACGCTGCCCAGCCCGGCAGTGGGAGAGGCAGGGGATGCGTCAGTGTCGCGCTGGAGCTGGCAGAGGTGTGAATGAGCGGCGGAGACACGCGGGCTGCGATCGCTCGCCCCAGGATGGCCGCGGCTCATGGACCTGTGGCCCCCTCTTCCCCAGAACAGGTCAGTCACCTTCCAGGAAGTTGAGCCCCCTCCTTGGTGCCAGGCAGGCTGAGAGGCTGGGCTGCGGATGGGGAGAGGGGCTGAGTGGTCTGTGCCAGGGAGGGGCAGGCACAGCCAGCAAGCAAGACAGACACCAGCCAAAGTGACCCAGAAAGTTGCAACTGTGCAAAGGAGTGTAGGAAGAGTTAGCTGTGTGGTGGGGGTGAGGGGGAGGAGAGTGGGGGTGTGAGGGCTCCCCCAGCCCAAGGACCTGCTGAGAATCTGCTCTGTGTATCAAAGCTGCATTGTCCTAGCTCCCGGGGAGACGGGCCGGAGGTGCCCAGGAATTGTACTAATCAATACAGCCTCATTGTCTGTGCCACGGCAGTTACTCCTATGGGAAGAGTGGGTGAGGGGGCAGGGGAACGTGGTACATGGTTTCAGTGGCAAGGGGTGGGGGAAGGGGATGGGGCAAGAGTCTCAGCTGGGAAGAGAGAGACCCCACAGAACATTTTCCAGGGTCCAGGGCAAGTGCCCGCATGGGCTGGGAGCCGGTGTGTCCTCATCCCTGGACGCCGGGGACGGGTGGAGATGTCAGCGGATGGCAGCGAGGGTGAGGAGACTCGAAAGCTACACTTCTCCCCTGTAGGACATCCTGACTTGACCTTCAAAAGGCAAGAGAGGGAATGTCCTCTGAGGCGATGTGGGATGGGTCTGGGAGGAACAGTACGCAGGGCTGCCCTCAAGCCTCAGTACTGCTAGGGTCAAGAACCAAAGCCACTTTCCAGAGTGCCTGCCTGCTGCTAGCCAGTGAGGGTAGACGCCGCCCCCAGCCGCTGCAGCACAGGACATGACCATTGCCTCCAGTCTTCCCTCCTGGGCTTGTCTGGGGTGGGAAGCGAGGAGCTGGCCAGGGTCCACCCAGGGTCCTCCATCACTCACCCCAGGGCCTGGAGTGGAGCCCGGCATGCCTGGGGGTGCCAGTCATCTGTCTGCAGCCCACAATATTGGCAGGTCCCTTGCTGCCAGTCAGGGCTCTGCAATGGATAAGCACAAGGCGTATTCTTGCCTCTCTCATCTGCTATATGAAGGCCTGGACTCTGAAGGCACCTGGAGTCCTGAGAGGTGCCCAGAGATGGCTCTGAGGTTTGCCTTGAGGCAGGAGGCATGAATGGCCACTGGGGGCTGCTCGGCCCGGGGGAGATTTTCCCATGTTCTGCCCCTCCACCCCGGCCCCAGACTCTCCCATATCCAGGTAACTGAGGCCAGAGATCAGAGCTGCAGCTGGGTCTCTCTGCCCCTACTCAGTGCCATGTAGGTGAAGGACAGAAGATTCTGTCATTGCAGGGTAGGTGCTGCCTGTGGGCCAGGCTGGGCCCTGCACTGATAGGAGAGAACAAAAACTGAGGGGTGCCTGGCCGGAAGGAGGTCGTGGGGTCTTCTGAGGCAGCCACAATTTACTGTAATGGCTGTTCTGTCTAGATTCCCCATTGGGGCTTAGAGAAAGTTGCCAGTGATCTGATTTGGCTCAAAGTCAGTCTGGGATGTGAGGTCTTGCCCATTCTCCTCCATAAAGTTTGTCTTGGATGGGACTTCATCCCATGAGCAAACCCTGGGGCTGGAGAGTCCTAAACACAAAGCCTGCTGGGTCCCAGAGGGGCCCGCCCATCCAGGGCAGCTCCAGGATTCCTCAGTGTCCACCCAGAGCAGGAGGGGGAAGCTCACAATTCACAAAAATATCCACTGGCCACTGATCTAGGAGGCGGGAGTGTCACACCAGAGCACAGTCACCGTCCAGGGTGGAGAGCTGGGCTCCCTGAGTCTGTGCAACAGCAAAAGGCAGGAGTGCATCCTGGGGCTGGCCCGGTTCGCTCTGGGAGTAGGCTTTGTTGCTGCATTTCCTCTTTACCTTTTTCTGTATTTTCTAATTTTTTTGTGTGTGATAGCTTATTATGCTTTTATAATCAGGAAAAAAAAGGGCAAAATTGTTTTTAGTAATCTAGAAAGCTAGTGGGAACTAATGGAATGTACAGGGGAAAGTCAGAAATAGCAAAATTCCAGGTGAGGGAGAGCTATGGAATATGAGTAGCTACAGAGGCTATCTAGCCTGGGAATCTGGCAGATCGATTGAAAGTGAGGTTATCTAGTCTATGGCCATACCATCCTGAACGCACCCGATCTTGTCTGATAGTGAGGTTATCTAGTCTGTCCCCTGCTTTTGTAGACAGCAGTGCTGAGATACCAAGAGTGGAAGTGGCTTGCCCAGGGCTCTACTGGAGGAGCGGGCCCTAGAGCACCAGGGCTCTCACCTGCACCGGTGTCCCGCCTCTGCCAAGCCCAGGGCTGAGTGGGAGATCTGGATTCTGCCCTCGGAGCTGAGCAGCCTTAATTCCAGGGGCTCAGCCAGAGCAGTAAATAAGCCAAGCAGAGGGCTGTGTAAAGGACTTATGTAAGTGACTTTGCTCAGTGTGGCTCTCCCAGCTAGGCAGGGAAGGGGTGGGAGGCTGTTAAACCAGGAAAGATCATAAGTCCTTGTGCCAGGGTGGACACTCCTGTCTCAATGACTGGTTCTAAGGGTAAGGGAACATCTGAGGGGTGTGTGTGTGTGTGTATGGGTGTATATGTGTCAGCCAGCTCACCCCACCCCGCCATGGAAGGAAAGCCTCCATTCCTTCCATGGCTGGGAGAGCTTGGGGACAGGGCAGGGTAGTCCTGTCCTGGAGACCACCTGCTGAGCCCATGGCAGTGGCAAGTGGAGGCTGCTTTGTCCTGGCAGTGGCCTCTCAGAGCTGCCAGGAAGGGTGACAGGGCACATAGGGGCTGCCTAGGGAGCCTGCAGAAGAGGGGGCCAAGCCAGAGGGAACCATGCCGCTATGGTTTAATTCCCCACTGAGATGTCAGCAAGTGAGTGAGGGTGAGCAGAGGGGGGCAGATGGTGGTGATGGTGGTGGGGGTTAGGAGAAGCCTGGAGCAGAGCCCATCCATGGGGCTGAGCTGGCTCAGGCAGACGGGCAGCCAGTCTGAGTCAAATCGTGAGCACAAAGGGATTTTTCCGTGGGTACCTCAGCTGATGACCACTGCAGGGACAGTTCATATCAGTGACACAGCCGTCCACCCAGCAGATCAAGAAAAACTAGAGGCTTAGAATAGGAAAGATTATGCAAGGAGGGAGAAAAAAAGCCATACAGTATTGAAAAAGATTTAGCTGCTCAGGAGGGAAGTCAGAGGGTGGTCCCCAGAGGAGATCTGGACAAGGAAGGGAACTAGAACACCCAGAAAGTGCCTGGATTTTTTTTTGGAGAGTCTTTCCTCCAGTTTGCTTGGAGAAAGGTAGGCCTGCTCTGTCGTCCGCTGAGAGCTCAGCCCTCCCCAGCCAAGCCACCTGAGCGTAGACAGCCCTGGAGTTGAAGACAGAGGCCAAGCCTGGGCCAGATTCCCGTGGTCGAGCGCCACAGTGCTGGGACCCAGGCCCAAGCAGAAGTGGGTGCTGCTTCTGCAAGGATCCTCTGCATACAGCAGACCTTTAGTGTTGTCAGAAACTTCCTGCCAGAGCCCCGTCGCCAACCCCGGTTCAGCCCTGTCGCGGGGGCTGTGGCCTCCCTGGGTTACAGCCCGCACGGCTAAGCTGGTTAGCACACGGCTCATTAACGGAGCAGTGGCTGGCTCTTGAGGGCTCAGGCAGGCGGCTGTCTGTGGCACGTGGCTGGAAGCATCACCACCTTCCCCGTACCTCCCCCTGCCAGGGAAGGAGCAGACTTCAGGGATCCAAATGTGGTCCCACTTGGTCAGGGGGTATGGGGCATCTGTCCCTCATCCTGCTGGGAACAGGAGACAGGCCTTGATCTTCAAGCCTTGGGAACCTGGATCTCTGCAAAGGGCCTTGCCCTTACCCTGCCCATGGGTCCATCCTGGACCATCAGTTGTCCCTTTTACAGCTGTAACTGCTGCTCTGTGACCCCATCCGTGTACTGTGCTGCTGGCACAATCAGGCATTGTGCCCCTAAGTAAACAACCCTGGGACAGAATAAAACTGGTATTGTAGGGTCAACATATAGGAGCCCTATTTGGCTGGCATTTGTTTGGGACCAGATAGACCACCCCCAGCAGGCCTCACACCCTCCAAAAAATGGGCCCTTGACTCTGTGATCTTGCCACACCTGCCCCAGTGAAGGCCCCAGGAGGTGGTGACATGCTCAGACAGGATTCTGTAGGGGCATGTCACAGAGGGCACACTCAGGCCGGGGGGCACCCTCTACCAGGGCCAAGCATGTCTTCAAGCCTCTTCATCAGGGAGACCTTCCTTGACCTCAGCCCTGCTTTCCTGCCTTGTCCTCCTTCCATACTCTTGTGATTTTGAGATGATCCCCTCTGTGGTCACCCTGAAGCCACATCTAAAGATGATGGGTGTATACATTTCATTGCACCCCCACTAGATTTCCAGCTCCGAATGGGTAGGAGCTCTCTGCTGAAGTCCCACTTCCTGGCACAGTGCCTGGCACATAGCCAGTGTCAATAAATCTGCCATTGCATGAATGAATCAATGAATGAATGAAAGAAGGCTTGTTCAGCCACTGATTTGCTCTGGGTGCTCCTTGAAGGAAACCCATGGTCCCTGGCACTGCACCCCTGCCCTCTGTGGAGGGTGTGAGGATCACATCTCGGCAGGGTCGATGCTGGATTGAGAGCACAGGGTGGCTGCCCCACAAAGGTGTCTGTGCTGCAGTGCCCACCCATCAGGCCTTGGTGCCTCCTTTGCCCACATTCCCACCTGGCCTATCCAAGGCGCTTGGGGCCCAGGGAGGCCATTCATTCCGTCTGTGTTTGTTCATCAGCATCAGGGTCTGATAGCATTTCACCTGCACCAGGCTGCCTTGCTTATTGACCAGAGTGACTGCTGTCGAATATGTCTCTTTCAAGCGGAGGGTGAATGTCACATCACTGGCATCTCTCTGAGGCTACGGGGCTCCATCTCTGATGCCAGGTCTGTCTGTTTCTCTCAGGGGAATAGCTCACCTCTGGGAGGCTGTCTCTGGCACTAAGGTCTGTCTGTGTTTCTGTTGGTGACACTGAGCCCCTGTCTCCTTAGTGAGACCCCTTGGGGCCCTTGGGCTCTGATTAATTTCCTGCTCACTGTGGGAGGGAGGTGGAAGGAGCATGGCACTTATTAAGGGACTTCTTTAACCAAGGGACTTGCAGAGCCAGTTCCAGCTTTTGGGCCTGGGGTTCCACAAGGGGCTGTCCTCAGTGGGGCCCAGGCCACCAGCTCAGTCCTGCAGGCCCCACATTCTTCCCTGGGGCAAATCCCCGCATCTGCCTCTCCTGACCTTCGGCCCCCTCCCCTGCAGGTGACGCTTCTCCCTGTTCAGAGATCCTTCTTCCTGCCACCCTTTTCTGGAGCCACTCCCTCTACTTCCCTAGCAGAGTCTGTCCTCAAAGTCTGGCATGGGGCCTACAACTCTGGTCTCCTTCCCCAACTCATGGCCCAGCACTCCCTAGCCATGGCCCAGGTCAGCTCCCCAGGGCCCCTCCCCAGCCATGGGCAGTGTAGCTAGCTCCCCGGACCCTCCCACCTAGAGTCCCAGAATGCCCTCCCCATGTCTGTCCCGGCTCAGCTGCTCCCCCATTTCCCCCCAGCCCTGCCCACTCTGTGCCCCCAGGAAGAAGCCTTCAGCTGGGGGAGGGGTCTAACCTCCCCTCCCCCGCAGTCGCCTGCCCAGGGGCAGCGTGCTCAGCCTGGTGATGTGGTAGGCGACGGGTGGGGGGGCTGTCTGGACACAGGCCCCTTTGTGCCCAGCCTGACTTGGCTGCTTGGTATGAGGCTCAGCTGCTCCCAGATCCTTACCCAGAGGGGCAAGGGGAGGTTTTGGAGGGGCTTGGGGGCTCCTGGCCCTAGCTCCCTCTTCAGTGTCCCGCCTCCCGGATGCTGGTAGCAGCTCCTCAGGTGGGCTGTGCACCTGGCACTGGGTGCTGTGGGGCTGGTGAGGGAAGCTCTGCTTGGCGCCCTCTGGCAGCCACTACTCTCTGCTTCCCTCCTTTGCCAGGCCTGCCTGAAGCTCCTGCCAGCAGAGGGGAAGCCCGGGGAGGGGTGTTGGAGGGGCCACGGTTTCCCTGCTGGGGGAGGCCCAGAGGGTCAGGCATGGAGCACAAATGCCTTGCTGATGGTAGCTTCTCTCCTGTCCCCACAGAATGGTGCTGTGCCCAGCGAGGCCACCAAGAGGGACCAGAACCTCAAACGGGGCAACTGGGGCAACCAGATCGAGTTTGTACTGACGAGCGTGGGCTATGCCGTGGGCCTGGGCAATGTCTGGCGCTTCCCATACCTCTGCTATCGCAACGGGGGAGGTACCCAGTGGGCACAGGGCAGGGACCACCCACTTGGGTAGAGCCCACCCACCAGGGCCTGGGCCACCCTCTCCCTGGCACAGACCCACTCCAGATAAAGGCTGGCCTCTGGCCCTGGCCTCCTTCGCCCCCATCCCTGGCTTAGGCACCCTTTGCCTAAGGCAGGCCACCCCAGACCCTGGCAGTCTGTTGTTGGGGGCTGGCCCTGCCAGTTGGCCCCCTTTGAGGTGAGGAGAGGTGAGAAAAGGACCTAACCCCCCCCCCCCCCCGCCCACAAGGCTCCCTGTTCTATTCCCTGGGGTTCAGCAGCCCCCCTAAATGGTTCAGGGATGTTGAGGATCTCAGCAACTTATGCTTGTGAAATCGCTTGTTTAAACCATCAAATCCCACCCAAGTATGGAGGCTCTGGGACCTGGATTCCACTCCAAGCAGAATTCCTGAGAGCCTCTGTCAAGTTGAAAGACAGGCTGGGGGTGGTGTGCCTCAGCCCAGGCTCCTGCTCAAGCCTGGCACACTCCTCCCTGGGTCCTACCCAATCGCGAAGGTTTTGCTGTTGAGTTCTGAGCAGGAAGCCCAGGGTGAGATCCCTCCAAGCCCACTCCTGAGCCAGACCTCTCCCTGCCTACCAGGCGCCTTCATGTTCCCCTACTTCATCATGCTCATCTTCTGCGGGATCCCCCTCTTCTTCATGGAGCTCTCCTTCGGCCAGTTTGCAAGCCAGGGGTGCCTGGGGGTCTGGAGGATCAGCCCCATGTTCAAAGGTGAGGCCTGGGCGGGGCACTCGCTCACACATACACAAACACACAACGGCCTCTGAGGGCCGTGCCAACTCGCCCATCTGTACAAACATGGCTGACCTCTGTAGAGCCCTGATGCTGACCCCAAGCCCCACATCAACGGCCTAAGCCATGGATGCATGCTGGGACCCATGTTTACTTGGCTGCCACCCTCCCCTCCTACCACGTGTACACACAAAACTCCTTTGCGCCACCCCCCGCCAACTTACCCCTACCAAGACCTTGACCTGGCCTTCCTTTGGCCCTCCATCTCAGCCTGCCCCTTGGGCCCTTAGAAATTATTAACCTCGGGCCAGGCACAGTGGCTCACGCCTGTAATCCCAGCACTTTGGGAGGCCAAGGCAGGCAGATCACCTGAGGTCAGGAGTTTGAGACCAGCCTGACCAACATGGAGAAACCCCATCTTGGCCGGGCGCGGTGGCTTACCCCTGTAATCCCAGCACTTTGGGAGGCCAAGGCAGGCGGATCACAAGGTCAGGAGATCAAGACCATACTGGCTAATACGGTGAAACCCTGTCTCTACTAAAAATACAAAAACAAAATTAGCTTGGTGTGGTGGCAGGTGCCTGCAGTCCTAGCTACTCTGGGGGCTGAGGCGGGAGAATGGCGTGAACCCGGGAGGCAGAGCTTGTAGTGAGCCAAGATCATGCCACAGCACTCCAGCCTGGGCGACAGAGGGAGACTCCATGTCAAAAAAAAAAAAAAGGAAACCCCATCTCTACTAAAAATACAAAATTATCCAGATATGGTGGCGCATGCCTCTAATCCCAGCTACTCGGGAGGCTGAGGCAGGAGAATCGCTTGAACCTGGGAGGCGGAGGTTGCAGTGAGCCGAGATCGCGCCATTGCACTCCAGCCTGGGCAAGAAAAGCAAAAACTCCGTCTCAAAAAAAAAAAAAAAAAAAAAAAGGCCGGGCGCGGTGGCTCACGCCTGTAATCCCAGCACTTCGGGAGGCCGAGGCAGGCGGATCACGAGGTCAGGAGATCAAGACCATCCTGGCTAACACAGTGAAACCCCGTCTCTACTAAAAATACAAAAAAATTAGCCAGGCGTGGTGGTGGGCGCCTGTAGTCCCAGCTACTCGGTAGGTTGAGGCAGGAGAATGGCATGAACCCAGGAGGTGGAGCTTGCAGTGAGCCAAGATTCCGCCACTGCACTCCAGCCTGGGTGTCAGAGCCTGGGCAACAGAGCTAGACTCCATCTCAAAAAAAAAAAAAGAAAAGAAAAGAAAAAAAAGAAATTATTAACCTCACCTCCTCCTGCTGGATGCTGAGGCTCCTCCCCCCACCCCTCCCCTCCTGCAGGAGTGGGCTATGGTATGATGGTGGTGTCCACCTACATCGGCATCTACTACAATGTGGTCATCTGCATCGCCTTCTACTACTTCTTCTCGTCCATGACGCACGTGCTGCCCTGGGCCTACTGCAATAACCCCTGGAACACGCATGACTGCGCCGGTGTACTGGACGCCTCCAACCTCACCAATGGCTCTCGGCCAGCCGCCTTGCCCAGCAACCTCTCCCACCTGCTCAACCACAGCCTCCAGAGGACCAGCCCCAGCGAGGAGTACTGGAGGTGAGGCACCTGCAGGACCTGGGGTGGGGGGAACCTGGTGGCAACCCTGTCCCCACTGGGCAACCATCTGAAGACAAAGTAGGGTGCCTGCTGCAGGTTCAGCCCGCTGCTGGGCTGGGAGAGGGTAGAGGTGAGTGAAGAGTTTAGGAGAAGAGCCTGATGTACAGAAAGCAATGGAAGATGGAGGCCGGGCACGGTGGCTCATGCCTGTAATCCCAGCACTTTGGGAGGCCGAGGCGGGCAGATCACGAGGTCAGGAGATCGAGACCATCCTGGCTAACACGGTGAAACCCTGTCTCTACTAAAAATACAAAAAGAGAAAAGAATTAGCCGGGCGTGGTGGCAGGCACAGGAGAATGGCGTGAACCCGGGAGGCAGAGCTTGCAATGAGCTGAGATCGCGCCACTGCACTTCAGCCTGGGCGACAGAGCAAGACTCCATCTCAAAAAAAAAAAAAAAAGAAAGAAAGCAATGGAAGATGGAATGTTGAGTTGCAGGATCTTTACAGAGTAGCCGTGAGGAAGGCCGTCAGAAATCCAGCAAACCAGCCTTCAGAGGAGACTCAGGGGAAAGGGGGGCAGATCCTGGGGAGAAGAAGAGTGTGGGCAAAGGCTCTGTCCCAGATGAGCAGAGGCTGGCCCCAAAGCTGAAGGGAGCCTACTCTGATGAGAGTAACAGGTGTGGGGAGAATGCATGGGCTTCAGGTGGCCTAGGAAGTGGCACTGCCTTCATAAAGAACTTGCCAGGATTAGGCTTAGACTTGATGATGCAGAACAAAAGACGCCATGGAAGGTCTCTGAGCCGGGGGTGCCGTGATCAAGACATCCTGGCACATTTTGTTCAGAGGCGACAGAGACCAGAGTCTCAGGCCATCCTGCTGTGCCCTCCACCCACCAGTTGGAAATTCCCTGTGTCTTGCTGGGGAACCCCTGGGCAGAGGGCTTTGGGGGCATGCTGGCAGGCCTCCACCATTTATTCCACAACATTCACGCCTCTGCTCTGCCAGGCCCTGTGTCCCCATGGTAGGTATGAACAGCCCAGAGCCCCTGTCCTGAGGAGCTCACAGGGCAGTGGGGAGACAGATTGCTAATCACAGTAGGGCAAGTGCCTCGGTCCAGGTATGTGCAGGGGTGTCACAGAGACACAAAGAGGTAGTGCTTGGTGCTAAGGGGATGGGGCAAGACCAGGCAGTCAGAGCTTCCCAGAGAAGGGAGAGAGGAAAGTAGAGAGATTGGGAACCACATGAGCAGGTGAGCAGAGGCCAGAAGGAGGCAAACTGGAGCTGGGGTTGGGAGCAGGTGGGACGCTGAGTGACAAGACAGAAGAGGCCAGCAGGCATCATATAACACAGGGCCTCCCATGCCAGGCTAAGGGTTTGAGGCTTTTCTCCACATGTGATGGAAAGCCATGGCTGAAATGTACAAGGGTCTGAGGATACCGCAAGTCACCACAGGGCCTCTAAACCCAGGTCCAAGTACTCTGACCCTGAAGGACTCAGCTTCCCTGTGCCAACCTCTGGGCTGGGCTGTAGACACTCAAAGACAGGTAAGACAGGGCCACTATTCTCAAGGACCCAGAGCATAGAGAACACAGTTGCTGTCCCCCAGAGGGGCATGGGCAGACTCAGGCACTCAGTTACCAGACAGGTCATTTCATTTGTCTTTCATTTTTTAATTTTTAACATCCTAACATTTATTTTCTTTTTAAAAAATACACCTGGAACTGAATGGACAGATGATTTCTTTTTTTTTTTTTTTTTTTTTTTTGAGACAGAATCTCGCTCTGTTGCCCAGGCTGGAGTGCAGTGGCACGATCTCAGCTCACTGCAACCTCTGCCTCCCGGGGTAAGCGATTCTCCTGCCTCAGCCTCCCTAGTAGCTGGGATTACAAGCACCCGCCACCACGCCTGGCTTGTTTTTGTATTTTTAGTAGAGACAGGGTTTCAACATGTTGGCCGGGCTGGTCTCGAACTCCTGACCTCAGGTGATCCACCCACCTCGGCCTCCCAAAGTGCTGGGGTTACAGGCATGAGCCACCACACCCAGCTGATTTCTTGAGCACCTACTAGGTACCAGGTACTGTTCTCAGAGGGGAGAGAGGGCAGGGAGGCAGACATTGTCCTCACGGAGCTGCCGTCCGATGGGAGAACGAGCAGATATTGCTGAGTGAGGCGTTTTATTACATTTGAGGCATGATGTGGACTGGTCAACTTGATCTAGTCTGGGGTGATGAACCTTTCTGGAAGCTCCCAGAAACACAAAGCCTTGTGCAACCCCACCCCCAGATGCTCCAGTGGTGGTTGTCCCAGGGACTGACTGCCAGAGATTCCCAGCCCTGGGCCCACCCAGGGCAAAGCTCTAGAGATTTTATCCAGTAAAATCAGAGGGGAAGAGCCTTCAAAGAAATCTGGCTGGTGGAGCCGCTGCACTCTACTCCCCAGCGCGGGCTGGAGCCAGGCCTGCCTAACTGGCCACTGTCCCATGCGGGATACCTTCCCGGCAGCACGGCTCCCTGCTGCCCTCTCCTGGAGATCCAGGGAAATGGCCCTGAAGAGAGCAACCCAGGCTGGCTTCAGCAAGGGAGGAAAGGAAGCACCCTTATTGTTGAGCACCTACTAGGTGCCAGGCATGTTATCTAAGTAGATATTAGTATCCATATTTTCAGACTCAGAAACTGCCGTTTAGAGGTTAAGGAGCTAGGCAGCAGTCGCTGTATCAGAATCTGTGTGTGTTGCGCCCGTCTGGTGCTGCTGTTGCTGGGTGTGCCGGGGTGAATTAGGTGGGGGTGGCTGTGCAGGTGTTTAGTCCACACTCTCCAATGACCCTTTGGACAGCTGCGCGATCTCACTGGAGTGCCACAAAAACCCTGTTAGGTAGCTTGTGTAGGGATTTTAAAAATCACCATTTTACAAATGAGGGAAGCTAATCAAAAGTAAGATGAAGAGACTCTAAAGCGAGAGAAGCTCAAACGGCAGATTTCTGAGCCCATGTCTGCCTCTCACCCACTCACCCTTCTCACTCAGGGTCCTCCCCTCCCTCGCCACCCTCTTCACAATCTTGCCTTCCAGTCCCCTGTGCTGGTCTGATACCTGCTACTGGGTCCTAAACTCGTGACCAGGCCTTCTCACCTCTGCGGTCCCTGTGGGGCCCAGCTCCTGTCCCCCAGGGTCTTCATGGCAGCTCTGGAGTCACACAGACTCCTCCCAAATCCTGGCTCTGTCGCATATTAGCTGTGGCCTTGGGAGGTCGTTCACAGTCATTTGTCCATGAAATTGGGCAGTCGTGATACCTACCTGGTTTTAAAGACAAAATGAGATAATGCAGCCTAAATCACTAAGACTGCTGATAGGAGCTCAGGCAGCACAACCACAGCCCCTGTGGGACCTGTTCCTGAGGGTCCTGTTCTCAAGGCACTCACCACCTGGCCGGGGAAATAAGATTTGTCATGTGGAGACATTTTTAAAGCAACGCAGAGTAATTCTGGAGATGTCATGTGTCAAGAGGTCACTTGTAAATACGTTGGGTTCCAAATGTCCTTAGGCTGTTTGATCTCAAAAGCATGTGGTCCAAAACCAAAACCAAACAAAAAACAGAATATGATGCCCTAAAAATAAAGCTAGAATTCATCATTTGGTTTCCAGGCTAGCCTTTTAAACTCTTCAGTCCCTAACACTGTAACGCTATATTCTTGCAGTCAAAAATAATATAGGCCAGGTGCGGTGGCTCATGCCTGTAATCCCAGCACTTTGGGAGGCTGAGGCAGGAGGATTGCTTGAGCCCAGGCATTCGAGACCAGCCTGGGCAATATGGCGATACCATATCTCTACAAAAAATACAAAAATTAGTTGGGCATGGTGGTGCACACATGTAGTCCCATCTACTCGGGAGGCTGAGGTGGGAGGATCGATTGAGACTGGGAGGTCGAGGCTGCAGTGAGCCATGATTGTGCCATTGCACTCCAGCCTGGGCTATAGAGCAAGACCCTGTCTCAATAATAATAATATAAAACACTACCTGTTTAGCATATATGGTTAGACAAAGTATTAAAAAATCCTTCAGGCCAGGCGTGGTGGCTCACGCCTGTAATCCCAGCACTTTGGGAGGCTGAGGCAGGTGGGTCACCTGAGGTCAGGAGTTTGAGACCAGCCTGGCCAACATGGTGAAATCCCCATCTCTCCTAAAAATACAAAAATTAGCCCAGCGTATTGGTGCATACCTGTAATCCCAGCTACTCGGGAGGCTGAGGCAGGAGAATCGCTTGAACCTGGGAGACGGAGGTTGCAGTGAGCCCAGATCGCACGAATGCACTCCAGCCTGGGTGACAGAGCAAGACTGTGTCAAAAAAAAAAAAAATCCTTCAAACAAGAAATGGTTTCTTTACTTTGAATGCTGGTGCTGGAGGTAGAGCAGTTGTTCTTTGCCCTCTTCCCTGAGGGCTGGGGAGATGCCCCTGCAGGCCTGTATGCCCAGCACTTAGCACAGGCCCGGGCACGTAAATGTCTGATTGATCAAAAGATCACAGCTGGTATGACATAGGGTGCCAGATGGAGCCACCCAGAGGGGAGAAATTTGGGTCCAATCTTTTTTTTTTTTTTTTTTTTTTTTGAGATTGGACTTTTGCTTTGTTGCCCAGGCTAGAGTGCAGTGGCACAATCTCCACTCCCTGCAACCTCCACCTCCTGGGTTCAAGCAGTTCTCCTGCCTCAGCCTCCCGAGTAGCTGGGATTACAGGCACCCGCCATCATGGCCGGCTAATTTTTGTAGAGACGGGGTTTCACCATATTGGCCAGGCTGGTCTTGAACTCCTGACTTCAGGTGATCCACCCACCACGGCCTCCCAAAGTGCTGGGATTACAGGTGTGAGCCACCACACCCAGCCAGGGTCCAATCTTTACTGAGCATTCCACTGCTTCCCTCAATTTATCAGAGATAGAGCTAATTGGTGCACGTGAAATGCTCACTGGTGGCTTCCTGGAGGAGGTGACACCTGACAGAATGAGGAAAAGGCATTCCTGAAGGGAGAAGTGTGCAAACAAGGACCTGGGCTGAGCCCAACTGGGGACAAGGAGATCTCCTCGCCCAGGAACTAGGAAGACCACCCAAGCCTGGGGTGTGGCCTCCAGGAGCCCTTGAAGGGCCTGGGAAAGGCTGCAGAGCAGTGGACTGTGTTGGGCTCCCCAGGGGCTGCAGCAGGTGGAGGGGACTGGGCCGGCCAGGGCTGGGCCCCTGAAGTAGCTCCCATGTCACACAAGGTGGCTGCTGGGACCTCATGACAAAGGAGGGTACAGCCCGGGTGGGCCCTGGGCCTTGGGAATTTGTTGCTGGGCAGCGGCGGCTGGCCCTCAGTGACAGAGTCTCCCCTTCCCAGGCTGTACGTGCTGAAGCTGTCAGATGACATTGGGAACTTTGGGGAGGTGCGGCTGCCCCTCCTTGGCTGCCTCGGTGTCTCCTGGTTGGTCGTCTTCCTCTGCCTCATCCGAGGGGTCAAGTCTTCAGGGAAAGCAAGTACCCCTCCCCAGCAGGGTCTGTGCCCACCCAGAAAGACCCTGCCCCCTACCTGGGTTATGTGTGTATTGCAGGGAGGGGATGCTGAAGGGACTCCGGAGCCGGAGAGGGACCAGGGGGCTGGTGGTGATTAGGGAGCCAGGGTGGTGGTGCCCAGGGGAGGGGAGAGCCCAGAAGAGTCCATGGAGCCCTCTTGTGCCAGGTGGTGTACTTCACGGCCACGTTCCCCTACGTGGTGCTGACCATTCTGTTTGTCCGCGGAGTGACCCTGGAGGGAGCCTTTGACGGCATCATGTACTACCTAACCCCGCAGTGGGACAAGATCCTGGAGGCCAAGGTGGGAAGTGAGGGAAACCGGAAGGGGGCTGGGGAGGGGCCAGGGAGGTGCCTGCCTCTGCCCACAGCTCCTCACCCACCGGTCCTTCCCTGCAGGTGTGGGGTGATGCTGCCTCCCAGATCTTCTACTCACTGGGCTGCGCGTGGGGAGGCCTCATCACCATGGCTTCCTACAACAAGTTCCACAATAACTGTTACCGGTGAGTGCTCCCTGCTGGGCTGAGGCTGCCCCCTTCCTGCACTCTCTGCAGCCTGATCTCAGCTCCAGTGCAGCCATGGGCCCACGAGGCCTCCTTTCCCCTCATGATCTTGAGGTTCTGGGAATACTGGTTCTGGATAAAGTTGTTGGAGAATGAGGAGAGAGGTTTAGGCAGGAGAGAGAAGAGAGATAGGGACAGTGATGTCCCAGGGGTCTGTGAGGACTCAGGCAGCTCAGGCTCCTTAAAAATGCCCAGAACAGACCAGAAAAGGAGTTGGGGGCCAGGCTCAGTGCTTCACGCCGTAATCCCAGCACTTTGAGAGGCCAAGGCGGGAGGATCACTTGAGCCCAGGAATTCAAGACAAGCCTGGGCAGCATAGTGAGACCCCATCTTTCTTTATAAAACATAAAAAAGAAAATTAGCTGGGTGTGGTGGCACACACCTGTAGTCCCAGCTACTTAGGAGGCTGAGGTGGGAGGATTGCTTGAGACCAAGAGGTCAAGGCTACAGTTAGCTGTGATAGCGCCATTGCACTCCATCCTGGACAACAGAGTGAGACCCTGTCTCCCACTCCAAAAAAAAAGAGTTGGGGGTGCCTTTGTACCTAGAACTTTCCGTGTCTCCATGTCTCCTCTTGGCCCAAATTGGGGAGAGGGAAGCTGAACTCTGTTTTCCTCCCCATCAGGGACAGTGTCATCATCAGCATCACCAACTGTGCCACCAGCGTCTATGCTGGCTTCGTCATCTTCTCCATCCTCGGCTTCATGGCCAATCACCTGGGCGTGGATGTGTCCCGTGTGGCAGACCACGGCCCTGGCCTGGCCTTCGTGGCTTACCCCGAGGCCCTCACACTACTTCCCATCTCCCCGCTGTGGTCTCTGCTCTTCTTCTTCATGCTTATCCTGCTGGGGCTGGGCACTCAGGTACGAGGTGCAGGACGTGGACCGGAGGCTTGGGGAAGGGAGGGGACAGGAACAAGGGGCAGGTCTCCGATCTGACAGCCACATCCTGCAGTTCTGCCTCCTGGAGACGCTGGTCACAGCCATTGTGGATGAGGTGGGGAATGAGTGGATCCTGCAGAAAAAGACCTATGTGACCTTGGGCGTGGCTGTGGCTGGCTTCCTGCTGGGCATCCCCCTCACCAGCCAGGTAAGAGCTGCGTAAGGGAAGGGCTGGCCCAGAGTTGCCAGGACGTGCAGGGAAGGGTTGGGGAGCCCGGGCTGCAGGCGCCTCCCACAGCTGCCCGCTGTTCCCCAGGCAGGCATCTATTGGCTGCTGCTGATGGACAACTATGCGGCCAGCTTCTCCTTGGTGGTCATCTCCTGCATCATGTGTGTGGCCATCATGTACATCTACGGTGAGCACTCGAGCCTCCGGCCTCCCGCGACCCGGCCCTTGGCCCGCCCACTCTGTCCTGCGGGTCTGCTGACCCCCCATCTCTCCAGGGCACCGGAACTACTTCCAGGACATCCAGATGATGCTGGGATTCCCACCACCCCTCTTCTTTCAGATCTGCTGGCGCTTCGTCTCTCCCGCCATCATCTTCGTGAGTTCCCTGGCCGGCCCCTCCCTTCCCCCGCTGCCCCTTGGCCATGTGTCCATCTCTTGGGACCCAGCGGAGGGACAGTGGGAGCTCCCGCACCTGGCCGGAGCTCCATACCCATGACTCTGGCCTTTGGGAGGCTGAGGGAGGTTGGAGAGAGTCAGAGAGGCGTGTGGCGACTCAGAGCTGCCTGGGCCCTGGCCTCAGGTTAGGAGGGGAGTGCCACAGCCTTTATTTGACTGCAGACGTTGCTCAGGCATTCCTGCCTGGCACCCCCGGGGACTCAGGAGTCAATATCGATAGCGTGTCAGCCTCTGCCTGCTGGCCTTATCTCCCATCCCTCCAGGGAGGGTGTTCCAGGGCCTTGGCTATGTGGTGGGAACCAGTGTTCCAGCAGCAGCCCAAGGCTGGTAGACCAGACTGTGGAGTCAGAGGTCAGCTCTGCATGGGGGCAACTTTGCAAGCCTTCCAGGCAGTGAGGTGGGTGGCTTGGGAAGGGGAGTTCCAGGTTTTATGAATATTCAACAGCTGAGAAATTCCCATCAGGGAGCTGAATTGGTGGAAGGAATCCACCATGGCAAGGAAGCAGGCACTTTCCACACACCATTCCCATGTAACCCGTGATAGAGCTCTCCAAGGTGTCATTGTTGTCCCCACTTTACAGATGAGGAAACTGAGGCATGGGGATGTTAAGTAATTGGCCCATGGTCACACAGCTAATAAGAGGCAGAGCCACAATTCAAATCAGGTTGTCCAATTCCAAGCCTGGGCCAGCGCCACACTAGAAACACCTCTGCAGGAGGGAGGAATGGTCCAGGGGCCAAAACCGTATGACTTGGCTCCTTCCTGTTTGGGGTGGGATTCGGGGAAGGCAGGTATTGACAGTGTAATGGTCACTCCACAGAGGACAGGCAAGGCCACCTCTGAGTGATAGTCAGAGGGCTGGCCCAGTGGCCCGGCCAGTGTTCAGAGCCACACTCTTGTCATGTTTAATGCCTCGGTGGCACAGGGGGCTCAGCACCAGACTTCCCCTGTGGCTCATGTTTCTGAATAAAGGCCCGTGGAGGGCTGAGGCCTCTACCCGGTAGGTTGTGGGATGTTCCCGAGCCTGGCACAGGCTCCCCGCTCTGGCCACTGGCCCAGCTTTGAAACAGGAGGAACGGAAGTCTCAGTGGTGGGAGGCAGGGGAGGGCAGGCACCACCACCCCAGAGTGCCATGCCTTCTGGGGCTATGGCCCAAGGGGAGCTCAGCCTCTGCGGCTCAGAGGGTCTCCCAGCATTCAGACTAGATTGATGTCCTGGGGAGAGACCAGGGGGCACCTGCCAAGGGCAGTGGGGAGGAAGGAGACAAGCACAAGAAGGATCTGTAGGGGCAACCTTGGCTGGGATCTGGTGTCTCCACAAGATTGAGGCACAGCGGGCGGGGCTCTTCCTGTGCCCAGGAAGCCAGGCTGGAGTTACCTTTAGGGGAGCCTAGAGTCCTCTCCTTGGGGTAACTCCAGCCTGGCTTTCTGGGCTGTTGTGTTTTCTCTGGGGGCTTTCCTTTTTCATATTTCTGAAAAGCTCTTTTTGACAAACTCCACCCTTCTGTCAGCTCAAATGAGGGATTTGTCCACACGTAGGTCAGGATCTGTTCCATTCAGGAAACCTGTTATAAGCTCCCATCGTGTGCAGTGTCTCCGGAGGGTCCCCCAATTTGGATGTGGGTCTTGCATTCTAGAATATGGCCCTGTGCTCCAGGATGTGGCTGGAGGCTCAGGAGGAGGGTGCTGGGACTGCCCCCCCCCTTCCCCCGCCAGGCCCTCTGGGTGGCCCGCCAGCCACTGCCTGTGTTTCTGCCTCCTTTCACTCCTTTTGTTACTGCAGCCACAAGTTTTATTTCCAATCTCACTCATCTCTTTCCAAGGAGGTTCCCTAGAGCACCGCAGCCTGACACTCACCATTTCTAGCCCATGGAGCTTCCCCAGGCTGAATGTCCCTGTCTCCACGGCCATAGACAGGCAGGGCTTTGCCCTACCCTCTTTCCATCCTCCTCTGCCTCTCTGCACAAATCAGTTCAAATCAACACAAGAGACTGTGGCAGGCACTGTACTGGGCACTGCACCCCCAGAGTTGATGCAATTCCAGGAGCTCTCAGGTCTATGGGAACGTTAAACCAAGTCACTCTAAGGGAAGCAGGTGGAAAACGCCGTGGGGAGGCCCTGCAGAAGGAAATGGAGGAAATCTGGGATGGCTTTTTGAAGGAGAGGGCACTGACATAGGGTTTGACAGAGGAAGATGCAGAGGATGATTCCCCAGAATAAATGAAGAGTGGGTGGGAAACACTGGGTGTGACTGAAACACTGAGGGCGGAGTAGTGTGGCCGGCAAGACAATTTGAGGTCACACTGCCAGGTGACAGCCTAAAGGCCCAGGATGTGGCCTTACTTCAGTTAGCCATGGGGAGCCATAGCGAGCAGAACTGACTGATTCCAAAGGCGGCAGCAGCTCTACTGTGCTTGGCCAGTTCAGGACTGTGGCAAAGACAGACTTCTCCCTTCCGCAGAGCCTTCCCACTCACCGCGCTCCGGCCCCCGGCCCTGCCTGCTTCTTCCACGGCCCAGATGTTGACAGCTGTCCCTGTTCTGCCCCAAATGCCCTTTTCTAGTTTGGGAAACCAGAGAGGAAAGGGTGCTGGTAGAGGGATGGCCTGGGGTCTGGGCTCTGGGTCGGCCTCACGCCCACTCCCACACCTGCCCCGTGCAGTTTATTCTAGTTTTCACTGTGATCCAGTACCAGCCGATCACCTACAACCACTACCAGTACCCAGGCTGGGCCGTGGCCATTGGCTTCCTCATGGCTCTGTCCTCCGTCCTCTGCATCCCCCTCTACGCCATGTTCCGGCTCTGCCGCACAGACGGGGACACCCTCCTCCAGGTGAGGGCAGGGACAGGCTGGGTAGCCAGGCAAAATGGGAGGGGCCAGCTGGAAGGGGCTTAAGGGCTCCCTCCTGACGTGCCCTGCCCCTGTGCCCCATGCCTACCTCATGCAGCGTTTGAAAAATGCCACAAAGCCAAGCAGAGACTGGGGCCCTGCCCTCCTGGAGCACCGGACAGGGCGCTACGCCCCCACCATAGCCCCCTCTCCTGAGGACGGCTTCGAGGTCCAGCCACTGCACCCGGACAAGGCGCAGATCCCCATTGTGGGCAGTAATGGCTCCAGCCGCCTCCAGGACTCCCGGATATGAGCACAGCTGCCAGGGGAGTGGCCCCACCCCCACCCCGTGCTCCCACCGCAGAGACTGGTGAGGCAGAGGCCAGGTGTCTCTGCCTGCCCCCTGCCACGCCCTGGCCAGGACGGCTGCTGTCACCTTGGTCACCACTGCTAGTGCAGTCATTCATGCTCATGTCCCCAGTGTTTACATGTCCTTTGGATGCCAAGATAGCAGCTGGGGGGAGGGGTGGGAGTGGAGGGTTGCTGGGAGGTCCAAAGCACTTTGGAGGGGTCTCGGGCCAGGTCCCCAGCAGCCTGGATGGCTTTACGTGGCCTCCGATACCCTTATACCCTGCCCTGAGCTGAGGTTCTGGGTGGGCCTCCAGCCCCATGACTAGTGCTCCTGCCCTCAGAGCCGACCCCAGCCTCTGCCAGGCACATTTGGCTATTCCTCCCTAGGGGCAGGATGAAGGGCTGGGGGACTGCCCAGTGTTACTTGTCAGGCTGTGCTGCCCAGCCCTGTTTATCTGTGTAATTATTTTTGTAAACATTGTATTCTCTGTGGTCGCCACCTCCTCGCCCCCAGCCTCGGGTTCAGTCTGTCTTCCAGGCCTGCTTGCACCTCACTGGGCTGCTCCGGGGTCTCTGCCCCTCATTCCAGGCCTGGCTGTCAGGCCCAGCCAGCAGGGGCCCGTGACCCAGCAGCCTGCCCAAAGCATTTGTTTCTGGGGGATGGGGTGGGGGCTGCTCCACAGGAGGTTTGAGCCCAGCACCCTGGGGAAGGGGACCCTGCACGACACCCCCTTGCCCTCCCTCCATGAGGCTAAAGGCCCAGTCTTCCCAAATGTGCTGCCCTCGTTCATGTGCCAAATGGCCCCAGCCCACATGCCCCTCCCCTCTCTGGAGTGGGAGCCCCTTCTGAAGTGTCTGAATCCCTGAAGTGTTCATTTGTCCGTCCTCTGTGCAGTGACAGCCCCGGCCAAGCCACCTCTAATCCTCTGTAGCAATAACGGTGCGCCGCCCATCCCTGCCCATTGTGCACCACTAGGATTTTAAAGTCCATAGATTTTAATGAAATTTCTATTCCTGTCTCTGAGCGGCTGCTGTGCTTTGTCTGGGTCCCCCAGGGGACAAGAGTCAGGCTGGAATGAGACCTCTGTCTGCCAGGCCTTTGTGGAGGCCTGGGAGGAGAAAGGCCAAAGGCTTTGATGCTTGGGACCGATGCCCGGCCACTCAGCTCCAGACACCAGGGATCTGGCAAGGGGGTGGGGCAAGGGCCAGACAGACCAACAGCCTTGGGGTCCTGGCGAGAGCTCGCCAAGACCAGATCTGAAGCTGGCTGGGCCAAAGCAGCTGAGGCGGCAGCGGCAGACAGGTGCGCTGTGGCAGAAGCCAGAGCCTACTCGGTGACCAGCCCTTCAGGCTGGGGCTTGGGGTGCTGCACTGGACATGGGTGTGGAAGCTGGCCCTTCCCTGGGGCTGCACTGAAGCTGCCGTCCCCAGCGGTGGGTAGCCGACTGGCCTCGAGGTCGAAGGTAGGGCTCCAGAGGAGGTGCAGGCAGGCAGCACTGGAGAGGTGCAACCCCGCAGAGGGGAAGCGGGGGTCTGAGGCCCTGTGTGGAGGACCCCAAGGGCCGCTGCCTGGACAAGAAAGAGTAACTGTGAGGGGTGGTGGTCTGATCCTTCAGTCCACCCTGCCCTGTGTCTACTGTTGTGGTTTACCTGTGGTTGGGAGAGACACAAGAAGGCCCCACAGATGCCTGCAGCTCCTGCTCCATGGCCTTCTTCTGTTCCTTTAGCTCTGAAGGAGAGATTGGGCTGAGACAGTGCCCAGCTCTTCTAGGGTGTGTACAAGTGTGGGGTGGGAGCAGGAGGCTGGGTGTTCTGGGCCCTGCTCCGTGTCCTCACCTGCCAGGGTGGGCTCCAGGGCTGCCTCAGAGGGGTGGCAAGGCCTCAAATACTCCTCTTCCAGGCAGCGCTGCAGGGAGAGCTGCGTCAGTGCCCAGACTCAAGGCAGGGGTGGGGCAAGGCAGGATACAGAGGCCAAGATCCCCAGGGCAGGCCCGTGCAGCCCCTTCAGCCCATCCACCGTGAGGGCAGCCACGTTCCCCAGGGAATACCAGCCTTGCGGAAGAGCTGAGTTTGGCAAGATAGTGGTGGGGCCTGTACCCAGACTTAGGTAAAGGAAGGAGGCAAAAGACCTAAAACGGTTGGCCCTGGCCTTAAGGGCTCAACTAGAATCCTGGGCCTCCAGGATTTTGCAGGTGCACACAAGCATGCACCCCTGAGAAATGGATGCAGGACTCACATAGCCTGTACATGCACCTATGTATGCACACAGGTACATGGGTCTCACCCAGGTGAGAGTCTACGCTCAGCAGTGAGGCTCGGGGGAGGGCCCAGGGCTGCGGCTCACCTGCAGGATGAGGATCTCCCTCTCCAAGGTGTGACACTCCTCCTCCAGAAGGCCCCTGGGACATGAGGGAGCAGCAGCCAGAACCCGAGACACAGGACCAGGGCTCAGCTGAGTCCACCACATGGCCCCAACCTCCAGCCTCAGCAGGAGCCCCACCCAACCTGTCCTTCCTCAGCCCACACTGCCCTCTGCTGCTTGGGGGCTGACCCAGCATAGACGTCTGGCCCCTGTGAGGCTCTTTCTGGGCAGGAAGTATCTTCCCCTCGCCTGCCTCACCCTGGCAGGCATCCTTCTCTCTCCCACACTTCTGCACTGTGATTCTTCTTGCCTCCATCTTCCCCCACATCACAGCCCTTCCGCTGCTTAAAATCCTCTGACACAGGCTACCCCTGTGTCAAGGTATTTATTTTTGAAACAGGGTCGGCCAGGCGAGGTGGCTCATGCCTGTAATCCCAGCACTTTGGGAGGCTGAGATGGGCGGATCATGAGATCAAGAGATCGAGACCATCCTGGCTAACACAGTGAAACCCCGCCTCTACTAAAAATACAAAAAAATTAGCTGGGCATGGTGGTGGGCATCTGTAGTCCCAGCTACTCGGGAGGCTTAGGCAGGAGAATGGTGTGAACCCGGGAGGTGGAGCTTGCAGTGAGCCAAGATCACGCCACTGCACTCCAGCCTGGGCGCCAGAACAAGACTCCATCTCAAAAAAAAAAAAAAAAGAAAGAAAGAAAGAAAGAAACAGGGTCTTGCTCTGCCACCCATCATGACTCACTGTAGCCTTACCTTCCAGGGCTCAATCAATCCCTTCTCACCTCAGCCTCCCAAGTAACTGGTACAGGCGTGCACCACCACGCCCAGCTAATTTTTGTATTTGTTTTGGTAGAGATGGGGTTTTCCCATGTTGGCCAAGCTGGTTTCGAATTCCTGGGCCCAAATGACCCTCTTGCCTCGGCCTCCCAAATTGCTGGGATTATAGGCATGCACCATCATGCTCGGCCGTGGCATCTGTACTTGGCTGCTTCCTGAAAGCAACCTCACTAGCTCTATAGCAGCCAGCTCTTTCCACCTCTCAGCCTTACGCACATGGGCCTCCCCGCCAAGTATACTACCCACCTCCTGTCTCACAATCCCAGCACCTCAAGATCCATCCTTGTCTCCACCCCTGCCTATACACATGCAGGTGCCCCTGGGCCTCACCTCAGGTGTCTGGCCACCTGGTCAATGTTGGACACGTTCAGTTGGTCCTTGATGATGCTGAGATCTCTGTGACCGCTGCTGGCAATGAAGTCACTATCACTCTCCGCATGTTGCTCACCCCAGGCCTTCAGGACCCAAATATCACTTCTAGGCAACTGTTTCTTTTCTCACAAAGGCAATATAATATAGTGCAAAGAGTAAGAGTTTGGGAGCCTAGGTTTGCAAATGAGCTCTGCCACCCTTCATTGTGTGTGACTTCAGGCAAATCACTTATCGCTTCTGAGCTTTAGTTTCTTTTCCTTTTTTTTTTTTTTTTTTGAGACAAGATTGTGCTCTGTTGCCCAGGCTGGAGTGCAGTAGCACCATCTTGGCTCACTGCAGCCTTGACATCCCGGGCTCAAGTGCTCTTCCCACATCAGCCTCCTGAGTAGCTGGGACTACAGGTGCGTGCCACCACGCCTGTTCAATTTTTTTGCACAGATGGGGTCTCACTATGTTGCCCAGGCTTCTTTTTTTTTTTTCTTAGAGACAGGGTCTTTGTCACCCAGGTTGGAGTGCACAGGTGCAATCATAGCTCACTGCAGCCCCGAATTCCTGAGCTCAAGCAATTATCCCACCTCAGCCTCCCAAGTAGCTGGGAATACAGGCATGCGCCACCTCACCTGACTATTTTTTTTTTCACTTTTTGTAAAGATGGGGTCTCCCTGTATTGCCCAGGCTGATCTCAAACTCCTGGCCTCAAGCCATCCTCCCGCCTCAGCCTCCCAAAGTGCTGGGATTACAGGCATGAGCCACTATGCCCGGCCTTTAATTTCCTCTTGTGCAAAATGGAGATTTTGCCCACCTCCTCAGGCTGTGTGAGGATTAGAATAAGAAGTTGCTGCCATCCACTTATGAATATTTTATCTCATTCAGTCCCAGCTGTAAATACCATTTGTGACCATCCTCTTCAGCTCTCCCTGCCTCCCTAGCCCAGCCCTCACTCCTGTTCTCTAGGCCAGAGGAACAACCGCCTGCTGGACATGGCTTCCTTTCTTCCCTCTTCCTACAAAGCTCTTCTCTTTCATCTCCCTGAAAACTGCTCCTCATACTACAACACGCAGATCAAACCACTTTCTCCAGGAAGCTTTGCCTGTCCCCAGGCTAGGCAGGTGTTTCCTCTGGGTTTCAGTAGCCCTCATGGGCTGATAATCTCTATCACAAGTGGCGGTGGAAGTGCCCAGCCCGTGACTGGAATCTCCTGCATGGAGCCAGGTGCAACCCACCAGTGGGCTAGGGCCCTCTGCCAAGCAGGGACAGATCCCTCTCTCCTACCATCACCTTACCTGGGCCCACCACCTCTCATCTGGAATATCTCCTGTTCTGGCAAATCACACCTGGGCTCCTCCAAGGCAAAGTGCAGGACCCTGGGGCTATACTGGACCCAAGCTTGGGCCTGGTCCCTGCAGAAGGTGCACAGGAAGGAAGCTGAGAGGCTCCTTTCTGGAAACCACAGAAAAGGCAACCCTGGCTCCTTGTTAGGGGCAGCGCTAGCCCACCTGGTATCTAGGGAAAGGGCCCAGGCCTGAGGCTCCCACCTGCCCTCACAGATGGCTTTGTGGCGGAGACCCTGGAGCAACTGCCGGAGCTCCTGGCGCAAGAGGTCCTTTAGGAGAGGCGGTGGTGCCAGAAGAGAAGAGGGGTCAGAGATGGGGCGGGAGCTGGGGGCTTGAGAGGATCGAGCCTCTTGGAGCAGTGCCCGTAACATCGCCACCTGCAAGGAGAGCTGGGATACCTTGCGACTGGGGAGGGGAGTGTCCGGAATGGTGGGGGCTGGGGGAGTGAGGGAGAGGGCGGAGTCAAAGGGGAGACCAGGATAGGATCTCGGGAGTTACCCGGCAGGGCCAGGGACCCGCAGAGGTGGGAAATCACCCGAGTCGTGGGGCAGGCCAGGGGCGTGGCCCACCTTCCCTCTCCCCACCTCCGCCCGCAGCTCCAGGCTCAGGTCCACCGCCGCCTCCCCCAGAATCCTCTTCACTTCGCGTCGCTCCCGGAGCGGAACGTGCTCCTCCACCAGCTCCCACAGCGAGGGGGAGTGCCGGAGCATGACCCACCGACGCCGCCGTCCCCGGCTCGGACCTACGGGCCGCAGGTCAGAGTGCGGGAGGTACCGCGGGCCCGCCGGCAACGCTCACCAAACCCCGCCCCTCTATGGGCCCCGCCCTCTCCCAAGCCCCACCCGTGCTCTGCCGCTGGTCCCCTCGGCTGGGATTGCCCGTTCCGGAACTGCCAGTCCTTGGCGCTCTCTTCTGCCCGGCTTTTGGCCGACTCGGATGCCGGGGGCCCAGAAACCAGGCAGTGGGAACCAGGGCCCTAGCCCCACCTCTTCCGCGTGGCCATCACCCGGGAAACCACGCCGCGACTCTAGGGCCCCGCCCCCTCCCGTGTTTGGTCCGGCGGGCGGCGCGTGCCGGCTGGGAGTTCAGACTCACCTCGGCGCTCCACCGAGCCCTGACCCAAGCACTTTGGGCTCGGCCCTGGGCACCTTTAGGCCTCAGGGAACGTGTTAAGACCTGAGAAATCTGGGTCCACGGGTTTATTACTTCGTCGCCTCCACTGTCCCGGAAGCAGTGCAAGGACAAACTTCCCCTTAAGGCCAGTGAAAGCCTAGGGAGTGGCAGCGCTTGGAGAACCAGGATGGCCCGGGTCAGGTTTACTTGTTGGGCCAGGTTCCCCAAGTGCCCTTCCACCACAACACACTCAGGGTAACCACGTTCAGGGACCCGACCCCCACCCCCAAACAGACAAGGGAGCTGCTCCATTCACGTTTTTTACTAAAGCACCCACACAAGTTTCTGTGCAATGTACAAACACAAGCCGGCCCTGGGGCTCCTGCCTCCTCTCTCAGACAGGGAGGCGGGAACCAGACTTACTGATCCAAGCCCCACCTGCCTCCCATGCAAAGGCCAACCCCAAGATCCCAGGCAGCGACACAGCATCCCCTCTGGTCCCCTCCTGGGGCTGCTCCTCAGCAGGGGGCGCACCAAAGCTTGCCCCCTACAATGTTGAATGAAAAAGGTTTCCCCTCCCCTGGGAGCAAGGGGGTTCCCAAGAGCTGAGAATTCCCCCTGGAAGAGACACTGCCCCCTAGACATACCTCCCACCCTTCCAGGCCCTAGGGGACTCAAGGGGGGGAAACTGAGGCACAGAGAGGTGGAGTGACCTAGCCCAGGCCACTCTGCGAGGCAGTGCAGGGGCTGGCCCGACCCTGACAGTGACTGGGGCTGGGCTAGGGGGAGGGGGTCGGGAAGGAGGGTTGACTCCAAAGAGGGCCACACTTGAAGAGCCTGCCCAGGCAGGAGGCCCCCCAAAGTGGGTTCTGAAACTTCCAGGTGTAGCTAGGGGGCCTAGTGAAGACCCTTGGAAAACAGAGCCCAGTCTCAGTCCTGGAGGTCCTCCACAGAGCAGCTGCCAGCCAGGCTGTGGTCAGTCCTCTGGCAGGCAATCTTCGGCACCGAGAGCCTCTGTCCATTAGTGTCAGCCCCGAGGGGGCCACGACGGAGGCCGCCCAATGTCCACTGTGATATTGGTGAAGAGTGGTTGCCGAGACACCTCCAAGACCTGGTACCGCACTGACCCAATGCCGTCCCGCTTCATGGTCAGCTTCGTGTTTTGAATCTTGGTAAACCTAGATAGGATGGAAATGGTCCACATCAGGGCTAACAACTGTAAACTAAAAATAAAATCCTACACCCCCCAACCAACTAAATGGACCCCCTTTTGGCCAAGGGGACCCCAGGGAACCTTAAAAACAGGGTTTCCAGCTATGATGGGAAGGGACGTCAAACATGCCATGTTATGCCCACGCCCTTTTGCAGCTTAGACACAACAAATGACCAGCATTAACGTCAAAGCAGAGATCACAAGACTGACAGAATGCATTGTTTGTGTCAATAAGATACCTAATTATAAATAGGATCTAAGGCCATGCCAGGCAAGGGTTAAGTCTTGCACCTCTGCACTTAAAGAAGAGACTATGCTCTAACTGCCGCGAGGATTTTCTTTTTCTGTAGCAGCTAAACAAGTACAGGACTTGAGATAACCAATATTAAAACAATTTGTATAATGTGGTAATATAAATAATAGAAAAAAATTTGCAGCTCACCCACTGCCAGATGCTGACCCCTACGCCCCTGTTCCACAAGCCATAATTATAGCTTTGGTGGGACAAGAGACTGATCTCAGTAACTTTCTCCTGATAAGACCATCGGCCATGGACTGGTTCTAGCCAGCTTACAGAGGCTGCGCACTTGAGTGCTTTTGTCTTTTTGACGTATGGGGCCTAACTGCGATATATTTAAATATTAAGTCTCCACCCCAAGGTGAACATGGATGGTATATAACATGCATGTTTGTTCGATATGCATATGTCAGGACCCCCTCCGTAAATATTCATAGCTCCTCCAGTAACCTGTTGACCAATCCATTCAACTAAAATTCCTATCTCACTCCTCCCTCCCTCAAAGTGCCTGTTAAGGCTTTGGCTGGAGGCTCTGCTTCCTAGCCAGTGGGATGGCCAGCCTGCAGGTTGTAACCCTTTATAAAAGAGAAATAAAGTCTCCTTTTCAAATTTATTGATCTAGTGATTTTTTTTTTTTTTTTTTTGAGACAGAGTACAATGGCACCACCTCGGCTCACTGCACCCTCCACTTCCCAGGTTCAAGCGATTCTCCTGCCTCAGCCTTCTGAGTAGCTGGGATTACAGATGCCTGCCACTGCGCCAGCTGATTTTTGTATTTTTAGTAGAGATGGGGTTTCACCATGTTGGTCAGGCTGGTCTCGAACTCCTAACCTCAGGTGATCCACCCGCCTTGACTACCCAAAGTGCTGGGATTATAGGCATGAGCCACCTCATCCAGCTGATCTAGTGATTTTTAAGTTAACACCACCAAACCCAATATGGGATCTCTGGGGCCTAGGCTTAAGCCAATCTGGCTCCTTCCAGGGTTGATTTGGCAGGAGCCCTTCTGCTCCTGCATTGGCCCTCAAAACAGAGATGTCAGCTGCTCCAGTCAGAAAACAGACGTCTGACACCCTCACAAATCTCTCAGCTCAGACTTTTTTTTTTTTTTTTTTTTTGAGACAGAGTCTTGCTCTGTTGCCTAGGCTGGAATATAGTGGCGCGGTCTCGGCTCACTGCAACCTCTGCCTCCTGGGTTCAAGCGATTCTCCTGCCTTAGCCTCCTGAGTAGCTGAGACTACAGGTGCACACCACCACGTCCGGCTTTTTGTTTTGGTTTTTTGAGACGCTCTCTTTTTTGAGAGTCTTGCTCTGTTGCCCAGGATGGAGTACAGTAGTGCAGTCTCAGCTCACTGCAACCTCTGCCTCCTGGGTTCAAGAGGTTGCCTCCCAACCTCCTGCCTCAGCCTCCCGAGTAGGTGGGATTACAGGCGCCCACCACCACACCCAGCTAATTTTTTTGGTATTTTTAGTAGAGATGGGGTTCACCATTTTGGCCAGGCTGGTCTCGAACTACTGACCTCAGGTGATCTGCCCACATTGGCCTCCCAAAGTGCAGGGATTACAGGCATGAGCCACCGTGCCCCGTCTTTTTTTTTTTTTTTTTTTGTATTTTTGGTAGAGACAAGGTTTCACTATGTCGGCCAGGCTGGTCTCGAGCTCCTAACCTCAAGTGATCTGCCTGCCTCAGTCTCCCAAAGTGCTGGGATTACAGACATGAGCCACGGTGTGAGGTCAGCTCAGACCTTTCTAAGCCTGAGACCAGGCATCCCACAGGCACTTCAAGCGCAATCAGATGCATCATTTTTACTCCCCACGCCTGTGCCATTTTCTCTGTTCCTCGTTCTTTAGTGACTCTCTTGCCAGCTATTTATTGAGCACCACCATGTGCCAGGCTGTGCTCTAAGCACCAAGGCTACTGCCATGGCCATGACAGGTGGGGTCCTTCATCTCAGGGCAAGTTGGCTTCTCTAGGGGAGGCAGGTAACAGAGAAAACATCGGAGTGCTAAGAGAGACAAGAGGGCATATGTGACACTGAGCTAAGGGCAGGGGCAAAGCACTCCAGGTAGAGGTCAGAGCACATGGTGACCCTAAATTGGGAATAAGATTTTGCACAGCTGAGTGGCTAAACCTGAATGGGGCACGTGGAAAAGCAGAATATTAGCTTGGAGGTTCAAGTACACCGTGCAAGGGCAGGGCTCTAAGTCAGAGCGAGCAGCTCATGTTTTCATTCTCACAGAATGAAATGTGTAAAGGCTCTGAGAAATGTTTAACCCAGTTGGGGGCCAAGCCATAAACAGGGAAACCAGTTGGAGGCCACTGCAGTAGTCCAGGCAGGATCCCAGAGGTTGGACTAAGGTAAAGGTAGTAAAGGGGGAAAGCAAATGGACTCAAATATGTTTTAGGGGTGGCAGTGATATTACTCGCTGATGGGTTTGGATATGTAGGGTGAGGAAAAGAAGAATCCAGAACTCCCAGATTTTAGGCAACAGCAACTAGGTAGAGAGAGTTCACAGTTTGTGAACTCTGTGAATCTGGTATCAGGCTGGCTGGGAGAAGGGCCTAAAGGGTGTGTGAAATGTAAACAAGGGCTTCCTGACGCTGCTCTGTGACTTGTGCTAAACTTTCTGGGGGTGGCAGACCCAGAGTAGTCATACCCAATCCATGAATCCAACATTCACAGAGTTCTTTAAGCCAGAAACTTCTTGCTATCTTGCCACATCTACAACCAAGCCAGACATGTGTAATTGATGGTGGCACTCAGGCAGGCTACTCCTGAAACAGGACCAAGGCTCCTGGCGTGTACTGTGGAGCTCCACTCCTCCCCAGATGCCCTGAAGCCCCTCTCCTCTTGGTCTCTTACCTGTTTCCTGCTGACCATAGTTTTCATCAGAACCACTTTTTCATCAGCTCCCTGTGCCTCCCCAGTGCCTCATGCTTCTCCCAGGCACCAACCCCACACCAGGGCTACAAACCACCTCCCCCACTCCTACCCCGTGTTCAGAGTAGAAAAACCCTCCTGCTCAAGCTGGGGACACAGCACCTCCATCCCCAGGCCCTGTACCACTATGCTCCCTTGGACTCCATCGATTCCTTCAGGCCGGGCTGACTTTCTCTCCTGCTCCACCCAGCGGCTATGCCAGGCTTTCGCCTTCCTGAAGCTCAAACAGTGTGCCTTCTAAACACAAACCCCACCCCGCCTCTCCCTTCTTCAGGTTCTTCCATGACTCCCCAGTCCTCTGGGACAAAAGTTAACCTCCCATCAGGTATTCAAGACCCCTGACATGTACATGGTGAAAGGGCAACAGAAGAAAAACCCCTAACATCCAGACGTGACTTTCCCCCGCCCCACTGTCACTATCAGCCTTCAGAGATCTTAAAACCAAATAGTTTCAGACTCTCGGTATGTATCATACATGTTCACATTCCAGAATCTTCCAGATATGATTCTCCTTATCCAGGCTGGCTTCCTCTATTAGCCTGGGGAATGTAGCACTGTGCCCAAGGTAGGTGTGAGGCAAATATTTGTTAAATGAGTAACTATTTCAAACTCCAGGTTACCATCACCTCCTCCAGGAAGGCTTCCATCACCAGTCCCTCTTCTGCCAAGACAACACCTTGCCTTGATGACCTTGTGCTATAACTGCCTTTTTCCATGACTATCTCCCTGCCTGGAATGAACTTCGTAAGGGAAAGCACGGATTGGGTGTGACTACTCTGGGTCTCCCACCCCCAGAAAGTTTAGCACAAGTCAGAGCAGTGTCAGGAAGCCCTTGTTTACATTTCACACACCCTTTAGGCCCTTCTCCCAGCCAGCCTGATACCAAATGTGGCTACCTCCTAAGAGATACATCCACCTCCTTCAATTTCAGAGGGGTGGGCACTGTCTTTCCACACCCCCTTCCCATACTGCTCAGGTCCCCTTTGTCAGGTCCACAGGAGCTGTGCCCAGCACCCATTAGCTCGTGTCCTATCTGCCCCGGCAGGGGTCCCACAGGTGCACAAGTGAGGTCTTCGAGGGCACCAATAGGAATGCAATCTACTCAATGACTATTTAGGCCCTGACATTAAATTCTGGTCACCTCTAGGAATCAGGCCAGAGGTCAGAGATATTGGGCTGAGGCTGGGCTGGGGGTTGGGGGACAACGATCAGGGGTGCCAGCAGTCCTGAGGGGCCTTGGATCACATCAGGGAATCAGTGGCACTGGGAGTCACCTTTTTGGAGTCAAGGATGCTTGGAGGTCCCCCACTGGGGGATCAGGGATTGGGCCACTTGGGGTCAAGAGTTGGGGATATTGGGAAGTTGCCTCTGGGGAGTAAGGGGTGAGGGTGCTGGGGTCACCTCTGAGGGTTAGGTTCGTTATGCTTGTCGCGGTCGTGCTTGATCATGCGGTAGCGGCCGATTCGGATGTCTGGGCGTGAGATCTTCATCCCAGTCAGGGAGATCCTGAGGATGGGGACGGACAGACTGGAACAGGCTCCAGGAAGGGCAAAGAACCCCACCCAGTCTGCACCCCCCCTCCCCCCCCCACCCAGCCTATTCCCCACCGCGTGCTTACTCACCGGTTGAAGATGTCATCATCCTCGCCACCCCAGCCCCAGTACTCATTGGGGAAGCCATTGATTCTCAGAAACTGAGCCTTACTCAGGCCTGACACACCTCCAAAGTAGCCAGCATAGGGAAGCCTGTGGCATGGGAAGGCAGGTGTCAGTAAGGGTCCCAAGGGGACTCCAGGGGAAGGACCAGAGACCAGGTCGGGGGGAATGTCCAATGGGGTCCAGGGAGGATCCAGCCTCGCCAGTGGGGTCTGGGCCACAGCCAGGAGCAAGCGGGGCTCGGGGGCTGGAAGTGGGCCTGCGTCTGGTGGGGGCAGGAGGGCTGGGTCCAGCTGAGAAGAGAGCCCTCACCGGAAGCCAAACTTGTCCATGGCAATGGCAAAGTGGCGGGGTTGGTCGCCGCAGCGGTATAGGTTGCGGTCATCCATGGGGACCAGGTCCACATCGCTGAAGATGAAGCAGTCATAGGCGGCATCCTCCTTCAGCGCCTCTAGGAAGCCCACGTTAAGCAGCTTGGCCCGGTTGAAGGTGTCCTCACCATGCTGGGTAGGGGGAGGAGCAGGTCAACCCTGGGCCTGTGACCAACAAGCACCTGCCCTTTTGCCACTCTCCAGAGCAGTCTCTGGGGATCTACCAGCCCCCTCGCTGCATGGCTCCTCCAGGCTCTCAGGATCTAGTCCAGCTTCTCGACCGGGATCTGGCCTACAAAGGCCTTTCATATGTGGCTCCAGCCTCCTCTCTGGCCACTGCCCTCAGGTCCCGAGGCCCAGCCACACAACATCCCTCAGCAGCCCCGGAATATGCCAGACTCTTCCTTGCCTCCAGGCCTTGGGGTTAGCAGTACCTGTGCTTGTCACACTCAGGGCTGGAGCGGCTCCCCTGACCACACTTCCCCACCCCAGTACGCTTATTCCTTCCTTCCCATGGGCTTCCTTTATGCCAATACCCATTGACAACGTCAGGTGGAGTTCTCATCTCATTCACTCATTCAAACATGCCCTGTGGCGCTCTCTCCTTTGTGCTAGCGGGGATTCTGGAGATGGCCAGCCCTGGTCCCCTCCCTGCTGTGTATAGAGTCATGCAGTGAGACAAACAACGAATGCCCCAAATGACCAGTGTCTAAGATGCAGGAGCCTCAGGCTCCCTGGAGCTGCATCCGGCTGCCTGGGCAGCCTCTGAGACCAGGACAGGTCTGGGCTAGATTCACTTGTCTCTCCAACAAAATGACAAGCATAGGGTCTATAGGCAGTCACAGCCCAGCAAGCCTGGGGTCCCCTGAGAATTGGGGCTGCAGGGGTCCTGGCCATGTAGGCCTAAGCACCAGACTCTGGACTAGGACTAGCAGGGAGCATTCAGTGGGAGGCGCTGACCCCTGAGCCCCTGCCCCAACCTGCAGTCTCCAGGCTAGAACCAGAAAGGTTCCTGGAGAGGGGATCGGTGAGTGGCCTTTCTGGAATGAGCGGAGAGAAAGGCCCTCTTCTCCACCAGCAAAGCCACTGCCAGAAGAGGTGGGAGCTGCTCCCCTCGGGAACCCTGACCTGCCCAGCCCTGCCAGCTCTCTTCTCTCCCTCTCCTGCACCTCCTCTTCCCCCAGCCCTTGGAGAGACCATCGCTTTCCTCCCAGCTCAGCAGCACTCCTTCTGACCTCTCACCAGCCAGGAGCCCTGTGTCTCTCCCACATGGCTCATAAACATGCTCAATCCTCTCCCAACTGAAAAAACAAACCTCCCTCCAGCCACCACCCTACCTTTTGCCTTCCCTTCTCAGCAGGGATTTTTTTTTAAAGAGTTGTCTCTAATTGGTTATTTCCATTTCGTCAAATCCGATTCCTTCTTCAACCCACTGCAATCTGCTTCCGCCCCCACCATGCCCCTGAAATGGCTCTCGCTGGGCCCACCTTGTTGCTAAATCCACTGGACGAGTCTTGGTCCACATCCCTCCTCACACCCCCACAGTGCCCATGCAGCTGCCATGTCTCCTTCCTGACACTGACTGCCGGGTTTCCGGGATCCCACACTCCCCTGGGTCTCCTCCAGCCCTTCTGGCCAAGCCTCTCGGCCTCTGTAGCGGCCTCTTTCTCCCTCCATCCCTGAAGTGCTGGCTTCCTCCTCTCATGCCCCTTGCTCCCTGGCAGGTCAGACGTTGTTGGTTTTAGGGACCAGACCGTCTTCATCCTGGTGCTCCCAGATCCCTCTCTCCACTGCAGACCTCCCTTCTGGGTCCAGACTCATTTGTCTAACTGCCTGCTAAACATGTACTTCCCACAGGCGCTCAAACTCATCACACGCAAGAAAGGATTCAGAGTCACACTCCCCCAGAGCTGGCCCAGCTCCTGTGTCCCCATCTCACTCAGACACAGCCATCCCCACAGCCAACAGCCAAGGCGGAAACCCTTGCGCTGTCCTGACGTCGCTCTTTTCTCACTCTCCACTACTTGCGTAACAACCCCACTTCTTCCCCGCGACTCCCGCCCCACACATCCGCAGGGTCACCGCCTCTTTCCTGGGCATCGTCCTCTCTTCCAAACGGGCCACGCTGTCTCTAATCTCCCCTCTCCATCCATGCTCCATATGCAACCAGAGTGACCTTTCTACAAAGCAAACACGCAAGTCACTCTCTCCTTACAACCTTACATGGTGCCCTGTCACTTTTGCGCTGGACTTACTGCCAGCATGCCTCCCAAGACATTTCTCAGTTTGACTTCCAACTCCTCCAGCCTCATCTTTGCTACCCAGTCCACATGCTGGACACCACACCTCAGCCAATAGTTCGTGAACACGAGGCCAGTTATCTTGCTGGCCCTGCATCCTCCAGGTCCCTCTGCCTAGAATGCTGGCTTCTGCAGCCCCTGATGCCTGCTCATCCCGCAAGACCCATCTCAGCAACTGCTTCCCAACCCCAGGGCTGGACTGGGGCCCTCTGTGCTCCCACGGCCCCCTGCTCCACCTCCACTTGTGTCCCATCATACGGGAGGGACCCATGTCCAAGTCTAGGAGGTCTCTGTGGTCGGCGGGGGCGGGGGGGCCTGCATCAGAGGTCCCTTCTGGGACCTAGTGGCCAGCCCTAGCCAGGTCCACCAAAGGCCTTAAGATGCTGAGCTGAGTGCCCTGGCCTCAGCTGTGGCTGGCACCTACCCCAAAGGGTTCTACAGGCTTCATCCTTCTTTCAGGGTCTAACTCCCTCTCCTCAGGGCCCTCAACATCTCCTCCTACAGCATACCCAAGGCCTGCACCACCATGGGGTGAGGCCTGCCAAGGGTAGAGAGTGGGGCTCAACCCCTTCTGAGACCATGCACACACCTGCCAGTGTGCATGCCAACATTCACATGCACACACTGTGCGTACACATTCCTGTGCACACTGACAAACACCGACTACCCACGCCCAGGTCCATCCACATATCCACACGGGCAGACAAGGACCCACAAACGCCCCCAACCCACATATATACACCAACAGGCACATGGACCCCCGCATGGGCACCTGGTTGATGACATAGACGCCGTAGCGCAGCCGCTGCCGCCTCAAGATGGGGTGTAGATAGTGGAGCCAGTAGCGCAGGTGGTGTTCCCGGTGTCTAAAGGGGATGATGACCGCCACCGTCTGGGCTGGGGTGCAGTCGGGCGGTGTGTATCGGCCGCCCATGAGCACGCCTGGGTTCTCCCTCTGCACCCGCTCCAGGGGCATGGGTGAGGTGAACTCGATCAGCAGTCTGCCCACTGCAGACAGGACAGTGTCAGGAATCAGGGCATTGGCCAGAATCCACAGATACCAGCCCCCACCCTCAGCCTGGGGGTGGGCTAGGGAACCCCAAGAATAGCCCTCTTACAACAGACCTGGACCCCTGGCACACCCCTGGGTCCAGATGCCATTTCTCTAGTCAAACCAATAAAACCCTGTTTCCCCACAGGCAGGCCCTACCCTCCAGGCTCACCAAGACCAGGTGGCGAGTCAGGACAGGGTGGCAGCGTGGGAGCCGTGGGACCGGGCAGGGCACTGGGGACCTCAGGGAGCCCGGAGCTAGAGGCGGTGGCGTTGGGCCGGGAGCAGTTGCTGCTGCTGCTGCTGCTGCTAGCAGCTGGGTGGAGGGCATGGGCAGGGCCTCGGGCACTGAAGCGGCTGAAGAAGGCCAGGTGCTGGGCGTAGACGTCAAAGTAGAGGATGACGGCCACGAGGAAGTGCAGCAGGCAGAGAAGGAGCACAGCCTTGCAGACGCGCTCCAGCGTCCCCCCCAGCAGTCTGCTCATCCCGCAGGCGGCCACTGGCCCGCCCAGTGGGCCCGGGCATCCGGCTGCTGGCCTGAGCAGGGTGGGAGGGAAACAGATCCAGCAGGTCAGGGCAGGACAGGCAAGGCTGCCCACCTACCTCCCACTCAGCTGCTCACACTCGTGGGCCACACCTCACACTGACCTGCTCATACCCTTTCACACTCACAGACTCAAGAATTTACCTCCAAACAGACACCCAGGCACAGTTCCCGGCAACTCAGTACTCACATCCTCAAGCACACCCCACTACTAAGCCACATACATTTACCTTCCTCCACCTCACTGACACACACACTCAGGCACTCACCCTTATTGCACAACTCTACACACACACTCACGCATTCCCAGGAACACAGACACGTGAACTCTAACCACACTGGTTTGTACCTAAGCATGGAGACATGTTTACCTATAGACCCCCATGTGCCCCTGTGCCCCTGAGAACAGACACCTCACATGGCAGCATCCTTAACCCAGAACTCATGGCTTGGGGAAGAGGGAAGAGACGGAATACTGTGCACCTACCATGCAGGAGCACTTTATACTCATGACTTCATTTAGTCCTTCCAGGAGCCATGGTGGGAAGTGGTTTGGTCATTCAGATCCCAGCGACAAGCAGGCCAGGCCAACTGGGACCAGGCTGGGAAGTTGCCCTCAGCATCCGGGGGGCCCAAATACAGACTGGATGTTTACAGAATCCCTTCCCACTGGAGCAAAACGTCAAAATACGGGGCAAGGCAGGGGACACCCCTCACTTAAGACCTCAAAGCCAGCCCCTTGGGACTGGGACCAAGACTCTGGGTCCTGCCCAGCACAGCTGGTTCTGATTCCCGGAACGGGATGCTTGGGCCTGGAGATGGGCACAGCACTGGGCATGGCAGGAAGGGGGTCTTGCCTGGGCGATGGCTCCAGCTGTGGTTCCAAGAGAGCGGCAGCCACTTCTGGCAGTGCTTCAGGGAGCAGGGTGAGTCTCACAGGCACACAGAATCACAGGGACACCCTGGTCCCAGCTGGTCACCCACACTCAGACACACAGAGAACTACAGTCACAGACACACCCGGGTGACAGTAACACACTAAGTCCCACACTCACAAACAAGGCCACTGCTCCTGGACTTCCACAGCCATACATCCAGACTCTCAGACAGCTCACACCCAGACCCACGTGCAGACATTCCCACCCTCCCTCCGGCGCAGGGGTTCTGGGTCAGGCTGGCGGCCAGGCTGAGGGGTGCGTTTGGGCGGGGCTGGCAGGCTGAACACGTGGCACCCGCGGACGGGCAGGCCGCACAGACCGGGTGGGTGTGGAGCCTGGGGGCAGGGGGAGTGGGTGGAGGGCAGCGGATGAGGCAAAGGCCAAGGGGAAACGTGTATGGAACGCCTCCCCGCGCCACGAGGCCGGGGCGAGCGAGGACAATGAGGGAGGCCGGCTGGACGCGGGCGGAGAAGCCCAGGAGGGGCGCCGGAGTGGGGGCGGGGTGGGGGCAGCCAGGCCGGGGTCTGGCCGCCGGCGCCTCTCTCACCGGCTCCTGGGTTGGGATCTCGGGGCCGCGCTCGGGGTGCCCCTCGCGGGGCTGGGTCTGGAATCTCGGGGCCCTGGGTGGGGGCCGCGCGCGCCCTCCTCTCACCCGGCGCTCGGGGCTCAGCAGGGGACGCCGCTCCGACTTGGGCAGGGCTCCCGGCTCCGGCGGCTGCGGACGGTTCCGTCCCCCATGGCCCGGCCCCGCCGCCTCCCGCCGCCCGGTCAGCGGCCACCGCGGCCCCCGGGTCGCCTCCCGCCGCCGCCGCCGCCGCCGCCGCCGCGGGCCATGGAGCCGAGCCGCCCCGGGGGGCAGGGCGGGGCCGGGCGGCCGGGCAGACCCACGGACCGGCGGACCCACGGACCACAGCGCCGCCGCCTCCCTCCCGCGCTACGGCGCCTCGGAGGGGCAGGCCCGGCCCGCGCGCCCGCGCGCGCGCCCCCGCGGCCCCCGCCTCCAGCACGCCCGCACCCGCCGCGCGCCGCTGCGAGCCCGCCCTGCCGGCGGCCGAACCCGGGCACCCAGGAGGCACGGACCTGGGAGCGCGGGAGGAAATGGGTCAGGCTCGTCCAAAGGGTGGGCTTAGAGGTCGGACCGGCGAGCGGGTGCAGACCGTGGAGTCCCTTAGCGGGGAGTGGGGATTGCATTGGAGCGCGAACTCCCCAGGAAGGGGACCTGGAGGTTGGGCGGACTCAGGCTGCGGGGCTAGGGATTTGTCAACTCTTTAATTGGACCAAGATTCAAGGTCGGCCAGCAGAGAGGGGGCAGGACCCTTAAAGGCGTGGGCTGGAGGTGGCTGGGGCTTCTGGGGTAACAGGAAACAGGGTCAGGGAAGGAGAAAACGAGATTGGATGGGGTGGGAGGAGCTGCCCTGGGCCCTGGGAACAAGGATCAGAGTAGAGGTTTCTGGGAGGGGCTGCTGCTAGAAGGACAGGACCATCACTGGAGGCAGAGACCACTGCCTAGGCTCCAGGCCTCACAAGGACGGAGATGATGGTGCCCGACTGTACAACCAGGTAAGTAGATGCTGTCAGACAATTCGGGCATGGTGGTCAGTCAGAGCCCTGAGCAAACGGGCCTAGAAGGACTACAGGCACAAACACACCCAGGGGCCCCTATCTGCACACTCCCTCATCCCCAAACAAGTCTGTTTGGGGGTTAGAGTCCACCCAGCACCCGTGCCTCCCCACCTAGGAGCAAGCTCTGTGCAGATCAGAAGTGTGCAGTCAGAAAGCTGACAAGGGATTGGCATGAGGCTGAGGCGTACAGGCCTCTTTACCCTTCCTCTGTGAACGGTGACGCAAGAGGGCAACAGAAGCTGCACTGACCCAGACAAATACCAAGTTTATTTCACAAACACTAGGAAGATGGGTTGAGGGTGGAGGTGGGGGACACAGGTGCGCAGCTGCACAGAGTCAGCAGCAGCAGCCTGCTCCCCGCACTGAGGACTCGGCCTGGACTGCAGTGCCTCCAAATCAACACGCAGCAAGAGGGGAGTGCAGGGAGGGCCCTGAACACCAAGCCTCTGAAAGGCTAAGGGACACAGCTCCAGCTGTCCCAGGAAAACCAGCAATAAATAAAAGTGAGGCACGGCCCCACCCACACATATCATCTAGTCACCCATCTTCACTCTGGAGGTCTGCAAAAAAAGAACAGGAGAAATCAGGCAGGGACAGAGGAATAGGTAAGGCAGTGACAAATGATAGAAGATGACATCTAGCACATGGTTGGATGGACAGACCACAAGAGATATATGACTAACCAGGATGGACACACTGTGACAGACAAGGCAGACAGGGACAGACAACCACAGAGTTACGCTGTGGGACAGACGGAGAGAAGTGGCATATGGATAAAGCTAGTCACTAAGAATCAACTCAGTCAAGCACCCACAGTCACACTCAGACCCTCAGGCTGATCCTTAGTCACAAACTCACACACTGTCAGACAGACTAGACACACACAATTTAGACAATGGTGTCCTACTGACAGGCATGTGAGAGGGAGATACACATAGCTCCGAGAGACAGTCAAACACACCATGACAGACTGATATAGACAGACAAAATTCCATTCTAGTCTAGATCACAAATACAGACTGGAGACATGAAAAGCATGGCAGATAAAATGAGAGAACAGAAAGAGGGAGGACTAAGTGCTATACAGATACAACGCATTAGAAAGGGGGGAAAAAGAACAGGGCTGTTGTCAGTGACACCAAATCAGAGACAAAAATAGAGAGCCCCTGTAGGAGAAAACCAGAAGATGGAAATGAGGAGGTGGAAGCTGTTTGGGGGAATCTATAGTTATAGGTAGAGAAGGAGAGCACTTCAGCTTCTCCAGAAGGAGGGTAAGGCTAGGTTGGGGACAAGGACACAGAGGCTTCCCAAGGGGATTCATCACCTGAAGAATTGCGACGATGACCCCAAAGAGGCCAATGGCGCTGCCAAAGATCTCCACGATGAGAATCTTTACAAAGAGGCTGGGGTTCTGAGCATCGGCCAGGGCAGCCCCACTGCCCACGATGCCCACGCAGACTCCACAGAAGAGGTTAGACAGGCCTACGGTGAGGCCAGCCCCAAACATGGAGTAGCCTGGGAGGATAGAGAGGGGTGCAGTGAGGCTAAGCCAGGAATGGGGGAGATATGGGCTAATGGGGCCAATCACCATCCCCACTCTGCAAAGCAGAAAAAGTAGGTGAGAGAATATCAAAATGATGGCCCAAGCTGGGATGGGGGAGAGTGGAAGCAGGCATGAAGTCCCAGCATTTTGCATTCATACGCCCATCCACCCACCTGCATGGTAGTTCCGATGGCCGATGGCCTTGGGGTCTGTGGCACTGAAAGGCTGAGGGAAGAAGAAAAGTAATCAGAAACCATCCTGATGCACCCCATCCAATCTCTAAGGAATGTGTAGAACACACTGGAATGGATTCCCGCCACCACCCTGGCCTTCCATACCTCAGCCATGTTGCTAATGACAATTGCCATGATGATGCCGTAGATGGCCACAGCCTCACAGAAGATGATGCTGGTAGTGGTAGAGATTAGGGGTAAGGAGTGGAAAGGAGAAAGAAATGAGAAAGAAACCGTCCTTCCTGCCCAGTAAGTCCCCAGCAATCTTTCCCCTATAACATCCCATCCCACAAGGTGGCTTGTCAGAAACAGTATGTCAGATCAAACACACAGGCAGCGCCAACACAGCTGGTTCTGACAAAAGTCCAAGGACCCTGACACTTACCTGACCAGGTTCTTGGTCTTGATCCTGGGGGCCTTCACTCCTCCACCAATGATGGAGGAGCCGGTAATATAGATGCCCCTGGTGGAAGGATAAAAAACTGATGAGCAGAGCCCAAGCTGTCACTGCCCTCAGCATGCCTAAGACCCCAGTGACACCACCTGCCATGACTCAGCCCCTGCCCCCAGTCCCACCACCCCAATACTCACCAGGCTGCCCCAACCACAGACAGGGAGATAGCTAGGCCAATGCCCAGGTTGGACCACATGAAGGGCGAAGTCTCCGTCAGGAACCTGTTGTGGAAGCAGAGAAGAAAGCAGTTCAGCTCTAGCAGGGAAGCGGAGCACAAAATCTTAACCCCTCAAACCCCCTTCAACCCCACCACCAGTTCTACAGGCAACAACTGACCGCGTATTTCCCAAAGGTCCATGTCCCAGGCAGGCAGTGGTGTGGGGGAGGGACTCAGACCAGAGAAAAGAAGAGAGGCTGCAGGGAAGAAGCTTCAAGGGGAATCCTCCCCCTGCCCTCCCTTACCATGCCACATCAAAGCGGAAGCCCAAATCAAAAATGGTGTAGCAGACTCCTGCAGCAGTGAGGGAGAAAAAGGGGGTTACGGGCTGCTCGGTAGAGAGAAGTTCTTCAACCTAAAGTAGCTGCCGAGCTGAAGGGCCACCTCCCTGAAGGGGCGTCCTCAGGCTGCCCCCAGGTGACAGTACAGCTGTGTAGACAGATTCCTCTGCTTAGGCCTCCATTTTCTGCCATTCCCTCGCTAAAACCACCTCCCAGACCAAGCACCTGCGCAGGCAGGGTCGCCACCCGCAAGCCCGAATCCGAGGCGGGACCGAGGGAGCAAGCGCTCCAGCCAGATCCCGCCGGCCCAGTCCGTTCCGCTGTTTACCCAACAAGCTGTGGGTGGGGGAGGGCAAAGCGACTGGGAAAAGAGGAACCGGAGCAGCCGGCTTGTGACCGAGCGGGCCGGTCAGGAGCAAGAAAGGGGGGACAGCAGTGAGACGTGGGAGCGAGGGGAGACAGCGATAGTGGCAGGACGGGGGAGTGCTGCCCTCGCGGCCCCTACCCGCCCGCACCCCTCCTCAAGCAGCTGGAAATCCGGGTCTCCTTTGTCGGAGTCAGAGGCCCTCGCAGGCGCAAGTCCCCAGAGCCTCGGGTGCAGAGCGCGCGGGGGGCCAGTATTCCCCGCAGGCCACTTCCCCGCCGAGTTCCGACCCGGCCAGCTCGGCCGCGATGCTGCTCCCGCCCGCCAGGACCCGGCCTCACCCACGGCCAGCGCGCAGGCCCAGAAGGCCACGAAGACCCCGGAGTAGAGCAGTGCTAGCCCCGTCATGGCGGCGACGGCGGCGGGGGTCGGAACGGCGGGGCCGGAGCTACAAACGCGTCCCAGCGTCCACCGTCCGTCCCGCAGTCTGTCCGCCCGCCCCGCAGCGTCACCTAACTCGCCCACGTGATGCGCCGGTACCACGTGACCCCACGCCGGTTCCCCGCGCAGCGCCGCCGCCCGTCTAGAGCAAGGCGACGCTGGAACCGCAGGCGCTGGGGATTGTGGTAGTTGTAGTCACGCGTCTCGGCGGAGGCTTGGGCGCCCTCCTCTCTAGGAACTTCGACATCTGGCCGGTCCTTCTCGAGTCTCTCCACCTCGCCCTGCCAGCCCTGTTTTATTCCCGAGCCTGCTCGCGGGCCCCTAAGGCGTCCTCTCTGGCAGCCGTGCGTCCTAGCCTGTGGCGGGTGGCGCCGCGCGTGCCCTCTGCCTCACCTTGCTCACGGCGTCTCTCCGCCCCAGTGCGCCTGTTGGCGCTCGCTCCGCTGCCTGGCTAACACCTGCTGTCCTCCGAAATCGTCCTTCCGGCAAGCCTTCCCTAACCCAGTGGCAGGGAAGCGCGTTTGCTGGGCTCCCGCGATGTCCTGGTGATGCTTATTAAGCTTCAGTAAGATGTCACTACCCTGTCGAAATGCCCTGATGGCTCCCATTTCATTCAGGAGAAAAGCCAAAGTTCTCACAATAGCCTGCTAGGCTCCCCACGCCCCTCAGCTGACTTCACCTTCTAATATTCCCCCACTAACTCCCTCCTCTGGCTGCACTGCCCTCCTTGCTATTTCTTTGAACGTGCCAACCATACCGCGACCTCACTGCCCTTGCACTTGCTCTCTCTGCTTCTCCTAACTATACATGCGGCTCATCCTGTAACTTCCTTTCAGTTTTTGCTCACCTTCTTGAAAAGGCCTTCTCTGACCATTCTGTTTAATATTCCACCCCACTTAAACGCTCCTCTGCTTCCCAGCTTTACATTTCTCACGGTACTTACTGATCACCATTTGGCATACTAAGTATTTTATTTGTCCAACTCCCCTGGAAGAGTGGAAGCACCATGGCTTTTGTGTCGCTCACTGCTGTATTTCCAGTACCTGGCACAGAGTGTGTCCTCAGTACATATTTGTAGAACACATGACTGATGCCCACTTTGTCTGGGTTACCTTGTTAGCTTACAGCTCTGCCTCCACCATTAGACTAGGCATTCCCTGAGGGCAGGGACCACATCTCCTTTGTTCACCTTCAATACCCTCGACAATGCCACTGTGACCAGATTCTCAACAAATGTGGGGAAGAAGAGGCGAGTCTTTTCATTTCACCCCTCTCCACCTTTAGGGCCCAGCAACCCCACTTGCTTGAAGCATCCGCCATGTTGGTTCATGTTTAAGCCCAAAGGTCTTTTTCACTCCTTTTCTCCTGACAATTATTTTTTCCTCCAAAAGATCCAGCATAGGTGTTATGCCCTCTGGGAAGCCTCCTCTTAGTCCTTGTCAGGTATCTCCTGTGGGATCCAGCTGTCCCTGGGGCTTCCCTCCTCCCAGATAGAGCTGTTTCACTGTGTACTGACTGCGTATTTAACTCTCTTTCCAGGTACACTGGAAAGGAATCTGGTTAAATACAGTTAACATCTACATCCCAGGACCAGTGCAGGACCTGCAGTATTTCATGAATTAAAAAGAAACACAAAGAGAAAAGGTATCTGGTTTATTTAGGTTGCTGTGATCTCCCTGAGAAATAAGAGTCAGTATAGACCAACGCTGTCCAACCAATAGAACTTTCTGCCATGATGGCATATCCTGTAGCTGCACTGTCCCCTCATGTGGCTGTCTGAACACTTGAATGACTAATGTGACTGAGAAACTGAGCTTTTAATCTTAATTAACTTAAATTTAAGTTTAGCCACATGTATTTAGTGGCTACTGTACTGGACAGTGCAGGTCTAGCTAGACCAGTGGTTCTCAATTGAGGGCAATTTTCCCCCACAGATAACATTTGCCAAGGTCTGGAGATATTTTTGGTTGTCACAACTGGGGGAGTGCTTCTGATGTCTAGTGGGCAGAGGCCAGGGATGCTGCTGAGCACCCTACCATACACCAGACAGCCCCACAACAAAGAATTATCTGGCCCCAAATGTCAAGTACGAGTTTGAGAAACCCTGGTCTAGACTGTCTAGCACCTGCCTTTTGACAAGGACAGACCCTCAACTGCAGCCTGGGAACTGGGATTGGCCAAAGGTCCTGGGCTGCCCTCAGGAAGACAGATGGGTCCAGAGGCCTCAGGGAAGTCCCTAAGCCCTTTATTCCATCAGCCAAACAACACGCATTACTGGGCATGTGCTGAGCTTGTGCCAGTGCCAGGACAGGACAGAGACGGATCCTATCCTGTGAAGGGCTGCCTGCTCTCCCTCCTTCCAGGGTCCTTCAAGGATCTTGGCAGGGGGATGGGAGGTTGGTGCAGGGAGCACTAAAGGTCCTAGCAGCCATTCATAAGTCCATCTATGTCTCCAGCCCCACATGGTATCAGCCGCTTCCCTCATCCTCATAGGCGATGGCAATCCCTCGTCTTCCACTCACAGCTTCTGTCACTGGCGTCTGACCCAGGCGGGGCTCCAGCCCTTGCCAGCTCCGGGAACTAAGGAATGAGGCTGTAGAGGGAGGGGGCTCAGTCTGAGTGCGCTGCATCTGGAGAAAAAGCTCAGCTGGGAGTGGAGACTTGTACATTTACCTGCAGGACTGCTCTCAGCCAGCTCCAGCTGGGGCCGTGGGGTCAGAGCCAAGCTTCCATGATCATTTGATGACTTCCAGGCAGGTGGGGGTCGGAGATCTCCAGTAATGAGTGACACGTCTGGGGTTTCCCACAGCTCTGACTCAGGTGGTGGGAGAGCCACGTGGAAGGGAGAGCCTGAAAGGGAGGAGGAAAGAAAATCCATACTCACCCCCTGACTCCGTGCCCCAGGTTTCCAGCTTAGGCAATGCCCCCACTACTCACCAGGCAATAAGTCCGCATAATGTGTGAGGTGGGGAGCCAGGCCTGGAGGTGGCCAGGCAGGGTTGCAGGCAGCTTCCAGCTCACATGGTGCCAGTATAGGCTGGAAGAAGCTACCAGAAAGCTGGGGGGCTAGAGCACCCAGAGGACAGGCTAATAGCACAAAGACATCCACCTCAGGGAAGTTGGCAAGCTTGGCAGGGGTGGGCCGCCCCAGGGCCAACACATAGCTACGCTTGCCAGCAGCCTGAGTCAGGTTCCGCAAGTGGGCCAGTGCCTCACGGTGTTGGGCTACACCCAGTGTGCCTGCCAGCAGCCCTACCACGCGGGCATCTCTGGCCCTCTCTACCAGATATCGTCTTCGTGCCCTTAGCCGTCCAGCCCGGGCACCCTCATCCTGAGTCTTCCCTGTATCTGGACAGCAGGAGGAGAAGGGTTGACCTGGTGCCCACCCCAAGAGCAGCCGACTCAGGTCTGGGTCAAGGTCTGGGTCAGGGCTGGCCTTAGAGCCCCCTACATAGAAGGCACCATACTCTTCTAGACGCCTCCCTGGGGCAAGGGGGAAGCGGCGCCCAAAACGCTCTAGGGGCATAGGCTCTGGACTCAGGGAACCCACTGGTTGGGGAAAAGCTGGGCTGGAGACTAGCAGGTCCAGGTACCGTGGGCGCAGGAGAGTAGCCAAAGCCTCTGGAAGAGAAGGAGGTAGTGTTGAGGTTGGAGCCTGGCAAAGCAGGAGCTCCCTCATCCCCAGGAGACTAAATATGACCCAGTAGGCTGGGGCCAAGCCCATATCAAGAGTTCTATGGATGGTATATGGAAATGGGGAAATTAAGGCATAAAGCAGTTGGCTCACCCTTTGTGCATACACAGGCAAAACCCCTTACCCAGGGCATGGGCACAGGCCGGCTCACTCAGCAGCACCACAGGCGCTTTGGGGTCTGGGTTCTGGGCCTCAAAGGCCTTGACACAGAGCTCCAAGGCCACAGAACGTTGACGAAGCACGAAGGCAACGGGCAGTGGGCGGGCTGGAGGGCTTAAGCAGGCAGGGCCAAAATGTATGAGAGCCTGAGCTCCAGCTTGCTCAGCACCCAGCACATCCACGCAGCAGCTGCAGGGAAGATAGCATCAGAGAAATGGGTTCTCTTCTGGAGGCGAGTTGCTGTCATCACTGGGAAATGTGGTCAGTGAATAAAATGGTTTCATTAAAGGAAGACATTGTCAATGAAAGGAGCTAGCATCAGAAGGGGAGTCATTACCATTATCATCAAGGAGAAACACCACCATTGAAGGCAATCACTGTCATAGACGTAAAACCCCATGAGCCCCGGATCCCCAGGCCTGGCCCACCTAAGGCCAAGTTCACACCTGCCGTAGGCTGTGTCACCCAGAATGAACATCTTTGACCCTGTCGTCTCCTCCAGTCGTGCAGCCACAGCCACAGCATCTCCCAATAGCTGGTCAGGGAACTGCAAGGCAACCTATAAGCATAAACCATGGAGTCAGGGACAGCCTCTCTCCCACTGAGGGCTTCTTTAAAGCAATCTTCCAGGAGCTCCCACTCAACCTTCAAAGCCCCTGGTCCCAGAGGGGCACTCTGCCCCACGTAGTAGGTGGAAGGGAGGGATGGTCAACGCGCTGCGGACAGACTGATTCCCCCACCCTCTCGCCCTCACAAAATCCCCCAAGATCCGGATCCTCTGGGCGACCCATCCCGACAGAGGCGAGCCACCCTTCCCTAAGTCTGTCCTCACTCGTTCACACCCCAGGTCGCGGACAAATCCAGCGACTCGCTCCAGCTCGTACACTCCGTCCAGGTCCGGAAGAGGAGTAAGCAGTCCTGGCACCCCGGTCTCTCGCTGCAGCGCCGCCTCGGCAGGGCTGCTAAACATCGACTCCATGAGGCACAGCTTGGGTGGTGGGATGCAGCGGGGACCTCCCTGGGACAGCTTCGGGGCCTGAGTCCTCTAGAGCAGCCCTCAGGGGGTCAAAATCGCCTTGTGGGGGTAGGGGGAATCACAGTCGGCCTTCAGCCGGTGAGTATCCCCTTCAGCCATCCTAACTACTGTTTCTCCGCTACACGTGGGACTACCGGGGAGGTTACTTCCGGGTTTTAGAGGCGTGGCTGATAGCGATTTTGCCAATCCTAAGTCAGCACAGCTCCCGCCCTCCAATCCCCGCCACCGCCCCGCACAGAGAACCAATGTTCAGCCTGAGTCCCAGGCCAGCCGGAAGTACATCGAGGAAGGCGCGGAGCCTTGTGGGCATTGTAGTTCCCCTGGCCTCCTCTCGGGCGCTGGGAGTCCGGTTCAGCCGACCCGCGGCCATCAGGAACACCGACTTCACTGTTAAGCATTTCACGTGCACTCTATCCTCTGGGCAGTATCACTGCATAATTCTTTCATTCATTCATTTTTTTTTTTTTTTGACAAGGTCTCGCTATGTTGCTTGGACTGGAGTGCAGTGGCGCGATCTCCACAACCTTCACCTCCTGGACTGAAGCCATCCTCCCACCTCTGCCTCTTGAGTAGTTGGGGCTACAGGCGCACCACCACATCCAGCTAATTTTTGTATTTTTTGTAGAGACAGGTTTTTGCCATGTTGCTCAGACTGGTCACAAACTCCTGAACTCAAGCAATCCACTCATCTCGGCCTCCCAAAATGCTGAGAGTACAGACGTGAGCCACCGTGCCCGGCTACACTGCATAATTTTAAACTTGGTGCCGACCGGCTCGGGTTTGAATATTGTGCTTGGTCACTTGCTACTGAGTATCTTAGGAATGTCCCTATGCCCATTTCCTTATCTGAAGAATGGGGAGTTGTGACAATAGTACCTCTTAATAAGATTGTTGTGAGGGTCTAATTAATTTATATACAAAACTTTACAAAGTAGTTCTTTGGATATCGCATGCAGTGAAAGCATTTGCTATTTAATCAGCCAAATACTGAGCACTTACTGTACATTAGGCACTTCATTTTTAGTGTTTACAGTCTTTGGAGTAAGAATTATCCCGAGTGGTACCAAGGACATGACTGGCACATCCTCAAGTCACAGGAGATGCTCTGCACAGCTCCAGCCATCCTCAAACACTGCTGCTTCCCAGCAATACCCCCAGTGCATACCACATAGACCTCTACCCTCCAGCCCCTCACATCCCCTCTACTCCCCATGTTTACTTATATGCAAACACCCCCACATGCAACATCACTTGAAATGCCCTCCTTACATACCTCTGTCAGATACGGAAACTGAGGTTCAAAGAGACTACTTGTGTAATAAGACACTAATTCTGTGGCACAACCAGCATCAAACCCGGATCTATTGAACAGGGAAGGAGTGGGATGAATGTGGGAGTAACGAGTTCCCCATCACCCACAAGGAGATTGAAAGCTCAAGGGTAAAAGTGGGGAGAACTCATTCTGCTCTTCAGATCTTACTGAGGAGAAGCCTGGGGTACCTGAGAGGCAGCCTAGGTGAAACTATAGCTGAGGAGACAGAAAGGGAGGCAACACTGCTAAGGGAGAAAAGCAAGAATAGGTCAGGAGCTGTCCCTGGTGCTGATTGATCCCTGACCATCCTGTGCTGGAGGTCCTGTGTAAGCGGGGAGCAGCGGACATATGGACAACCTTAGGTCCTACTTTCCTCTTTTCTCCTCTGCGGCTGAGATATCTTCTCTCCTTCACCTCCCTGCCACCCACCCACCCCCCAATACACACACACTCAGCCCCTTTCTATAGCCCTCCTCAACCATATGCAAGTTCGATGTTGTATAACTCCACACCAGAAACCCCTCCCGGAAGTCAAAACTCCACTCCATTTCTTCCTTCCTAAACGGACCCAGCCCTACCCCACTTGCAGCCCAAAGTCTCAAGTCCTCTACCTAGAAAGCCTACTATTCCTGTCAAAAACTTTCTCCATGCAGCCTTCCCTCACTTCCTACCATTCTCCATGGTAGCTATGGACTAGATCAACCTTTGTTCAGGGCAGAACGACGCAGGACAGAGCTAGGGGCCTAATATTCGGCGGTGTTGATTAAATAAATGTATGCATACATGCATGTTGGGATTAATTTAATGGGGATGGGGGGGTTGATGACACTACTGCAACCACCCCGCCCCAAGGACAATGACAGTATTCTGAAGGGCTCCAGCCTAGGTGGCTTGGCTACAGTAGTATCTCTTCCAACCTGGGAGCTAGAGGATGTTCCCACCATTCCCTCCCAAGGCCTGGGTCCAAGCATCCTCCCATCCTTCCCCCAGGCCTTCTGGACCCAGGCTTTCAGTTAGGTGGTGGTGACAGCAGAAAGGAGGCAGAGACAGCAGTGAGGGTCCAGGTTTACTCTTTGGGAATAGGGAAGGATGAAGAGAAGGGGTGGATGGGATGGGGGCACCCCTCAGTAGTCAGCTGTGTAATCTGTGCCATGGAGACCCCGGCACAGCAGTGTGAACTCCTTCACCATCTCCTTCACCCGCCTCTTGTTCACTCGCTCGCTGAAGGAGAAAAGGGAGAGCAGGTTAGCACCAGCCACCACCACTGCCCCCTCTCTGCCTGACCCCAGGCCCACCCCAGCTCTGCTCACCGAAGGATCTGCTGGCTGAAGGTATCCTTCTGTTCAGGGCTGAGGCGGGCAGAGGGGAAACCAGGTGGCTGCAGGGCCTCCTTGATCCACATGCTCAGGAGGCTGAAGCAGTGCTTGTTCAGGGCGAACAGGATATCGGCAAAGCAGTCCATGAGGCTGCGGGAGGCCTGGCCCCCAATGGCCTGAGGGAGAGGGGTTCTCAGCACACCAGGGTGTTGCCCCTTCCGCCGCTTCTGCAGCAAGAATGCCTAACTGCCCTCTGGACAGTTCCTAAGCCAAACTGCACATCACAGTGAGCGCTGCTTTTTGAGAGCCAGCTGATCCCCACAGCAATCCTAACAACTTTCAGGCATTTAATTGAAGAAGAAACAGAATCTGAGAGCTTAGGGGACCAAAGGCTCAAGCCTCCCAGAAGGCCAGCTGCCTCAGCAGTGAGGGGCCCTCACCCCCATCAAACCCCCCTTTGCTCCGTCTCACCTCCAGCACTGCTATGAGCAGCATACGACCGTCTTCCTGTACCACCTTTCCCACAGACTCTACTTCCCCACACCGAGGCAGCAGCTCTGTCTGCAGAGGATGGAGAGGCCCATCAGCCCAGCTCCTTCCCAGCTCTCCCTGAGGACAAGACCTGTACACCCCAGCCCTACTGTCTGAAGTCCTGGGCAGGGGAGGGCACTGGGGTGGCAGTGGGTCAGGGTTCAGCATGGGACTCACAAAGAAGCCACAGGAGGCCTTGACAGTAGGTGCCTCAGGGAACTTGAGGGCCAGCACAGCTGTGGGAAAGGCAGAGGCAGATCAGTTTAACGATCCTTCTAGGGGAGCCCCAGGCCCACCTGTCCATCTCGCCCCACTTACCACACTGGAACACAGCTTTGACATCCAATCGTTCACACAGGAACAAATCTGGCTTCCGCTTCAGAGCCTGCAGGAGGTGGAGCTGGTAAGCCCAGCCCCAGCCAGCTCCAAGGACCATCCCCCCCACTCACCTGCCACCCCAGCCCCCAACTTCACACCTCACAGGTAGAGGCTGCCAAAACCAGCTACCCAGCCATCTCTGGGGGACCCGGACCACCTCAGAGTTCAGTAGGTCAGGTGAGGACAGCTCAAGGGATGCTATGTACATGTATGTGTACATGAACACGCAGGTGTACGTGAGAGAGGTTGGGGGTGGGGATCATAATGCAGAAAGTTTGGGTTCCAGACACCTTTCCCTCCCCCTCCATCAGGGCCAGATGTCTCGCAGGCTCTAGGTTGCCAGCAGTGACTTCATGTTGATTCACAGAGGGAGTTAAGCACCCCCAGTTTGTGAACAGGGTAGCAGGAAGAAGAGATGGCAGCCAGACAGGGAGCCCTCAGCCCAACAGCCCTCCTCCCATGTCCCTCCTGTATTCCTGAGGCACCCTCCAGCTCCTGCTCAAAAAGAAGAAAAGTACAGCAGGAGCCTTGGAGCCTCAGCCCCATCTTTCACCCAGGGTACCCTGTGTCCAGGCCCTCTTCGGCCATACACACACCAAGGAGCCAGTGCTGCTGTGGGTGAGGGGGAAGAGATGAAGTGAAGGGGGCAGATGGCCTGCCCCGAGTGGTACCAGGACATGACTGGCACATCCTCAGGTCACAGGAGATGCTCTGCACAGCTCCAGTCATCCTCAAACACTGCTGCTCCCCAGCAATGCCCCCAGTGCATACCACATAGACCTCTACCCTCCAGCCCCTCACATCCCCTCTACCCCCCATGTTTACTCATGTGCAAACACCCCCACATGCACCATCACTTGAAATGCCCTCCTTACACACTTCTCTAACACCGCTAACATACACACACTCTCCCCATCTGGAACACACCCTCATTACACAGTCATACACCAAACACCTGCACATCCCCAAACCATGTCCACACACCTACACCCTCAGCCTTCCCACAGTCCCCCTGTGCACTCTTCCAACATACCCATCCACAAATACACATTCAGACACCCTCCGCATCAAAGATACACCTTTGAAAACACCCACACACATATCCATCCAGGCCCAGAACACTCCCTATTCTTCCCTCCTCCCACCCTACCCATCCCCCAGAAACTAGACTTGTAAGTTCCAGGAGAGCAAGAACTGTGCCTGGTTTTGCTCGCTATCATATCCTCAGTACCTAGCAAAGTACAGCATGTATCACACACTCAATAAATATCTGTGGAATGATTAAGCAAAGAAACACTCCATTTACCCCAATTCACAGGTTAGGGGGTCTGCGTGCTAGGATCCCCTAACACACAGAAGCCCCCATCACACTAACTTCATACCCCCACAGCCCAACATGCATCTCCAAACCATACTCTGATACAGACATACCAATGCCACAACATACACTCCTATCCTCCATAATATACACTCCGACAACCCAACACACACACCTCCAACACACGTCCACGCTCTAAATCCATCAAGGCCTAACACATCAACAAACAACACAAAACACACAACACATCAACATACAGCACACATCAAGGCACACATTCATCTCAGCACCCAACACAATTCACATACTACTTACAGGTGATTTCTGTTCCCTTCCCAAACCAAACTCAAAACATACAAAATAAGGTCTCACACACTGAAACACATACAAAATGCAAACACATCCTAGCATGGAGCCTGCACTCCACCTCCTAGCAGCAGCTCAACCTCTCCAACAGCCCAACTCTGGGCTCCACCGCGCACATTCCTCTTCAGCCCCTCGCTTTGGAGCTGCTCCCAGCCTACCTCTCAGGAGCAGGCTGGGGGCACTGAGGCAGGCAGTTCCCGGCAGGAGCACGGGGACAGTGTACCCCAGACCCTTCAACTCCAGCCCTACACGTGAACTTCTTGGGCAACAAGAAGCTGCTGGGCGCAGTCACCACCCCCTCCCTTTCCCATTCCCCACCCGATGCCAGCCCAGCTCCCTCCGTTTGGGATCAGCCTCTCCCTGGTCTTTGTAGAAGACTGAGCTAGTGAGGCATAGGGGCACTAAAGGAGGATGTTGGGTTGTCAACTTCCACGGAAACAGATGAAGAAACTCTATTCAACTGAACAGAAAAAAAATTTGTCAACAGAAAGCTAAAAATAGGCTTAAATTGAATTTCAACATAAGAGAAAGAGAAAGAGAGAGAACAGAACGTGAATGAATAAAACTAAAACACACCTGTGCCAGGAGTTGCATAAATGAATCAACAATATCAGGATGATCCCTGGGCCCTAAAATATAATAAAGATGGAACTTAAGAAAAAATTATACAAACAGCAACTCAACCTCATATAGTTATGTGGGACTGAGAGCCTGCAGGGAGACAGCGTGGGGGCACATGAGCAGCAGGAAGCAAGATAAAGAAACAAAACATACAAAAACCATGAACTGGGAGAAGCCCAACAGAAAGAGACGGCAAAGTGAAGGACGGGCCTGCCCCAGCTCCCTCCAAGGGGCCTTCCGCCTACTCCCCACTCCTCCTCAGGCCATCCCCTCATGTTCCCTTGGTACTTGAGCAATTCTGGACTCCATATAGCTGAAGAAACGGCCACCACACTTACTGTGGCCTCTGGCAGGTTGGGGTAGCCCTACACTGCTCCTAGCACATACCTCCCATCAGCCAGTCATTGAAGAGGAAAGCTGGGATGGCGGTGGGGGGGTGGGGGAGTCAGTCCTTGGTATCTCCTTTTGAGGTTTATCTGAGGGCCCTAGAAAGGCCAGGGCATCAGAGCCTGAGTAAGTGCCACCTCACTTCAATGGCCTTAGGGCTCTTGGTCTGGCAAAGGAAAATAATCTATTCAGTCCACTTAAACCACAGGACTCTTGCTTAGGTAGGGCAGTGCCCAGCATGCTCTGGAGATGGCCTGGCAAGTCACTGGCAGGGCCCAGAGGAGGAAACAGTATCATAAGGCCAAAAACAAGAGCCCCACCCCAGCAAACCTCCTCCACATGGACATGGACTCTGCAGAGAGCCAAGCTCAGGGCTGAGGACTAGTTCCCATCATCTGGACATGCCAAGAAACAGGGAAACAAGAAACATGTCATCCTATGGTCCAGTGGGAAGGCAGAGCCCGAGGAAGGAATGGCTAAGATTGGGATGGCATAACAGGTATGGGAGCCATCCTGTCCAGCGAGACAACCAACAAGCCCAACGTATATGATGTTGGACACTGCTGCCTCCAGTTCTGATCATTCCTGAGGCAAGAATATGGCATGCACCTGGAGCTCCTACCCAGGCTTCTCCACTCTCAGGAGGATGTGGTACAAAACCATCTGCCTAAGACACCACTAAGTAGCTGTGTGATCTTGCGCAAGCCACAAATGCTCAGTTTCCCCATCTGTAAAGCAGATAATCTCTGCCCTGCTTCCTTCTCTAGGCTATGAAGAGTCACCAATAAAGTCTGTCCCTTTGGTATCTGAACCCTGAGTTATTTAAGTCCTAGAAAGTGAGGCCCAGTGTGCACCATGCAGGTTTGATATTCAGCAGCCACCCTGCTAGAGGTGGGCCAGAAAATGAGAAGGAAAGGTTCCAAGGGCAGGGAGCCCTCCCCCTCCTTTATTTAACAGTGTCTGTGGCCTGCTGTATTCTGGCCTCATTCTGGGCACTGGGGATGCAGAGAGAAGAAACTCAACCCTACCCTTGAGGGGCTTAAGTCTAGTAAGAGAGACAGACATGAAAGCTGATTATTGTGTGTGATCAGTGCTGTGTCAGCAGTGTGTATGGGATGCAGTTTCAGTACAGTTAGAAGCACCCAATTCTGCCTCAGAGAGAAATTACTCTGAGAAGTGATGCAGTCTTCCTCCTTTCTAAGGCATGAAGGAGTGAGAGTTCACCCAGTAAAGGGCATAGGACATTCCAGTCAGAGGAGCAAGGCACAGGGATCAAATGGGACACGGTAAGGAAGAGGCAGTGTGGCTGAAATGTTGGAGTCATGAGGACATTGGCAGGAGAGGACATTAGAGGCATGCCAGAGCCTTGTCATGTGGGTGGGAATGGAACAATAAGCTGAGGGCAATGGGAACAATGAAAGGGTTTTAAGCCCGGGATGACAAATGCTCAGATTTGTGTTTTTATGAAGATTATAGCTGCAGTGTGCAGAACAGATTGGAGAGAAGGGGAGATGCCAAGAAAACCCACTAGAAGGTTGCTGATAATCCAGGTGAGACCCTAAACTGAGGCAGTGGCCACGGAGGTGGGTAGAAGTGGACCAACCGAGAGAGAATCAGGAGTCAGGATCAATGGGGCTTGTCCCAGATTGGGTACAGGGAGTTGGGAGAGGTGGAGTTGAGGATGACCACACCAGGTTTCTGGTTCAGTTTTCTCCCCAGTTTGGACCTACTCCATGGCCCACAGAAACAGAGGCCAGGATCATGAGACCAGGCACTGAGGATATGAGCTGCGAGTACTCTGGGCACCAACCGAGACCCCTGGTGAGCCTCAAACCTGTGACCATGAATCCAGGCAAGGCTCATGAGGCTAGCTGAGCAGTGCTGTTTTTTTGTTTTTGTTTCTCCAAACTGGAAGCCTGGATTAGACAACACGAGAAGCCTGAATGAAGCCCCTGCTGCCAACTCTCTCAGGCAAAGGGCCACAGTGAGTAGAGGGCTAGGACCACAGCCAAAGGTACTTGACTTCTGGCCTAGAAAGTACTAAGCCTTGATGCAGGGAAAGGAACCAACAGTCTCTGAGTACTTCACTGTGCAAAAGCCCCTGAGCCAAGGGCCCAGAAGATGTGACTTTAATACCTGTAAACAATCATTTCAAGTATATGTTATCTCCGTTTCACAGATATGGAAATGAAGGCCCAGCAAAGGTAAGTGACTTGCCCAAGGACACACAACTAGTTGGTGGTGATGAACTTAGAATCTAGGTCTAGCTGACTTCAAAAGCCCGTGCTCTTTCCACTTTTCATTATATCCCAAAGTAAAGGAGCCAGCCTAGTGCCCCAAGCCCCTCAGAGCCTCTGCCCACCTCCCACCCCCACTTCCTTCTTCCATATCCAGACTGGCCCTGAGCCCAGCAGGCCAGCAGAAGACATCATTCACCCTCTTATCCACTTCAACCTAAAGTTTCAACTATTTATAAGGTGTTGTGCTTGATCTCACAGGTTTCCCATCAAGTCCCACGTGTGACTCAGGGGACAGAGAAGAACAGAGTGGGCAGCTTTGGCTCCCCATTTGGGGAAGCAGAGGCAGTGGCAGTGGCAGCAGCAGCAGAGACCCCGGTCAGGACCTACCTTGCTGGAAGAGAGTGAGTGTGACGGAGGTGACGAGCAGGAAGAGGGCCTCAATTGGGGGAAAGTGGGCAGGCTCATGAGCAAAGATGTGGACCAGCTACGAGAAAGCAGGGAATGCTGGTCAGCTGAGACCCAGTCTCACCAGGACATGGCAATATCCCTGGAATGCAAGTGGGGACCCCAGCCACGGCAGCCATCTGACCCACCCCCACCCAGGGTCAGGATCTCTGCCCCAACCAGAAGGCCCACCTGTCGAGTGAGGTCAAGAGCAGAGGCCTGGGGGATGGTGCTGTACATCCGACCCAGCATCTCACACAGCTGTGGCACCATGGGGGCAAAGTCATCCAGCAGCGTCTTAACAGACTTCTCAAAGATAGCGCACACCGCCTTGGGAAGAAAGCAAAGGGGCCCTGGTCAGCAGGTCATGACTGGCTGGAACAGCGCTGAAGCCCTGCACAGAGGGGGCCTACGATTGGGCCCTTACCTATAAGCCTTGCCTGGCCCTGCAAACCAAGGAAGGTAAGCAAGTCTGACCCTCACCCTGAAAGGCAGGGGGCAAAGGCCCTTCACTGAGGGGCACAGGATGTAACTGTGGAACTTAACTCCTGCGACTTACATCTCTAACATTTCCTCTCAGGGAGCAGCAACAGCAACAAAAACCTGAATTGAAAAGGGACCAAAGGCAGGTCTTTGGTGCTAAAACAGATGCCTGACTGTCACTCGACCCTAATATTAGAGTCCTTACGTTAAGCACTTCTCATGATATTGGGGAGTTCTAAATGTCTTCCCAAAAGATTCCTTATCTCTATGGGGCAGGATTCACCTCCCTTGTTTTCTCCAAACCATTGTAAGCTGAAGTGTGGCAGTAACATCTTACCCTGCTACACCTCTGAGCAGTCACTATGGGAGCGGAGGGCAAGGGTCAGGGCTCACCTCCACAACCTGGGCATCATTCAACCATTTGCTCAGCACCTTCTGGATAAGCTGGAAGACCTGCTGCAGCACCACCACCACCTGAAGGCACAGGAAGAAGTGAGGCGCTTCTGCTATCCATCACTGTGACCCACTTGAGGAGGACTTGGTGGCAGGGAGGAGGGGAGCAGTTCAGACCTATTACCCCAGAACACACATTGAGGACCCAGGGCATGGGACCCCTGGGGGAAGAAGTGGTTTGCTGAACTCTCTCATGAATGAAAAAGGAGTATTTCCTGAATTCTAGGGATCATCTCAAAGGAAGCCTCAAACTGCAAAGCAGAGATATCACAAGTGCTTCATAAGGTTACAAAAACTTTGTAAACTTAAAAAAAAATCTCTCCCTATCTCTGCTCTGTAAAACCAAGGCTATGGGCTAGCCTCTGAAGAAGTGGAGATGCTATCTCCTCCAAATAGGCTTGAGGTAGGGAGCCCCAAGGAATGCACAGATGCAGGCTTAAGCTGCTCTCCCAGCTTATGGAGGAGCAGAGAGCAGACTGAGGTCCTGGGAGGTGAGGAAAGGCAGGATGATGACTACCATGTAAAGAAGCAGCTCTGTGGGATGACAGTGGCCCAGGGGTGGTCTAAAGCCAAGAGGCTAACTGAAACTGGGTTGGGGAGTTAAGCAGAGAGGCCAGGATGCCTATGGCTTCCTTTTCTCCTGGAGAAATCTGGGAGGGAGTTCTGGGAACAACGACTAAAGCAGTCCCTTATATTTGTAAAGAACTTTACAATATGCAAACTACCTTCACTTAAGACCACATCTACTATCCAGCACAGTTCTATGAATTGAGTAAGCCAGACATTTCAATGTTCATAGTTTTTAATGGGAAGCTGAGGCTTGCCCCAGATCAAGCAGCTTGTAAGTGGTCACCCCAAAACCTATGCCCAAGCTTACCACAGGACTTATCACACTGCTTTGTGACAATTTGAGCAACCTGAATTTCCTCTACACTGGGAGCAACTTGAAGGCCAGAACTATTACATGCGGAGGAGGTAATGAGCATCCTTAGTGCCCACAGGGGACAGTAAATGTTGAAGTAGAAGGCCCTACAGAGCTAGGGGTTGAACAGGGGCCCATAAAATCACTTAAGGGTTGAAGGATATAACGTCAATGTCCCTCATGGGGCTGAGGAATCTCAATGACATCACCCTAATTGGGCTGGGGACAAGGACAACATCACACACAGAGCTGAGTGAGATAATGACATTGCTGCCTACAGAGTGAGGCAATTATAGGTCATTCATGGAGTCAGAGGACCAAATATATCACGCCCACGGGGCAGGGAGAACAATGACAACATTACCCACAGAATTGAAGAGTGACAATGACATTCCCACAGGTGGGGGTTGGGGGGATGGCAAAGACAAATGTCTTTGCCGTGGGCAAATGTCACCCACGGGGTTGGGTCCCTGTGGCACTGGCAGCTTCCGAAGCTCAGGGCCTTCATGATCATCCTCATGATGACTGATGTCCAGTGTGGTGAAGAGGTTGGAGAGAAGCCCCAAGATGTGAACAATGGCCAGCTTGTTGGAGGGATTGGGCTGCAGGGAGAAGCAAACCAAGCTCCAGATCTCCCAGCCCCAGTTTGGTCCCCAGATCACTGAGCCTCAGCTCTGAGGGCCAGCTCCAACCTCACCCCTCATCAGCCACAGCATCTCAGTACCGCTCCCTGGCCCCCAGAGCTCACTCACTATCTCCTCTGCCAGCTTCTCCAGTTGCTGGATATAGGGTGAGATAAGCGAGTGCAGGTTCTTAAGGATCTCCTCCACTTGAAGAGCTGACAGCAGGAAGCCCAGCGCCTGCATCAGCCACATGCACTGGCTTGTCTGTGGGGCAGAACATGGATGGTCAGTCCTGGCCACATCTAGTTGTGGGGTAGGAAGGAAAATGAGCCTCTTGGGAGAAGAAAAACAGAGAATAAGGGATAAGAGGAAGGGGAAGGCCAAAAAACAGGATTTCAGGGATAAGTGATTCCCACAAGACCTCCAAGGAGACCCCTAGAAACTTTTGAGCCGCACCTTGTGGATCTGTTTCATCAGCACATCCTGAGGGGAGAAAGAAGGAATGTAGTATCAGCACAGTGCAGAGTGTGCTCTGAGGCCCAGCACCATCCAGGGCCCCTGCATACCTGGGACACAGCCACAATGTTGGCAGCATAGGGAGGCAGGTCATACTTGCACTCTCGGCAGATCTTCTTGAGGGTGGACACAGAAGAGACAGACAGCTCAGGATTGCCTAGGGCATGCAGTACCAAGGGCAGAACACTGTTGATCATGACGGGGTGGTCAGCCAGCCATTCAGACAGAGCTCCTGGAGGAAGGAGGGAGACAGGAGGATCTTTGAGGCAGGCCAGGCTGGCTTTGTACCATGTCTCTGAGGCAAGCAGAGTTCCTGGCAGGGTCAAGTTGCAGCCCCAGCACAGAGTACTGCCCCATTCAGAGGACATATGCATGTGCATGCTCAAACATGAGCCTTACAGCTGAGAAGCAGGAAGGGGTTACTCAACAGAGGCCCAGTACTGCTGTTTCACTGACGGTAAACTAGCCTCACTGAATTGCAGCTCAGTGTGCCATCAGATGGACCCCCTAGACCTGCCAGGACAGTCAGTTTGTTACAACACTGATTGTGTGTAGGCATGTGGCTCTCCCATTCTGGATAGGATCCAGCATGCTGGCTGTGGCCAGGGTTGGGTGCTGTGGCTCTGGGAATATGGTCATGGGTGTGTGCCAGGTCTCACCAATGGTGAACATGACAGTGTCTGCCAGCTGCACGTTGCTGATGCTGATCCGTGGGATGAGGCCAATGAGCCCAGGCACCACATCAGAATAGTTGACGTCAATGGTCTCTGCGATGGATTGGAAGCCGTAGAGGAGGGCCTCTGTGTGCTGGGGAAAGAGGGTGCCACTGGCTTGGATGAGGAGGAGGGTGTGACAGGTCTGGGAAGGCTGAGGGAATCAGGCTTGGGAGGTACCTGCCAGGAGTAGGGCTCCTCTGAGCTGGTGAGCAAACGACCCAGCTTGTCATAGAGGTTGCTGAGCAGCTCGGCCCCCAACATCTCATAGACATACATGAGCGTGTCTGAGATGTCCACCCTGAGAAGCAGATGAAGGCCTTTTATACTGCCTGGATCCTGACCCTGGATCCTGCCCCCAAGCCCAGGAGCCTACCCCAGTACCCCCACAACTCTGCAACAATACCTAGAAAACAGAAAGGAGCACCAAAATTCAGAAAGCCTGGACTTGGGCCCCTTCCCTCATTGCCTTCATTATTTCTGGACTCCATTTTAGAGGAGTTGGCCTGCTACCATCACCTGTAAATTCGGAACTGCTCCTTCTCGTCTGAGGACCAGAATCCATATTCCTCATCAGAAGGGAACTGGGCCTTGTGCAGAAGCACATCCACCAGCTGGAAGTAGACTGGCCGGTACACCTGCTGGTATACAGCCTGCTTCTCTGCCTCAAAGGATAGAATATCATCCTGAGAGAGCCAGGGAAGAGAATTAGCCACCTCACCAGCAGTCATAGAAGCCCATGATCCACCTTCTTCCACCACAGCCCAGTCCTACTGGAGGTCACACAGACACACCTGCAGTGTGTACCAGAAGGTGAGGGTTAGGGAGCTGGTGGTCTCATTGACAGGATAGTGGCCAGGGATGCCTGTGCAGAACATAATCATGTTGACGAGTGCCAGGAAACTCTGCCAGTGCTCTACTTGGTCCAGCAAGGCCCTGGGGAGAGAGTCAGGTCATTCTACCTTTCCAGGGACTTCCAGAACCCCATTTCTTAGAGGGCCCTACTATCCCACCCCAAGCTGCTCCACCCTTTACCGGGAGTGGTTCTCGCCCAGGGCCACAGCGATGCGACAGATGCCATGGGAGGTCTCCATGTCCCCATTCTGCACTGCCTGCCGCAGTTGTTCCTGCAGACCCAGCACCAGCGGGATGAGTTTCAGGAGTGTGTTCACGTACCTAGAGGCATGAGGTGAGAAAATCCATCAGAGCTCTCTGCTCAACCCCACACTGGCTTTAAGAGAAAGGCATAATCTCCTTGTCTTCCATCAAAGCTCCCCTTCCCTTATCAAATCCTAAGCAAAAAAAGGGTCAGGGTCTACATGGCAGATTTGATGTTCCCAATGTTGGGAAGAACCTTAGATCAGGGACCCCCAGAAGAACTCTGAGAAGGACGTATGAGAAGGTCAGCATTATGGGTTGAATTGTGTTCTCCAGTTGGACTGAGAGCTGATTCCGGAATGGGTTAAGATTTTTTTTTTTTTTTTTTTTTTGAGATGGGGTTTTGCTGTGTTACCCAGGCTGGTCTCGAACTCCTGAGCTCAAGAGACTCAGCCTCCTGCTCAGCCTCCAGAGTAGCTGGGATTACAGGTGGAGCCACCACATCCAGCTAGGTTACAACTTTTGGGGAGATTGAGATGAAGTGAATATATTTTGCATGTGGGGATAACATGAAGTTTGGGGCACCAGAGGGCAGACTGTCATGGGTCAAATTAAGTCCCCACAAAAAGATACATTTTTTGATAAATCTTAATCCCCAGTACCTCAAAATGTGATCTTATTTGGAAATAAGATAATTGCAGATGAGGTTATACTGGAGTAGGATGGACCTGAACTCCAATATGACTGGTGTCCTTATAAGAAGATATCTATGTGAAGACAGAGACATACAGGGAGAATGCCACGTGAGGATGAAAGTAGAGAGTGGAGTGATCCAGCTGGAAGCCAGGGAACACTGAAGACCGCCAGCAAACCACAGAGCTAGGAAGAGGCAAGGACGGAGTCTCCTACAGGTTTCAGAGGGAGCACAGCCTTGCCAACACCTTGATTTCAGACTTCTATCCTTCACAATTGTGAGACAGTTAATTTCTGTTTGGCTTTAAAGCCACCTAGTTTGTGGTACTATGTTATGGTAGCCCTAGGAAACTAATACAGTCTGTCAGGGGTGATTGAACAAGAGTGGGATACAGAAGAGTAAACACAGGCTCATAAGCCCTGATTTAAAAAAAAAAAAAAGACTTTGGAAGGCAGCAACAGCTCATGAGAGCATCAATCCCTGCCATCCGCTCCACCCTCTACCACCAAATCCCAACTCTTGAGGAGTGTGGTGGCAGCAGGGAGGAAGAGAAGTAGACAATGAACTCAGAGAGAGCTAAGAGGCAAAACAGACAGGACTTGATGACTGACTGGATATGAGGAAGGAGAAGAATAAAGACACCTCTCAGGTCACTGGCTAAACAACTAAGTAGACGGTGGAGCTATTTACTGAGACCTGTGGGGTGAGTAGCGGGGAACAGTAACACCTTTAATGGGAGGTGGAAGGTGATAAGCTCAGTCTTAGACAAGTTGATTCAGAGACACCTGATAGGTTATGCAGGCAGAAGCATCTAGAAAGAGTTGGATATAAAAGCCTGAAGCCCAGCATAGAGGTTAGAGCAAAAGCCATAGATTTGAGAGTCATCAGCTAACAGCTGGTAATTGAAGTTATGGGAATAGATGAGAATTGCCCAAGGAGAAAGTGTTGAATGAGAAAAAAATAAGAGGGTCCAGATCACAGCCCTGAAACACAATGATCTCTAAAGGAGAAGGACAGACAGCCCAGTATACAAAGGGGACTGAGAGAAGCCTGGCTCAGCCCACTGGATCCCTCTCCAGCACCTTGGTCTGTGGAGATGAGACTAAGCAGAGGAAGCCACACTCTAATAGCGGGGATCAGATGCTTGGGACCCCTCTGTTGTCAATCATAGTGTCACCATAGCAATCTATGTTAGGGAGTTGGGGACTGAGGATCCCAGAGGGAGTTCTATCTGGACTTGCCCCAAGCAGGTTGCTAGGCAGTAGCCTCATATCCTTGGTGGGAGGATGAGAAGGACAAAAAGAGGCAACCAGCCTAGGGACATCGGCCTCCTTCTCCACATCCCCATTCTGGTAGGAAAAGTCACCCATGCCAGGATATCCCCAGCCCAGAGACAGCCCCAGGGGGTGCTGCCTGGAGACAGCCGGGATAGCTTCAGTCTCCTGACCCTGACACGGGCTGCACCACCAGACAATGGGCATTTTCAGGCCAGACTCTGGCACAAAGAGAAGGGGCAGGGCCAAGGCTATGGCCCACAAGCTCCTCAGCAGCTGAGATGGGTGCAGGAGGTAGCGCTCTACTCCCATAGCTCCCCACTGTATTCTAAGACTCCTTCCTCCACCTGCCAAAGTTCATGCAGATGGCAGGGTACTCGGCAAATGTTCTTCATTTGTCTCATCTGAGCCTCAAAATAGGACAAATCAAGGATAATACAGCCTCAAAGAGCTCAGAGTATCATATCACTCAAGGTCATACAACAACTTAGAAGCAGAATCCAGGTTGAAACTGCCCCTTAAACTGCTACAGGTCTGCTTTTCTTTCAGGGCCCAACCAGAATTTCCCCAAAGGATTTATGTACGTCTCAGCCCATATCTCCAGTCCTAACTGATGGGAGCCCCCAAGAGCCTGCCTAATTCACTTTCCCTCCATCCCCAACTCCCAAGGACAAGCTTTTCCAGCATTAAAAACATAGTTCAGGAAAAAAAAATACATTTCAAAGGAGAGAGCCAGGAAGCAGCAGCAGCTGTGGAGGGGCAGGAAAAGGGTGACTTGAGTGCAAGCTCAGCCAAGGGGAGGGCCAATGTCAGGACACCTGGGGAAGGCGTGCCTGGATGACCCAGGAGTCAAAGTCACTGAAGGTGACTTTCACAAGCCAAAGCTGGGAAATTAGACTGGGGAGAGCAAGGGCCAGGCTCGGATTCTGGGCTGGATGCAGCTCACCCATGGGAAGAAGTTCTTGCATAAATTTCCTACCACCTGAGCACCTGTGTCTGCGACCTGTGAGTGGACAGAAGAACAAGTCTGAGGTCCCAGAGGTTTCTAGGTTTGGGGGAAGGAGACAGGGAGGATGTCTTTATGACCACAGCTGAGGCTGGGTTCAAGAGGCCTGGCTCCAATCGGTCAGTTCAAGTAGCCGAGGCAGGGCTGCTGGGACTCCTCTGCTGCTGCTCACACGGAGCTCAGCCCAGACCTGCAATTAGAGCTTTGCTTCAGGAGCAGAGCTGAGAAAATGGGGAGAGTTGCTAAGCAACCAAGGGGCTGCAGCCAATGGGCACCAAGGAGGCTGTGGGTTACCTCACTGGCTCCTTGCTCGCTCATTCGTTCAGAGGAGAAGGGGCATCAATTACCTGCCAAAGCCCTTGAGACTGGCTGGGCGGGTAAACTTGGGTGTATCCAAGGACACCTCACATCACCCACACACTTGCCCTGATCTGTTTCCCTTAGTCACCAACTGTCAGAGCCCACCCAGCACTTGAGCTTCAGGCTGCCAAGAGATCTGGGATTAGGTATCCACCTTAAGCTGGAAAGCCTGGGAAGCCAGGGGATAAGTATCATAATAACTCCCAACACAATAATGAAACCAAATACTGGCAACTGCCGTTTACAGAGTATATAGGAACCATGCTAAAAGCTTCACATTCTCTTATTTAATCCTCATACCGAAACAATCTTTTATTTTTTAAAATCAACCCAATATTTTATTTAAAGTTTCAAAAGGCAGTGATTAAGCACATTATCTATGTGTGTGTGTGTATCATATACATATAAATATATGTATGTATACACACACATATATATATAGGAAACCAACTCCTTTTCAAATTTAGCCACTGAACAACTAGGCCCACTTTCTATTGCATGATTCCAGTTCTACTTCTTATGACCAGTACTAAAAGTAAACAGCCTTAATCCATTTAATAGTAACTATGTTTCTCTTTAAAAAAATGAACAGTTGGCCAGGCATGGTGGCTCATACCTGTAATCCCAGCACTTTGGGAGGCGGAGGCAGATGGATCACCTGAGGTTAGGAGTTCAAGACCAGCCTGACCAACATGGCAAAACCCCGTTTCTACTAAAAATACAAAAATTAGCTGGGCGTGGTGATGCACGCCTGTAATCCCAGCTATTCTGGAGGCTGAGGCAAGAGAATCGCTTGAACCCGGGAGGCGGAGGTTGCAGTGAGCCGAGATTGTGCCACTGCACACCAGCCTGGGTGACAGAGTGAGACTCTGTCTCAAAATAAATAAATAAACAATTACCATTAACTGATCACATAAAGTATAAAGGTAGAACATATACACACAGTTCCCATTTTAAAACATGTAACGTATCAATAACCCAAAGGTACAAATGCATGCTACTGACCATCCCAACCCTAGCAGAGACCACAAAAGAACTCCCATTACTCAAGGAGTCAAAATATTCTCTACCGAACACCAGGGGCAGGACTTGTGCACATTATCCTGTTTAAACCTTTTCAACTCTGTGGGGTTGATATGATCATCCCCATTTTATTGATGAGGAAACGGAGCCTTAGGAATGGCTGATCCAAGATTTCAGATCTAATAAGTGAACCATCTGGGATTCAAACTTAGATGTGACTAATGCCAAGGCTTGAGTCATCAGCCACTCTTCCATGAAGTCTCTTTCAATGGTTTTCCCTTCCAATTCTGCCAAAGGTCCCAAAGCCCCATCTCTGAAATGTCAGCATCAGGACCTCCAGTCTCACTTCTTCTAATCCAGCTCATACCAAAAGTCTCAGTAGGCCATTTTCTCTGCTTATAATCCTTTAATATCTTTATATCGTCTTCAGGATGAAGATCAAAATCTTAAACTTGGCCAAGGTCCTGCATGATCTGGGCCCAGGTCTCCTATACCTCTGGCCCTTAAATCTTGCTGTCTAATCACATCTAATGATTTACAGATCACCAGACCCTCTGGGCTTTCACCCTTCCCTTGCTTGGGCTGGAATGTCCTCCCCATCCATCACTTCCATCTGGCTAACTCTTACACAGCTGGGTTGTCACTTCCTCTGCGAATCCTTTCACAGCCCTCAGACTCAGTGAAAGCCTCCTCTGGGTTCTTCAAGGCCCCTGCGTTCTCCATCAGAGGATTCATCATGTTGATTGTACTTGCCACTCATGTGTCCACTAGACTGTGAGCTCCTGAGACTGAAGCTAAAGCATTTGTCTCTGTGCTCCCAGAGCTCAGCACAGGGCCCAAAACAGGACATGCTCAATGAACATTTGCCAAACACTTCACTACACTCACTTCTTTAGGGCCCTTGAATATATCATGATGCTGCCCACAAGTCTTTGCACATGCTGTGGTTCCTAAAGCCTAGAACAATCCACCTTCCTCCCCCAATCCCTTCCAGCCCCACCCCTCCCAACTCAGGCAACTCCTACTTTCCTCCATTCACAAAATATCAAATGCTACCATGTGCCGAGCACAATGCGACAAAGTAAAATGACAGAGTCCCTGTCCTCACAGAGGTGAGAGAAATCATGTTATGGGCTAAGAAGGAAAAATACTGGGAGCTCTGAGGTAATATAAGAGAGAAGATCAAACTTAGCCTTAAGAATCCATGGAGGACTTCCCTATGGAAATGAAGTTTAAGCTGAGGCAAGGTGTCAAGTATATGTAATGAGCCAGAGGCTGAAAGGAACATGGGACATTCAAGGAATTAAAGAAACTGTGTGAGCGTGTAGAGAGCAAGGAGAGTAGCATGAGATGAGGCCAGTGATGCCATACTGTGCAGCACCATTATGAGTCACATTAAGGATTCTGAGCTTTAACCTAAGAGCATTGAGAAGCCACTGAAAGCTTCTGATCAGAAAGATTAGATCCCCATTTTCAAAAGATCACTGTGGCTGCTGGGACAATGAAGGGTACAAGAGTGAGGACAAGCTCTACAGTAATCTGGGGAGAGAGATGATGACAGCTTGGACTAAGGTGGTAGCAATGGAAATGGAAAAAAATAGATTTGCAATATGGTCAGGAGGGGAACAGCCAGGACTTGGTGACTAGTTGAGAGAAGGAAAAGAGAGTCAAATATTTTAATTGAATAACTGATAATTAGTTGTTTAATGTCTGCCTCCCTGTCTGAACCATGAGGACAGGGACCATGTCTTCTTTGGTTCCTTGCTGTATCTCCAGCATAGGACCAGGTATCAGTACACATTCAATTAATGTTTATTGAACAGATGGATGGATGGATGTGTGGCTGGCCAAAGAGGTTGTCTTCTGGGTGAGTGGGTACTAGCTCACCTCTGGGCATCAGGCTGTGAGATGGCATTCACAATGGCCTCCACACTGCTGTCGAAGAGCTCCGAGTCCTGCAGAGCAGCAAAGGCAGCCTGAATGAGCGCCTCACAGTCCTGCAGCGGCACCTCCAGCTGCACCCAGCTGGAGAAACACTTGAGCACCTTCTGACGCACACAGCTGGGTGAGCTGGGCTGCTGTAGCAGCTGCTCCAGCAGCGGGAAGACAGCCCCACATTCCACCGCCAGGCTGGTCCGCACCAGGCCTTTGCGGTACTGGGGTAGGCGACTGGTCTGGAACTCCTCAGGCAGCACTGTCAGCAGCTCTAACAGGGCTAGGCAGCGGCCCTGCCCATCCACTGGTGAGTCCTCAGCCTGGAAGAGTCGTACCATATCTGCCACAGCACATGGCCAAGCGTCAGGCATCATGCTGAGAGCCAGTGAGGCCAGTGCCACGCACAGCCGAGTCAGTACAATCTTGGAGCCACTGGCAAAGCGGGTGATCTGGGTGAAGAGCTGTGCCTTTAGGCTTTCATACTGGTCAGTGGGGATGTCACTCCAGTAGCGAGAGATCTTGATGTGAAGAGCACTGGCCCCAAAGTACTGGATCTCTGGTACCTTGTCGGGCTGCAGTAGCTGCCAGCTGAAGTGCCAGGCCTGTGGGGAGACCTGGGCCTGCATCAGCCACTTCTGAGCCAGGTTCTTATTCTCAATGTTGGGATCATAGTAGAGCTGGTGCAGCGCCTGCAGGACAGCACAGGACTGAGCAGGTGCTGGCCACTCTGGATCCTGCCAGAGCCCAGAACAGAGGCGTGACTTGGTCCTGCAAGGCTGCTCCCTCTCCCTGACTGGGGGGCTGAGCAGGGAGAGCTCAGCGCTCTGCAGTGTTTCCTGGGCCTGGGGTCCTGCTGATATCTTGAGAGCCTGAACCTTGCCCATGCTCTACCATATCCTCTTCTCCTTACAGCAAAACATTATGGGTTCAGAGAGGGAATCTCCACAGGAAAGCAAAAAAGAGGAGGCTGATCTCCCCAAAGGGGAGGCACTTGAGGGCAAGGCCCAGGTGGAAGGAACAGCTTCACAGGGATGAAGCTAAGTCTGAGAAGGGCATGGAACAGCTTGAGGGGACTTGACCCTCCCAGGCACAGCTGCTCCCATCAACTCCAACAGCTCCTTTCAGCTCCCCCAGGATCATCCCTAGGTCAGTCCAGATGCTGGCACCAAAGCCAGTGTGAAATCAGAGCAGGACTAAGACTTTTGCCAGGCAGCCCTGGGGCAGACATGCTGGAGGAGAGGGTGAGAACACTCCTCAGAGGGCACATGTCCAACCAATTGATCCAGAGAAGCCTTGGCCATAGCTGCAGCCCTGGCAAACACCTAGCTTAGTGCTCTCCACTAGCAGAATCCCCGGGGTCTCAATTCCAACGGGACTTTATGAAGTAAGAAAACAGTGAGATTTATCTCCCAATAGCACATGGAACAGTGCGCCACCATGCCAACACTGCCCTGCTCCAAGGGGCGGAAGAGTATGGCCAGGACCCTGACCCCTAAGCAGGCTCCATCCAAGTAAGCTTAGCTCTATTTGTACCCCTGACAGCCAGTTATGGCCATTGGCCCTTGTTTGGCCCCTCAGGGACGCCAAAGCAGGCAGAAGAGATGCATCCTCATTGTTTGTTATGGCAAACGGGGGTTAAGGATAACAAGTGAACATCATTCCCTGCTTTCAAGTAAGGGAGCCCCATCTCCCCATTCATCCCAGGGTGCATGCATTCCTGCATTTCAAGTTGTAGGGAGCAGATACAGAAAAGAACCAAAGAGGCAGTTCAGAAAGATGGGCTGGGCAGTCGGGGAGCCTGGGAGGGCCATGGCAGGGAGCTATGTGGGCAGGCGAGTAGGGAGGAGCCCTGTAAGGCTCCCAGCAGGGCCAGGACCCTTGGACTCAGCACAAAACAAAGGGAGACAGCCCCAGGCCTGCCTGCTCAGGACTGGTCTGGCTTCCATCCAATAAAGGAAGGACCCTTCTCCAAAGAGTCAAAACAACCCAGATTGTTTTAGTTCCAGATTATTTTCTGAGCCCTTGGCTCAACAAAACCAGGTCCAGGATGGTTTGGCATCAGTATAATTCCAGGAGACTGAGCTGCAGGTCTCCTGGGTTCCCAGTTTCCTACTGCACTGCTCATGCAGTTCCCATGGAGCTGGAACATAGCCAGTCTGGACGGAAGGCTAAGTCACAGCACCCTGAAGGGACCATCCCAAGACCCTAGAGTATCTATCCACAGGGGACCTGCCTGTAAGGAAAGACAAAAATAGCCCATTAGGGCACTGCAATACTGCCTGCCCAGAAAGAGAGCAAATGCCAGGTGCTCTGGGGGCACCATACCAGCGGGCACCCAGCCCAGGCCTGAGCTCTGCCATCAGTGACAGTCCCCAGAACTTCTGCTCTGTCACTGGAGTGCCCACCCCAGAGCCCTCATACCTTCTCCACGTTCTCCACAGTGAAGTCCAAGGCTGGTGCTGCTCCAGCCCCTGCAGCCCCCGGCTGCTCCTCCCGCCGCTCCATCTTTGCTCCCTCCCTGGCAGGGAGGTGGGCCCTGATCTGTCTCCTGCCCCAGCCCCTTGGCTGCTGGCCCCCTGCTAGACCCCGGCTTGGGTGCCCAGGGAGTGGTGGGGTGAGGGGGGGCCCAGGGCGGGCATGGCTGCCGAGGCCTCCCCACCTCGTTTGGGGGTGGGAGGCTTGCCAGAGACCAAAATTGGTGCTCTTAGGAGACCCAATGAAGGGGACTCCGAGGAGGGAGCCGTCAGTGAGGAGCTCTCAGGCGGGGATCCTAGTGGCAGGTAACAGCTCTGTCCCCAGAATCTGTGTGGAGGGAGTCACAGGGGAGGGAGGCCTGCGGGGGAAACCGAGTCCCTGGCTCTTGAGGGGTCACAGGGTCGATGGCCTGTACCCACAACACCCCCGCCTGGGTGAGCTCTCGGCTGCTATGAACAGGTCATGGGGCTGGAGGGTCACGGGAGAGAGAGAGCCCTTCGTGGTTACGGAGGCGTCCAACGAAGCGCGGAGATGCAGCTCCGCTAGTCTAGGGCGAAGAGTCCGTGGAGTTGAGGGGCTGTGGCAGGTCCCTTCCGTTCGGCCTGGCCCGCGCTGTGCTCAACGCCCGGCTACAGCCCCGCTACAGCCGCTGCCTCCGCCCCAGTGACTGACAAGACAAGCCAGGCCGGCCGGGACGGGGCAGGGACCTCGGCAAGGCGCGGGCTGCCCCGAGCGCCTGTCCCCGGCACCTCCAACTCAGGCCCCCACTCCTGCCAGTTCTGGCTCGGCACGGCCCGGTACAGGCCGGCACGGCCCAGCGGAACTGCGCGGAAACTCATTCCGGGTCCTTAGCCCTGTCCTCGCGCCAGCTCGCACTCCCCTGAGCAGGCGGTGGAGCGGCTCGCCGCCCCAGGCCGCGGCCGAGTCTAGGCCCCGCCGCTGTTCACCCTGGGAAATGTAGTCCGTGTTGCGCCTAGCCGGAAGGCGGCGCCCTGCGGAGGAGGCCGGGAGCACGTGGGTTGGGGACCTGCAGAGCCCCGCCTGTCCTCGGCCTACCGCGGCGAGCAGGCATTCCGGGTCAGACCGGCGCGGGGCGCTGCGGCCCAACTCCTTAGTAGGACGACGTGACTCGAGGGGCCGGAGGACGGAGGTGGGAGCCCGGGCTAGAGGGTGGAGGCTGGGGAGGTTGCCTGGTCACTCTGGCGCTCCGCTGCCGGGGGCATCCTCCGGCCCAGCAAAGGTGCAGCCTGGGAAGAAGGCGTCAGCACCACCCAGAGAAGAGGAGAGGGGACTTGGCACGCCTCAGGAAGGAAAAAAGGAAGGCTCTCGGGACCACCCAATAAGCAACCGGGAAACCACATACCATGGACAGTGCTCGGGGAATTTCGTAAGGTTTTTGGAAGTAACTTTATGTGTAACTAGAGTAAGAGTAGCTTACATTTAAGTGCTAGGAGCAGGACTTTGCTTACCTTAGGTTCAGTTTTCTTAATAGCTCTGAGGTGGATATTTTTATTCATCATTTTCAGATGAGATGAGGAAATCGAGCTTGGGGAAAGTTAGGCTTATCTTGCCCCTGGCACACAGACAGGGTGGCAGACCATGCCATAGATCTGGTCTGCCACAGGCCCCGGTAGTTCCTGCCTGTCACCCCTCCAGTTGTATTTTATTGTTTATTAACTCCTGCCAGCTACCCTAGCAGGGAAGAGGAAAAAATTAAAAGTGCAAAGAGCTCCGTAGTTTTGTTCAAATGGAGGAAGCTGGCATTGGAAGCTGGCATTGGCAGCAGCTGCTGAGGCCTGAGAAGGTCCATGAAGGCTTCCCTGAGAAGAGAAACTTGATCTGAGCTTGAAGAATAGAGAGCCTGGGAAGGAGAGGGGCCCATTTAGCTGGTAAGCAAAATCCAGTAGGACTCTAAGTCATTCAGCAAGTCTTCATCAATAAAGAATAGCAAGTAGGCCGGGCGCGGTGGCTCACGCCTGTAATCCCAGCACTATGGGAGGCTGAGGCGGGCGGATCACGAGGTCAGGAGATCGAGACCATCCTGGCTAACACGGTGAAACCCCGTCTCTACTAAAAATACAAAAAATTAGCCGGGCATGGTGGCAGGCACCTGTAGTCCCAGCTATTCGGGAGGCTGAGGCAGGAGAATGGCTTGAACACGGGAGGTGGAGCTTGCAGTGAGCTGAGATCACGCCACTGCACTCCAGCCTGGGCGACAGAGTGAGACTCCGTCTAAAAAAAAAAAAGAAAAGAAAAGAAAGAATAGTAAGTAATTTATATTCATTTTAAGAGAATATATGTGGGGTGGGGAAGGGGAAGGGTATGAGTAACAGAGATGAGGTTGGAAAGACAAGTTGGTGGCAATAGATTCTTGTAGGAGTTTGGACATTATCCTAAGTGCAATATGAAACCATGATGGGGTTTCAAGTGAGCAATGATGATTACATTTGCATTTTAGAAAAATCTGCAACATGAAAGACAAATTGAAGGAAGAAAGAGAGGCAGGAGACATTTGGAAGGAGGAAATAGAAAGCCAAAATAAAGTAACTGATTCCAGGCCTGTGCCTAGGGTGTGAAATACCTTGGGCCTGGTGCTGGCTGGCGGTTTCACTGGTGGAGGTGGTGGTGGGCAGGGGAGATGGTGTTGGGAGTGGGGTTTAAATGCACAAATTCTGGACTTAGTCCTGAGTTCAAAACCTGTTTATGCCTCTTTCTAGCAATGAGACCTTAGCTTCTTCTGAAACTCATTTTAGTTAAGGGGTTTTAGGGGTGGGGGGCTCAGCCCAGAGACCACAACTTAGTCAGTATGTGTTTTCTTCCTGCTTCCCATCCAGGGCTCCTCCTCATCCCTGGAGGTTCCAGGGATCTGGCAGAGAAAGAAGCCCAGTCTCACAGCAATGACTCCTGAACATCCTTTGCAAACACTATTTAGGACAGATGGACTGAAGTAGGCCCTGGGGAGAGTTGGGGGCATTTCCGGAGGCCAGACCAAAGGTGATCTCCAGGAGATTTGGATGTTAGTGCAGGATAGCTCAGAGCCAAGTGGCAGATAAGTCTTTGGGAGCCAGAAGGGCTCTTTCTTCTCTAAGGAACAAGTGTAGACCTATAGGGGCAAGAACCTGTGGCAACCCTGGGAGAGGTCTGCAGATTCAGGAGGGAACATCCCAAAACTCAGCAGAGGAGGAGAGGGAGCTTTTGTTGGTCACCTGGAACCACTACCAATCCATGTTCATGTCAAATTAAATGATCACTTTGAAGTTTTTCAGCCTACCAAAATCATGTGAATTTGGTCTGCAAAACCAGACGACTGCCTGCTTGCAGTTAAGAATTCTCAGCGGGAGGCCGGGCGCAGTGGCTCATGCCACCAGCACTTTGGGAGGCTGAGGTGGGTGGATCACGAGGTCAGGAGTTCGAGACCAGCCTGGCTAACACGGTGAAACCCTGTCTCTACTAAAAATACAAAAGTTAGCCTGGTGTGGTGGCGGGCACCTGTAGTCCCGGCTACTTGGGAAGCTGAGGCAGGAGAATCTCTTGGACCTGGAAGGTGGAGGTTGCAGTGAGCTGAGATCGCGCCATTGCACTCCAGCCTGGGCAACAGAGCGAGACTCTGTCTCAAAAAAAAAAAAAAAAGAAGAAGAAGAAAAAAAAGAATTCTCAGGGGGAGATTATTCCCCTTTCTTAGTACCAAGGTTGGATGTAGGCAGTTTTCTTTGTAGTCCCCTGGTTTGAGGGAGAGAGGTTAGGTCAGACAGGGGCAGGTTTCTTTCTAATTCACCTTCACAGTGTAGGCATACACTGGCCTTTGAGGTCCTGGCCTTATGGAGAAGTTTCTAAATAGACTCCCCATGGTGAGGGGGCCCTGGGCTTTGTCTTTCTCATAAGCCCAGAGACCCCTTGAAAACCAATGATCAGGTTCTCTGGGTTCGGCAACTGCCCTCAAGATGAAAGCCAATGACAGAGCTTTGCTTACCTTTGTAGCTTCTTGCTTTCATTTACTTTTTTGGCCTCAGTGTGTTTCTTACATTTTTGCTAGCTTATGGATGCATTTAATTTTAAAGATAGATAGAGTCTAGTATTTAAAGTTGTTTTCAGGAGGAAGTTTAGCCCAAGTCCTTAGGCCACCATGTTGCAAGAAAACCTAACGGGCAGTTTTCGGTTCTGATGCAGCTTGATTTTTGTGCTGCATCTGGCCCTATTGACCAGTCCCTCAGCTCTTCTGTTTGGTTTTGTTTTTCCCGACACTCTGACTACTCCTTTTTGGTTTCCTTCACTGGCCCATCCCTGTTCCTCCACCTGTTCCTTAAATGTTGGTCCTCCTTAGTCTCCGCTTCTTGTCTTATGCCTCATTATCTCACCACTCCCCTGGCTTCAAGCTGTGACTCCTTGGATTTCTCCAGCCCAGACTGTCCTGGGTTTCAAACCTGCATATTTAGCTGCCTCCTGGCCCTCTGAAGTTGCCACAGGCACCCAAAGTTGAACATGTACAAAACTGAACTCACATTTTCCCCACATCTTACCCCTATCACATGCTAAAATACTACATCCCCTGTGTTCTGTACCAGTCCCCCAAGCTAGACACCTGGAAACCATCTCTCATCCAGCCCTCACCTCTCTTATTGTCCCTCACATCTCTTCTGTCCTTGCACATTTGCTTCTGCCCTAACTCAAGGTACCTGTGCTTGTTGCCTGAACGGCTCTAACTATGGCAGCTCTAGCTGGCACCCACCTTGCCTCTTCCATCCATACTAGACACAGTAGCAAGTGATCCATCTGAAACACATCTCTAACCAAGCCCACTTAAAACCCTTTAGTGGCTCCTTTCAGAGCGAAGGCTGAGCTTCTCGGTATAACATTCAAAGCCCTTTGTGACCTCTCCAGTCTTTTGTCTTGATGAGGACCCTCCCCAAGTCCACCTGAAGTTGCTGGCAATCCTGGGAGCGCACCAGGCTGTTTCACACTTCCCTGTCTTTGTTCATGCTACTTCCTCTGTTGAGAAGGCTCTGTGTCATTCTGGATGCCATCAGGAGAGAGACATCACACAGTCAGCAGGCAGGGAAAGTTCAACATAAGCATTTTGAAGTGTAACAGGGAATTGAAGCTGTGATGAACTGGCTAGTAAGAAGTAAATAAATAAATAAATAAACAAATAAAAATCTAAAGAATATAGGACTAGCAGAGTCTTCAGGCTGAGATGGAGAGCCCAAGGAAGAGGCCCTCACCTCTCCACTCCATTCCTGTCCAGGGCTGAGAACCACACCGTGCAGGACAGGACATGGCCACAATGAACAGTGTACATTTAGAAGTGAGAGGAAATAAAGGCAATCAGCAATAACCAGTTCGGGTTCCATGCCTCTCATCCACCCTATAATCCACCCTGTGCAAACAAACTCATTTTTCAAGACTCAGTTCAAATACCACCTTTTCCACAAAGACTTTTCCTCTTCTGCGTCTATCCAGGAAAAAACTGATTCCTCTTCCTTTGTGATTGTAGAATCTGCCCCCTCCTTGACACACATACCTATAACCTCAGTCATACTTCTACTGGGGTACTTGTTTACCCCTACCTAGGGTTGCCAGAAAAAAATCAGGACACTTATTTATTTTTTTTTTTTTTGAGATGGAGTCTTGCTCTGTCACCCAGGCTAGAGTTCAGTGTCACGGCTCACTGCAACCTCTGCCTCCCAGGTTCAAGCAATTCTTCTGCCTCCTGAGTAACTGGGACTACAGGTGTGCACCACCATCCCCGGCTAATTTTGTATTTTTAGTAGAGACAGGGTTTCACCATATTGGCCAGGCTGGTCTCAAACTCTTGACCTCGTGATCCGCCCACCTCGGCCTCCCAAAGTGCTGGGATTACAGGCATGAGCCACCGCACCTGGCCATCTATTTAATTTTGAATATGAGATAAACAACAATTTTTTTTTTTTTGAGATGGAGTCTCACTCTGTCGCCTAGGCTGGAGTGCAGTGGCACGATCTCAGCTCACTGCAAGCTCTGCCTCCCAGGTTCACACCATTCTCCTGAGTAGCTGGGACTACAGGCGCCCACCACCACGCCCAGCTAATTTTTTGTATTTTTAGTAGAGACAGGGTTTCACCATGTTAGCCAGGATGGTCTCGATCTTCTGACCTCGTGATCTGCCCTCCTCGGCCTCCTAAAGTGCTGGGATTACAGGCGTGAGCCACTGCTCCCAGCCTTTTTTTTTTTTTTTTTTTTTTTTTGAGATAGAGTCTTATTCTGTCACCCAGGTTGGAGTGCAGTGGTACGATTTTGGGCTCAAGCAATCCTTCCACCTCAGCCTCCCAAGTAGCTGGACCACAGATGCACGTCACCACACCTGGCTAAGTTTTTGTATTTTTGGTAGAGACAGGGTTTCACTATGTTGCCCAGGCTGGTCTTGAATTCCTGAGCGCTAGCGATCCACCTGTTTCAGCCTCCCAAAGTGCTGGGATTACAGGGGTGAGCCACCACGCCCAGCCAATTTTTTTGTATAAGTATGTCTCAATTATTGCATTGGACATACTGAAAACAAGTATTTAGGCCAGGCATGGTGACTCGCACCTGTAATCCGAGCACTTTGGGAGGCCAATGTGGGAGGATCTCTTGAACTCAGGAGTTCGAGACCAGCCTGGGTAACATAGCAAGAGCCCATCTCTACCAAAAAAATAAAAATTAAAAAAATTTAAAAATTAGCCAGTCGTGGTAGAATGCACCTGTAGTCTTAGCTAGTTAGGAGGCTAAGGTGAGAGGATCGCTTGAGCCCAGGAGGTGGAGGTTGCAGTGAACTGAGATCACACCACTGCACTCCAGCCCGAGGGACACAGCAAGACCCTATCTAAAAAAAAAAAAGGTGTATTTATTGTTTACCTTAAATCCATTTTTTTTTTTGAGACAGAGTCTCACTTTGTCGCCAGGCTAGAGTGCAGTGGCACAATCTTGGCTCACTGCAACCTCTGCCTCCCGGGTTCAAGCGATTCTCCTGCCTCAGCCTCCCAAGTAGCTGGGACTACAGGTGCGTGCCACCACGCCCAGCTAATTTTTATATTTTTAGTAGAGACCGGGTTTTACCATGTTGGCTAGGGTGGTCTCACTCTCTTGACCTCATGATCCGCCCACCTCAGCCTCCCAAAGTGCTGGGATTACAGGCATGAGTCACCACGCAGGGCCTGAAATCCAAATTTAACAGGATGTCTTTTACTTTTATTTGCTACCCTACCCCTACTTCCATCTCCAAGTATAGTTTCCTTGATGGCAAAACATGTTTCTCACTGGTCTCTGAATCCCTGAAACTAGCCCAGTGCACGACAGTTCATGCTCGGTTAATATGAAGAGAAGGCAACTTATCTGGCTGCAGCGCTGAGAATGGTTGGAGGGAGTTGTGACTGGAGACAGTGAGACCAGGTAGGAGGATGAGGAATAAACCATCCAAAAAATTATGAAGGCTTCAGCAGAATAGCACTGGGGATAGGGAAAGGGGATGGATCTGCAGGATCTAAGGATTTGGTGACCAATGCTTAAGGGACATGACAGAGCTTAAGGAGCCTAGGAGATTGCCCAAGTTTCTGGCTGTGTCACTGGATGAGGTTGGTGCACTCACTGAGCAGGGAACACTGGGGAGGGTCTGGAAGCTGGACAGCAGGGAAGCTCATTGATGTGAGGAGCAGAGCAGGCTGGAGAAGGGTGGACAGCAGATCTGAAGGAGGAAACGGAAGACATCCAGTATGGATATGTTAAGCTTGATGTCTCCCAGGATATACAGATAGAGGTATTGGAATTACAGACTTGGGGCTCAGGTGAATGTTCTAGGCTGGAGATAAAATGTGAGCATGGTTAGCATGGAGGTGGTAACTGAAACCACGGGAGTAGACAGTGCTGCTCAGGGAGAGAGTAGAATGGGAAGAGGAGAGAGAGTCGGTATCAGAGCTCTGAGGAACATGAGAGGCAGAGAGAGGAAGAGGAACTCAGAAGTCGTCTGAGAACAAGCCTCTGGAGGAGTGGAAGGAGAACCCGGAGAGTATTGGACCAAGAGAGTCACGGGAAGACAGGTTTTCAAGGAGGACTGACACTATCGAATGCTTCTGAGACTTCAAAGGACTAAATGGCCTTTGGCTTTAGTATTGACCAGAGTCACCTGTGGCCCCAGGAGCTACAATGTGCCACCTGGTGACAGGTTATAGCTACTATGTGGTAAACAGAGGTACAGCTCTGCAGCCTGTTTCCTTTGGGGAAAACAACCTTTTCTTTCTTGCTTGCTTCTTGCTTTCTCTCTCTCTTTCCCCTTCCTTCCTTCCCTCTCTCCCTCCCTCCCCCTCCCTCCCTCCCCTCCTTCCCTCCCTCCCCTCCCTCCCTCCCTCCCCTCCTTCCTTCCCTCCCCTCCTTCCCTCCTTCACTGTCTTCCTTTTGATTTGGGTTGTCCTGAGTTGCAAACTGAGGCTAATTCATATGGGAATGTGTTCTTGGAGCTGTTGCTGTCTTGTTCCGGACTCTGAGATGTTGAGCACAAGCTGTCTGGGGCCCAGAATGCAGCCTCCAGCTGGGGTGAGCCCTGTTCCCTCAAAAGCTGGCAGCCTGGGGAATGTTGACAGCCAGCACCTTTGGCTTGGGCTGTGGCCCTCTCACTGTGAGCATTGTCAGAGATGGCTTCAGTCAGTCTCCTTTACTGGCTCTGGAGCAGCCGTGTCTACTGAGTGGCAGGGTTTGGGGACTAGGCTAGGCTTTAAAGTCTCACTAGCAGGGGGCTGCCTGGCCCCAATAACCCTGGAATTGACAGAATGTCCTTCTCTGCCTGCAGCCAGCCCTCTGTAAACTGTATGGCCCTGGGGCCATTTTCTTTGCAGGAGGGAAGGTGGAACTAAGGATCCCGAATCCGTTTGGAGGCAGAGAGGGGCCAACAGGGTGTTTGAAGGGAGCAAAGGCATCGAAATTTTTGGAGCATCTAGAACTGGGGCAGTGAATGCAGAAGAGTGGGAGCACACACACGTTTCTCCTCCTTGACCCAGAATGGGCACAGCCTTCAGAGAGCTCTTGCCAGCTCCTCACTCTAGCCTGGGTGAAGGGGGCATCTGTGCCAAAGCAGGAAGGCACACAGGCGGATTGGAAGGAATTTCTCTCAGCAGCGTCAAATGCCTGAGGGATCTCGCCCTCGACCCTCTCCATCTCTCATGGTACTCTCATTCACCCCCGGCTGCAGCTCCTGCCTCTGTGCTGACAGCTGTCACATCAATCCAGCCCAGACCTCCCTCGGCAGCTCTAGACCAGCAGATCCCACTGCCTCCTGACAACCCCTCTGGATGTCCCACAGTTCCTCAGACTTAGCATCCTTTCCAAATCCATGCCCCCATCTCATTTCCAAAAAAGAAAAATCATAGAGGCCTCCCCAATACAAATGCATAGGACATGGGAAACAAGGTTTGAAAGGATATCCAGAAAAGCTTAGGGATAGCCCTGGCCTTTTGGAGGTGACTTGGGGGTGGTATGAGAGGCCAGAGTCAGCAGTAACTTCTCCTTTCTTCCCCACGAAGGTGTGGACTTCTTAGCTTCCTGTCCTTTTCGTACCATTTGCCAAATTGAATTTAAATAATTATTACTGTAATTGCTTACTTATTGTCTGTCTCTCCTGGTTGAAGCTTCTCAAGGGCAGGGATCATGTCTGTTTCACTTCTGTATCCTTGGCATCTGTCATATAATCAGTATCTGACATATAATAGGTGCTTAATAAATATTTGTTTGAATTAATGAATATCCTTGTTCATCACCCAAGATGCAGATCCTGCTGGGGCCCTTATCTTTTCCTGCCTCCTTATCCACATGGAGCTCTGTGCTTTGCTCACCGGAGCCAGCACCCCACCGCACCCTCTACCAACCCTCGGTTTTTTTCAGATGCCCTCATGCCCTGGGCTGCTTCATGGAATGTGGATAGTGAGTTAACCATGCTGGCCTGTCTGCAAGCAGAGGCATGTGTATATCTGACAAGGCACCCTCAAGACAATTCCCTGGATGGTAAGACACTGATCAATGACAGTGGGGTGGGGCAATGGGTGCTTCTCTGTGTCTTTACCCACTAAGCGGGGGCCACAAAGATGCCAGAGGTCACAGAGACAGGGCTTTCTCCACAGAAGCCTCTGTAGTCTCTTTCCCCAGAGGTAAGCCCAGGCCCAAGTGAGCAGCCTGCCAGGACTAGTGACTGCACCCTTGCTGCCCGCCCTGCCCCTGCCTGTGTTCCATGCCTCCCATCCCGGAGCTGCTGGGTGGGGGCCGAAGATCCAGGCCAGGTCTGTGATTGCTGAGTCAGCCTGAGGTGTGTGAGTGCGATCAGCAAGGCATGATCTCCATCCAGCCTCTTCTTCCCAACCCCCTGCTGCCCAGGAAAGGATCTGACAAGCCACAGAAGTAAATAAATAACTTAGAAATAATAAATAGGGGCCAGCTCCCATGAGTGAGTACAGGCCAGTTCCAGCACAGGCACTTTCAACCAAGCAACTGCAATATGTGTCCTTCAAATGCTGTCCCTACAGGGCCTGGGCGGGGGCTGATGCCTCAGCCACTGTAGTGTTCATCAGAGGAGGGGTCCCAGGTTCGAGGCCTGGCCAGTGCCAGAGTCTGTGAGAAGTGGGTCCGAAGGGCTCCATAGCTGAGGTCTCTGGTGTCTTTTAGGCTGGGATCCGCAGGGTGAGGGCTCTGGGGCTGCTAGTCAGTTGTCCCTTCACCTGTTCGGGGATGATATCCATCACCCACCGGCAGGGGCCTCTCAGCTTTGAGGCCTTCGTCCCTGGCTGAGGCCGCTGGCTAGTGGGACTCTGCGGGAGGGTCCCAGGCAGGAAGAGCCACCGGTAAGGGTCCAGTCTGCAAAGCCCTGGAGCGAGCCCTCAGCCCAGGCAGCCGCAGGCGGTGGCGGAGAGGCGGTCCACGGTTCTCCAGGTGCTGTTGACGTCCATGAAGGAGACCGCTTCGTAGCGCGTGGGTCGGCAGCAGGGCTGGCTGACGGGCCGGGAGCCCGGGGGCGGTCGCAGGGCCCCGGCGCCCAGTAGGCTGGCCAGGCTGAGGTCGTGTGGAGAGCGCGCGCGGCGGCAGGAGCCGCTGCAGAAGCGGAAACGCACCAGCTCGTCGGAGCGGTGGCCCAGGCCGAGCGCGCGCACCGGCACCAGCTGCGAGCGCAGGCGGCAGCCCCGCGCCCCCGCTGCCCGAGCGCGGCTGCCCGGGCCCCCAGCCCGCGCCGCGCGGCCCCCGCGGGGAAGAGCAGATGGGGGTGCAGGCGGCGGGGGCGCGGGCCGAGAAGGCTGCGGCGGCGGCCGCCGGGCTCTTCCACTGCACCAGCGGGCCGTGCGTCCCCCTGGAATGAGACCCAGTCACGCGCGGTGTCCCGGGCCAGCCCCGCCCCGCCCCCTCGCCCTCTCACCTACCCGGCAGGTGGCCGGCGGGGGACGCCAGGACAGGCGGGGGGCCTTCGCGGGGGGCAGGGCTGCGGGGCGCGGAGCCCAGGGAGGCCTCTGCGACGCTGCTCAGCAGAGCCAGAGCGGCCAGGGTGGGCCACAGGGCAGGCTGCGCGGAGAGACCAAGTGGAGCCTCAGGGAGAAAGAGGGCACCCAGGTGGGCTTGGGGAGGAAGGACCTCAAGGAGGGGCTGTCCTCGGGCTGAGATCAGGCCGGGCATGGGCTCCTAGCTGTGTGGAGGGGAAACTCAGGAAGGGCCTAGGTTCCAGTATAATGGGTTTGCTGCCTCTGGGAGCCCAGGGGAGGAATCACCTGAGTGCACCGACCATTCAGAGAAGTCCCGCTCCTCCTCCCATTCACCTGGTCCCTCCCTGACCATTTTCCCTCCCACACCTAACCGCTGCCCAAGCCAAGCCCTGCTCTCCCTCACCAGTCAAGCCGCCTTTCCTCAGTACCAGGTAGGAGTCACTGGGAGAACCACTCACCTGCTGCCTAGGCCAGGGGCAGTGGGACAGCGTGGAGAGGCCTCCAAGTCCAAGTTCCATCTCTATCAACACCAGGAGCGCCCATCAGCCATTGTTGAGCTGTTCCCCCACCCTCCTGTTGAGGCAGCTTGCAAATTAAGAGATGAGTTATCTTTTGTGGGGGACCGGCCTGCCACCCCAGTTTCTCCAGGTGAGGAACAAGGGGCCTACACAGCTAGACTCAACCCAGCAGAAGTAGCTGCACTGGGAACCTTACTATGTGTTAGGTGCTTTGCAGCTATTCTTTCACAACTCCATGAGGTAAATGGTTTAATCCCCTTTTTCCAGATGAGCAAACAAGGCTCAGAGAAGCTCAGAGGTTGTCTAAGGTTACAAGGTCACACAGCTGGAGGGGAGAGAGGGGTCCTCTTTTCCCAGAACCTTCCTGCTCTGCGTTGTAGGTCTGGAGATGCCAGAAGTGGCTGGAAGGAGTTATAGCTGGACACACTTGGTCCTACAGAGGCCTTCACCCCAGGCTGCCGGAGAGGAAGCTGAGGGCTGGAGAAGAATTAGGGTGCTAGCTGGTCACTCTAAGAGTTATCTAATGATAGTGAGCCCCAAGCCTCAGCCTGTGCTGCCCACCCAGAGCTGCTTCACCTCGCCCCTCTGTGAACTGTGTTCTGGACCCAGAGCCACCTGAGTTCTCTCCTCTGACTATAGGTGTCCCTCGATGACCACAGAGCCGGGGGATGGTGGGAGCTAATGGGCCCTCTGAAAACATGGGGCCTGGGTCATGGCTTCCTGTGGCCACAAGGGGGCAGAGTCTGCCAAGCCTGCAGATTCCAAGCAGGGTGGGCTTTTCCATCCCCTCAGCTACACTCAGGCCTGAGCCACTCCCAGGAGGGCCAGCTAGGCTTCCATACCAGCCTGGTCTCTGAGAGCTGAGCCACCCTGGGAGCTGGTCTAGGTCTGTCCCCCTCCCAGCCTCCTATGGATCTGGCAGCCTAGTCATGCTCCTAGAAGTTTCCCCCTTGAGCCATCGTTCCTGATCCCAGCCAGCCTTCCTGAGCTCCCACTGCTAGCACTCCCAAACACCCTTTTGGGGCCCTAGAGCCTTCGTAAGTCCTCATTAGCCAGCCTCCTCTTGGGTCCCAGCTACCACCCTCATCCCCATCCTTTAGCACACAGAATGCCTGCACACCTGTGGAACAGACCCCCAGGCCTTCCCGGGGTTGTCCTCCAGGTCCTGGTGTGTGCCTCTTGGCTAAGTGGAATCAAGGCCTCCGAGCCAGGCCAGTGACTGTTGTCCGTGATGGAGGGAAAGGCAGGCAGGGCAGCCTTAGGAGCCCTCTGCGCTAGGGGGAGCCCGGGAGCAGGTCTCTTGAGGGCAGCTCAGGCCCTGCCTCCTACCTCCTTGTGGTCTAGGGCCATTTGGTTCTCTGGCCCTTGCCTCCCCATCCACCAGCCCGCTACTCACCACGGGGTCCTGCACCTTGTTCTTCTAGGCACCTTTCCGGGGACCAGTGCTGGGCTCTCCCCCGAAGCTCAAACAGCGCATGCCCAGGACTGTACACCTGGCAGTGCCTCTTTTAGCCAAAAGTGTGGCCTTGGCAGCCAGTCTGCACCCTGTAGCGGCAGCGGGAGCCTCACATTACAGTGGGCCGGCAAGGCCAGCACAGTCCAACAAGCGACAAGAGGGACTGAGGGGCTGGGAGGGGCGGAGAACTGTGCCGAGGGCCCAAGAGAGGGAGGATGCAAGAAAGGAGAGGAGGGGGGTGGTCCTGTCCTCTCCCCCAGCCCAAGAGCGTCCATCCAGGGCTGGGACCAGAAACAGGCAAGTGGGCTGGCTTACCTCGGGTGTGGGGCTCCAGGCCCGGGTGGCAGCGAGGGCTGGGGCCCGAGGGACCTGCTGCTGGCGGAGCCCCCGGGCCTTGTCTGGGGGCCGGGCCCAACTCCATCCCTCAGCAGCCTCCTGCCCGCCGCCGCAGCCGTCCGGTGTCAAATTCCAGCCCCAGCGTCACCAGATCCCGGGGTGGGGCTGGGAGCGCCCCTGCCCCGCCCCACCTTTCGGGGCTCACCTGGCTGCTCCACCCGTCGGATCCAGTCCCCCCTAGCTTGGCTAGGTCCCCCGAGGTTGGGAGGGGGGTAGATGCTGGGAGGGGCCCCTCGGATATGGAGAGTAGAGAACTCGAGCGGTGGAGAGGCACGGAAACCGGGAGTTGAGTTTGTAGACTCGCGAAGTAGAGAGCTGGGAGGCCGGGCCGAGGGCGGGAGAAAGTGAGTGAGGGCGGGGAGCGAGGGGTAAGCCGGTCCCTGCGTGGGGCGGCTGACTGCTGGTACGTGCAGATTTGGGGGTCCGGCTGTCTGCCCTGCAGCAGCTGCTCTCTGCTCCACCCGATTCTTCTCTCAGCGGCCAGTTCACCTGCCTTGTTGGGTTGCTTAGCCTCTGCGCAGCTTTCAGGATCTGACTCTGCTCTAGTCTCCCCACAGCTCACCTCCTGTGCTGCTTAGGGCTTGGAGTACGGACACACTTGCAAACACGGGAGTCACTGGGGCACAGCAGGGGCAGTGTTGGCAGAAGTGGGTACTGAGGGCTGAAGGCAGGGGTCACAGAGGAGGAACATCTGAGCTGAGTCTTGAAGTAGGTAGCTGGAGGGCAGCATTTCAGATGCCTAATTATGGCAATTTGGCAGGTGGGTTGAGGGCTGGGTGAGTAACATGGATGGAAAGATCCTAACACTGGGGACCATGGGAGGGTTTTGAGCAGAATGGTGTAATCAGACAGGCATTTTTTGTGGATGACTCTGGCTGTAGTAAAGAGGATGGGGTTGGAGAGAAAGGTGGAGGCTGCTGTGGAAAGAGGATGAGGTCTGATGCAGGGCATGAGGGGAGCGTGGGGCTGCCAGGCCCCAATCTGGAACACGCAATTTTGAAAATTCATTAGTGCCTGACTGGATAGGGTGAGGAGGTAGGTAGACCCTGCAAAAGTGTGCCTTTGGCGGGGTGACCTGGGGGAGGGGTACATCCCGGCTCCTGGGAGGAAAGGCAGGGGCTCATGAGTTCGGTGTTGGACATGTTGAGTTGGAAGGGCCTGTGGATTATCCAAGTGGAAATGTTCAGGAAGCCGGTGAATTTGTAGCCTGGAAGGAAGCAGAGAGAGCTGCGCTGGCAAAGGCAATTTGGGAATTGTCAACCAACTGGCAATTGGAAGCTGTGGTCAGGGATGAGAGTGCTGGGGATGTGTGTGGACCAGCTGTACCCTGGCTATGCTTCTGAACCACTAGGGACCTTTAAAAACTACCCACATCCGGGCCTCAACCCAGACCCAAATCAGACTTTCAGGGTGGACATGTGCAGTTTTCAAATTGCACAGGTGATTCTGGTGCATGGCCAGGGCTCAGAACCATAGCTGGTGTGAAAGTAGTTTTCCGCGGTGGTGAGGACTAGAAGTCAGACCACAGAGAACTGCTGCTGGAGGTGGTGGGGCTGCTGCAGGCGTGCCAGGAGCCCCCTGGGATAGGAGGCCAAGCAGGGAGCAGTCTGCTCTGTCACCTCCCACAACCGGCTGCTCAGTTGGGGCACCTGCCTTGGGGCTTTTTCAGCCAGGGACACCACTTATGGCCATTCAGCCTATGCCCTGTACAACTCCACGGGGCACCATCCAGGCAGGAACATGTGCATGGTAGTGGCCTTATTTCCGGTAGAAATGGAGGGGGTTTCTGGGTTGACCTGTCCCTCAGTCAGGGCCTCCCTTACCCCCCTAGCCCAGGAGGCTTCTGCCTAAGGCCGGCCACAGTGGGAAGGAGCATGTGGGAGGCTGCTGGTCCCTGGGATGGCCGGGACTCCAGCCTTAGGGCTCACCAGTGGGAGGGCAGCCCAGGGCTGCCTGGAGTCTTGGATTGGGGTGGGCAGGAGAGAGGAGCAGGAGCCGGCCACCCCACTTACTGCCTGCCACAGTGGCAGTGTGTGACAGAAAGCTCACTTCATGGCCTCAAGTGCAGGCGACAGTCTGGTCTGTCCATTCTCAGGCCTGCCTGGGGATGCTGGGGAAGAGAGGGATCAGACTCTAGGACTCTTAAGAAGGCGACGTGATATCTTTTCTAAAGTATGACAGAGGATACCTAGAGCAGGGCTGAAGGGAGAGGGTGTGCCTCTGTGCTAATGATTGGGGCTGGGGCATGTCCTTCCCAGAGGGACGGGAGTGTCAGTAGTAGGGTAGGTCTGTGAGCCTCTGCTTGCTGCAGGGGCTCAGCAGTATATCTTTCCTGTGCTTGCAGGAATATCTGTCCTTCCAGAGGTGGGGCTGTGGCACCCCAAGGCAATGTCCTAGGGCTCCAGTCCTGTGCCTCTGTCTCCTCTAAGAGTGTGCCCTGAAACCTCTGGTCTCAAAGCAAAGAGGATACAGGAGATGCTCCAGAGGCCTCTGGATGGCTACCTAGGTCCTGCATTGACACAAGAAGTGAAAGGGACCCAGGACTCTGTGGACTGGAGAGAGGGCCCGAGGGTTTGGCATAGTTGCTAAGGCTTTAGGTTCCTGTTTCTTCCAGGAAAGTCAGAGAAGGCAAAAAGAGGCCAGGCTCAGGGAAGAGCTTTATTGCTTCCATGGGGGTGGCCTGGGACGGCTGCCACAGCTTGGGTAAGCTCCTTGGGCCTCACTTCCCTTTGGTCCAGGCTAAAGGCAGAACCCAACCACCTGGCAGTCTTGTTGCTGAAACCTAGAACATGTGGCAAGTTGGTGAGTCCGGGCCTGCGGTAGTCCTATGGATCAGCTGCAGCTGTGGAGGGGAGCTCTTCCCAGCAGGCGGAGCTGGGCGTCACCCTCCTGAGCTTTAAAGTTCTTTCTGCTATAGCCCTGGGGCGGTCTTGTTGGCTCCGAAGGGATGGCTCCAGGGTTTCCCCATGGGACAGCTAGGGCTGGTGAGTGGGAATACCCCGCCTTCTCCCCAAGAAAGGCCAAACAGTGTCATGAGCTGGAGGGGGCTGGCTTGAGATCCTGCCCACCATCCTGTAGCCCCACAGCAAGGTACAGGCTGGTCCTGGCACTCCTGCCCCACAGGGAGCTAACAGGTAACACTGCCTGATGGGCCCTCTAGTGGGCCTCTTCCTGCATGGCAAGTGAACCCAACTTGACATCTCCAACCTTATTTAAAAATAAATTATCCCTACCCTCCCCCCTACCCAAATTCACAAAATGATAATACACCAAACACTGATTGGAGAAGTGATTCCGGCAGCAGCCTTGCTGCCCAGTGTCCCACCACCTGCATGCTGGGCCTGCTGGGCACAGCCAGGAGCCTGCTGGCCCTCTGGCATCAAGGACCCATGCTGAATGAGGCTGAGTGCTGGTCTCTGAGACTGGCTGCTGAGCAGGCACAGCTCTGGCTGCTCCACCAAGGCCTTGCTGCCCCTGGGGCCCTTGGCACCGTCCTTCTCTGGGTCTGAAGACTCCTGTGTAGGTGGTGCTGGCTGCTGCTCCTGGTGGTGCCTGGGCCTCTATGGCCATGTGCTGGGCCCACTCAGATGCCACTGCTTAGATCAGTGATGACGCGAGCTTTCACCAGCTTCCGCAGAAACTCTTTCTCTCGCTGGATATTGTGCGTCCAGGACTGAAAGGAGAGATGAAGTGATCAGTTGGGCCTTTGCTCAAACCTTTACTGCCCCTTCCAGGGCTCGGTGCCTTCTTCGTCACCACTCTCCAATACTCCGTGACTGTGGAAACCTGAAGGCAGATACTGGTAATCAGTTGTGTCTACACGGTAATGATGACCCTGCTCTAGGAGTGCCACAGCTCATCCTCCTCCCTTCCCAAGACAGGGAAAAAAGAACCTTCATACCCCTTTCCTCGTCCCAGGAAAACCGTTAAGCTTCCCAACCTCCCTCCTCAGTGCTGGCGGAAGGACCTTGTTCCCACAGACTTCAAGCCACTTCTTGTCATGAAGCACCTAGGTTATAGACACCCTGCGGGCAGGCAGTGTGAGTCACTGAAGTCCAACAGCAAGGGGTGGCTGAGTCACTCCCTGGCCTGATGCAATCTACTCTCCAGGCCTGGGGGCGGCGGATGAAATCCTGCCTCCCAGATCAGAGGAGCTATGGGGCCTGCGGAGAGATGGCAAATCTTTTTTAGAAAATTAAAAATAGGCCAGGCGCGGTGGCTCACGCCTGTAATCCCAGCACTTTGGGAGGCCGAGGCGGGTGGATCACGAGGTCAGGAGTTCAAACCAGCCTGACCAACATGGTGAAACCCTGTTTCTACTAAAAATACAAAAATTAGCTGGGTGTGATGGTAGCGCCTATAATCCCAGCTACTCAGGAGGCTGAGGCAGGAGAATCGCTTGAACCCGGGAGGCAGAGGTTGCAGTGAGCCGAGATCGCGCCACTGCACTCCAGCCTGGGCAACAGAGAGAGATTCTGTCTCAAAAAAAAAAAATAATAATTAAAACTAATTTTTTAATTGAAAGAATTGTACATATTTTTGGGGTAGAATGTGATGTTTTGATAGATGTATACATTGTGGAATAATTAAATCAAGCCAACCTCACCTACTTACCAATTTTTTATGGTGAGCACATTTGACTATAGTTAATAATAATGTCATATATTTCAAAATTACTAGAAGAGGCTTCTGGGGAAGACTGTACCTGGGATAGGGTCCTTTCCTAACCCCAGGACTCTCACCAGAAAACTTTGATGAAAAAGGCTTGATTTAATGAATGAAGGGCTGAATGACAGCAGCCTTATCAGAGTTTGTCCCCAAGTGACCTCTCTGTTGCGTTTGTCAGCATTGAGCTTCACCATAACTGTTTATTTTTTATCTATTTATTTATTTTTGAGACAGAGTTTCGCTCTTGTTGCCCAGGCTGGTGTGCAGTGGTGTGATCTCAGCTCACTGCAACCTCTGCCTCCCAGGTTCAAGCGATTCTCCTGCCTCAGCCACCTGAGTAGCTGGGACTACAGGAGTGCACCACCACACCCAGCTAATTTTGTATTTTTAGTAGAGATGGGGGTTTCACCATGTTGGTCAGGCTGGTTTTGAACTCCTGACCTCAGGTGATCCACCTGCCTCAGCCTCCCAAAGTGCTGGGATTACAGGCATGAGCCACCGTGCCCGGACCACCATAAATGTTTTTGTTTTTTTTTTCAGATGGTGTCTTGCTCTGTTGCCCAGGCTGGAGTGCAGTGGCACGATCTTGGCTCACTGCAACCTCCGCCCCCCGGGTTCAAGGGATTCTCCTGCCTCAGTCATCTGAGTAGCTGGAACTACAGGTGCCTGCCACCACACCTGGCTAATTTTTTGTATTTGTAGTAGAGATGGGGTTTCACCATGTTGGCCAGGATGGTCTCTATCTCCTGACCTTGTGATCCACCAGCCTCAGCCTCCCAAAGTGTTGGGATTACAGGTGTGAGCCATCGTGCCCGGCCAATAACTGTTAACAGCCACTATTTAGTGGTGCTGAGAAGTGAGCTGGATGCAGTGCCCTGTGCCTGTAGTCCCAACTACTTGGGAGGCTGAGGCAGGAGGATCACTTGAGCTTAGTCCACCTGGGCAACATATAGAAACCCCATCTTTTGAAAAATAATAAATAAATGAATTTTTTACAAAGAACTTATGGCTTGCTCTGTCTAGCCCTTATTCTGATCCAGTCAACCTTCTCCACCTTCCAAATCTTTTACATCTGAAACTCAGGTAGTCATCAGCCAAATTCCCGCAGTCATCAGCCAAATTCCCAATATTCCTCTTCTCTGAGCATTCCCTTCAACCTCTTGTGCTAATCACAAACCCAGCTGCCCTGAAGGAGAGTGCCCCCATACCCCCTCTCAAGTGGTGACCGTTTCTTCCCTCACATTCCACACTCCACAGCCTCTGAAGGCGGGAAGCGTCTTCCTTACACCCCGTTGTCCCTCAGACTCCCTAAAGCCCTCCGGCCCCTTCAAGGCTCCTGTCATTATACTCTGCCATCTGCACTTGCCCCTCCTCATTGCAGATCCCTGGGCGACTCATCCCCATTCTTTGAAGACTTAAGCATCTGGCTCACTGTCTCTCTTTGAGGGTAGGGACTGTTAGGCACAGAGTAGGTGCCTCAATATTTGTTGAATGAAATTAGGTTTTACAGGGAAAACAGAGACTTGGAGGAAAGACAAGGCCAGGATTCAAGCAGATGTGGAAACTCGTTTGCCTCTTTACTTATCCCTCGTCCTCATCACTCCTCTGGAGAAGTAGTAACGAATTTGATGGGTCAGGGTCAACAGCACCCACTAGGAGTCATTGAGGGTTAAAAGGTCAGCAGAGGACTGGACATTTGATGATATTAAGGAATTACTGTTCATGTTTTTAGGTGTAATAATTTAAAAAATAGTCCTTATCTTTTAGAGAAAATGAATGAAGTTTTTTGTTTTGGTTTGGTTTTTGTTTTTGAGATGGAGTTTTACTCTTGTTGCCCAGGCTGGAGTGCAATGGTGCGATCTTGGCTCACTACAACCTCTGCCTCCCGGGTTCAAGCAATTCTCCTGCCTCAGCCTCCTGAGTAGCTGGGATTACAGGCACGCACCACCACTGGCTAATTTGTATTTTTAGTAGAGACAGGATTTCGCCATGTTGGGCAGGCTAGTCTCGAACTCCCGACCTCAGGTGATCCACCTGCATCGGCCTCCCAAAGTGCTGAGATTACAGGCGTGAGCCACCACGCCCGGCCTGAATGAAGTATTTATGGTTGGAGGGATATATGGTATCTGAGACATGTTTGAATCAGTGGAGTGGGAGCATGAGACAAAGAAGAGATGGAACAATGTTGGCCGCCTGTTGATGCCTGTGGAAGGTGGGGGGCAGGAACGTGGGAGTTCATGATATTATCCTCTGTACTCGTAATATGCTTGACAATTTCCATCATAAAAAAGTAAACAAGAAAGTCAGCCCTGGGGTGTAGCTCTCTTGGATCCGGCAATGCCACCTCTCTGGTGCTCTTTTCCTAATTCTATGCAGACAACTTCTGAGTTCACCTGAGCTTTGAACTGGCCGCGGCTGGTGGAGGATTCTGGTCATCCTGGGGTCTCCAGCCTTACCAGGGCCCTTGATTCTGAGTATTGATGTCCATCCCATGTCACAGTCCACACTCTCAGAAGCTTTTATTTTTTTTTGAGACGGAGTTTCACTCTTGTTGCCGAGGCTGGAGTGCAATGGTGCAATCTCGGCTCACTGCAACCTCGGCTCACTGCAACCTCTGCCTCCCGAGTTCAAGCGATTCTCCTGCCCCAGCCTCCCGAGTAGCTGGGATTACAGGCATGCGCCACCACACCTGGCTAATTTTGTATTTTCAGTAGAGACAGGGTTTCTCCATGTTGGTCAGGCTGGTCTCGGAACTCCCGACCTCAGATGATCCATCCGCCTTGGCCTCCCAAAGTGCTGGGATTACAGGCGTGAGGGACCGCGCCCGGCCAGAAGCTCTTTTTCTTTGGCTCCTCGCCCAACCGTTAAGTATCCACGTTCAAGGGTCCTGCCAGGATGAGCCGCGCTTCTCACTCTCTGTCCTCTCTCTGGGAAATCTCATCCTTATATCTGAAGAAGCGGCTGTGCTAACAACTCACAGATCTATACTTCCAGCCTGGACTTCTCTGCTGTGTGACAGATTCCCGTATGAAGCCACGTCATCCTCTAGCTACTGCCCAGTCTCTCTACTCCCTTCTCTTCCAAGCATCCTGAGAGATCCCTTACCACGAGCAACATCTGTGGTCTCTAACCACAGATGTAGGTGCCGTCTACTCACTGTTCACTACTGCAATCTGGCTTCCACTCCACTATTCCTTTGAAACTGTTCTCACCACAGTCAGCAGTTAACTCCTAACAGCTACATCCGACGGCCACCTCTCAGCCCTCATCTTACTGGGTTTCCCAGCACCACATTGTAGATGCTCTTCCTGGAATGCTGCTCCTTTGGCCTCCACGATGTGGCACCTTCCTGATTCCTCTGTCTCCTTTATGGATTCCCTTGACATCCCTTCCATATCCCCGGCATTCAATCCTTGGTCCATGTGTCTCCACATCCCACACACTCCTGCTGGGCCTGCAGAGTGAGCTGATCAAGGCAAATGCAGGTGAAGTGAGGAGAAGCCAAGGTGTTGAATGGTCCATGTGAGACACCCCAGGTAACAGAGGGATTCTAAACCCGGGCACCAACATTCTCAGTGAATCCTCTTCTGGGGATTGGTAAATAACAGTGGCAAGTAGGGGTAAAATATTAATCATAATGGCTAAGATTTCTGAGTGCTTACTACGTGGCAGGCCTTTTTTACACATGATCACATCCGGTCCTTTCCAAACCCTAGGAGGTAGGTGCTGTTACTGTCCCTTTCATAGATAAGGAAATGCAGGTCTAGAGTCAGCCCCTGAACCAAGGTCCTGAAGTCATCTTTTATGATTTGAGAAGCTACACTCTTTTTTTTTTTTTTTGAGACACAGTCTTGTTCTGTCACCCAGGCTAGAGTGCAGTAGAGCTATCTTGGCTCACTGCAATCTCCACTTGAGCCCTCCTGGGCTCAAGCAATTCTCCTGCTTCAGCCTCTGGAGTAGCTGGGATTACAGGCATGCACCACCACGCCTGGCTAATTTTTGTATTTTTAGCAGAGACGGGGTTTCACCATGTTAGCCAGGCTGGTCTCGAACTCCTGACCCCAGGTGATCCACCCGCCTCAGCTTCCCAAAGTGCTGGGATTACAGGCATGAGCTACTGTGCCCGGCCAAGAAGCCACACTCTTAAGCACTCTACAGGGAGTGTAGTGCAGCAGATGCTGGGAGCCTCAGAGCCAGTGAGGTTTTACATGTAATGGAGGGACAATGGAGATATGGCAGGTGGAAGCAAATGAAAAGACTCCATCAGAGAGGGCTGCAGGGAAGGCAGTGCCCTACCTCATTCCTGCACCAAGGCAATCCCTAGGTCTTACTGAGTTAAAATCCTATTTCTTGAGTCTGTCTCATCACCTTATACTTCCAGCCTGGACTTCTTGCCTCTGACTAATCGCCTTAGCCGAAGATCTGGCTCATCGCCTCTCTCATCACCTCTCATTGTCTCAGCCAAAGATCTGGTTCAGGAGTTACCATCTCTTGCCCAAAGTGCAGCAACTCCCAACTAGGTTCTGTTCCTGCCTCGCCCCCTCTCCTTCATTCTGCAGCCACAGTGATCCACTACATGCTAATGTAAGGCCTCAAACTCACCCATGTCTCCCCACTGCCTTCTAAATAATGTGCAAACTCCTTCCGTGGCACAGAAAGCCCATTGCGATTTGGCCATCGCCCACGTCTATGGCTCTCACCCTCTGCATACAACTTTACATAAAGTTTACATAAAAGGCATTTGTAAAAGACCAAAGATATAAGTAAACGTAGAAGCCAGGAGGCTGATAAAAGCTGTGAGGGCAATCTGAAGTGGGCGCTGGCTGTGGACAAAGCAGCAAGAAGGCACGTGAAGCATGGCAGGGATGGAAGACTTTCGGGGCCACGGTGATGGTGAGGCAGTTCTAGAACTGTCCCAGACCCACAATGAGCTTCTCACTCCTGAACCCTATCCGAGACAACAGGAGGCCCAGCTGGAAGGCTGTTTCTAGCTTCCTATGAGATTTCCAAGTGCCTTATATATCCTTGAAATAACTCCCAATCACTTGAGGTAGTTGGAATAAACCTGCTGTAGACTGAATGTTTATGTCCTCCCCATGAATTCATATACTGAAACCTAACCCCCAATGTAATGGAATTTGGAGGTGGGGGCCTTTGGGGAGGTGATCAGGTCATGAGGGCAGAGCTCTCATGAATGGGATTAGTGCCCTTATAAGACTCAGGGCCAGGTGCAGTGACTCATGCCTATAATCCCAGCGCTTTGAGAGGCCAAGGCAGGAGGATCGTTTGAGGCCAGGAGTTCAAGACCAGCTTGGGCAACATAGCAAAATCTCATCCCTACAAAAAATAAAAAAAATTAGCCAGGTGTGATGGCACACACCTGCAGTCTGCTACTAGGGAGGCTGAGGTGGGAGGATCACTTGAGCCCAGGGGTTTATGGCTACAGTGAGCTATCATCACACCACTGCACTCCAGCTTGGGCAACAGAGTGAAACCCTATCTCAAAAAGAAAAGAGAGAGACTCAGGAGAGCTGCCTTGCCTCTTCCATCATATGAGGAAAGCAAGAAGACAGCTGTCTATGAACCACCTCTCTGGTGGGTCCTGACCAGATACTGAATCTTCCCGCACCTTGATCTTGCACTTCCCAGCCTCCAGGACTGTGGGATATGAATTTCTGTTGTTTAAAAGCCACCCAGACTATGGCATTCTGTTATAGCAGTCTGAAGGGGCTAAGAACCAAAAAAGCCTGATACAATATAGGTGGTACCTGAAGTCATGGACAGGGATGTAAATCTCCTAGAGAACATGCAGAGTGAGAAGAGAAGGCTGTCTGAGATGGAGCCTTGGCTAGTGCTTTTTTTTTTTTTTTTTTGAGACAGGGTCTTACTGTCACCCAGGCTGGAGTGCAGTGGCACAATCATGGCTCACTGCAGCCTTGACTTCCTGGGCTCAAGTGATCCTCCCACCTCAGTCTCCCAAGCAGCAGGGACTACATGCGCACACCAGCGCTCCCAGACAACTTTTCCAATTTTTCTTTTCTTTTTTTTGAGACGGAGTCTTGCTCTGTCACCCAGGCTAGAGTGCAGTGGTGTGATCTCGGTTCACTGCAAGCTCCACCTCCTGGGTTCACACCATTCTCCTTCCTCAGCTGGGACTACAGGCACCTGCCACCATGCCCGGCTAGTTTTTTGTATTTTTAGTAGAGATGCGGTTTCACCGTGTTAGCCAGGATGGTCTCGATCTTCTGACCTTGTGATCCACCCACCTCGGCCTCCCAAAGTGCTGGGATTACAGGCATGAGCCACCATGCCTGGCCTTTTTTTTTTTTTTTCTTTTTTGAGACAGTCTTGCTCTGTCGCCCAGGCTGGAGTGCAGTGGCATGATCTCGGCTCACTGCAACCTCCACCTCCCAGGTTCAAGCAATTCTCCTGTCTCAGTCTCCCGAGTAGCTGGGACTACAGTTGTCCACCACCATGTCCGGCTAATTTTTGTATTTTTAGTACAGACAGGGCTTCACCTATTGGCCAGGCTGGTCTCAAACTCCTGACCTTAGGTGATCCACCCGCCTCGGCCTCCCAAAGTGCGGGGATTACAGGCGTGAGCCACCATGCCCTGCCTCCTATTTTTCTTTTTTGAGACGGAGTCTCATTTTGTTGCCCAGGCTGGAGTGCAGTGGTGTGATCTTGGCTCACTGCAACCTCTGCCTCCTGGGTTCAAGTGATTCTTCTGCCTCAGCCTCCTGAGTTGATGGGATCACAGGTGCCCACCACCACGCCTGGCTAATTTTTGTATTTTTAGTAGAGACAGGGTTTCCCCATATTGGCCAGGCTGGTCTTGAACTCCTGACCTCGGGGGATCCGCCCACCTTGGCCTCCTAAAGTGCTGGGATTACCTGCGTGAGCCACCGCGCCCAGCCAATTTTTCCTATTTTTAGTAGAGATGGGGTTTCACCATGTTGCCCAGGCTGCTCTCAAACTCCTGGGCTCAAGCAATACCCCTGCCTTGGCCTCCCAAAGTGCTGGGATTATAGGCATGAGCCACTGTGCCCAGCTATGATGAATTTTAAGGCGTAGATCAGAATTGATGATGCTGAGAAAGAGAATGTGAGAGAATGGTGAGTGAAATAAGAGGAATGTTGGAAATTACTGACTCAGAAGTTCAAAGAAGAAGGAGTGGCCAACACGAAAAGTGTTTCTGAGAGATCAGGAAAGATGACGTTGTGTCCACTGGAATTGGCCACCTTGAGGTGGTGACCTTGATGGGAGCTGGGTCAGGTGTGAGGGGAGCCAGGCTGCAAGGGGTGAAGGGCCAAGTGGGAGTACAGTGCAGAGCCCGACAGATCAGAGTCCCCTCTGTGGCTTCAGTTTCTTCACTGGAAGAGGGAGGAGCTTTTGGGGCATGGAAGGCTCTGGAATAGTGGAGGGGGATGATGGAGAAGGATAGATAAGAAGACTGATAAGCAGGAATGAGGGCTGAGACCAGAGCCCCCAGACTTACAGAAACAGGAATCTGCACAGATGGGAGGTTCCCTCCAACAACCTCCCATCACCCAGATGTAGCAGCAGAGAAGCTGTTGAAGAACTGGCCCAAGATTTCCAGGTTTCAGGCTGGGATCAGTGGAAGGCTGGTGGTCAAAGCAGAAGTGTGGCAAGCGGAGTTCAGAAGGGTTCAGATTTTCCACATGGGGTCTTGGCTAGGGAGGGAGAAATGCCAGAAAAGGCTGGCTGACAGGCTGGAGACCTGTAATGTACCCTACATACGGATGTTTGGGAAGCAATTCGGGGTATGAAGAGCTGCAGTGCTTGGCTGTGGGGAAGGGTGGAAGAGATATGGAGAAGTCCTGAGACCCAGAGGCAGTGTTCAGTTGTGGGTTTTTTGAGGGAAAATAGCGTCCTCTGGGGGAAGGCAGGAACTGCAGTAGAGAGGATGGCTGAGCTGGTGCTAGACTAGTGTTCCTGACTGGGGAATGCAGCGAGGGGGAGGGAGGTGCAGGACCAGGGCACGGAGAGTCCCTTGGAAGGAAAGTTCAGGGAGAAGGCCCTGGGTTCAGTGGGAGGCTGTGGAGAGGGCACGTAGGATGCTTGGTGTCAGGACCTTCTGGGGAGTTCTGGGCAGCCAGACCAGCCACTGGCTCCTCCCTTTACTACTCATTTATGCACCTCCCCCTCATCCCCACCCAGGGATTGCCCCCATACCCAGCCCCGAACCTCTTTGATGGCTGCCATGCGAACGGTCTCATAGTAGTGCAGGGGTGCGTTGGGTGTGCTCATGTCATAGCCAAATCCTGCGACTGCCACCTCGTCACAGCCGTGTAGTGCCATGGTCACTGCCACACTGCCAAGGGTAGGGATGTTCTAGAAGACGGGGGCAGGGGTGAGAGAAGGCATGCAGAGTTCAGCTGGAGGGCTGGGACAGCTGAGACTTCAGCCAAGCTCCCTAGAGCTAGCCTCCATGCCCAAGGACTGAGCCCTCTTCCCCAGAAAGCTATTTTGCAGAAGCACTGCCCCACCCACCACCCACCCTTCCTTCCAAGGCACTTCTGACCCAGCTTTCCTCCTCCCTCTCCCAGGGCCCAGATATCTCACCCCCCGGCCCATGAGGCCATTGTTGAAGGGCAGGCCAATGAGGGTGAAGGCGGCCTCCTGGATGAAATATGGGTTGAGGATTCGAATCTCAGGGGGCTCCTTGGGCACTCGAGTGGCCACAGATTTCCAGAAGCCATCCGATGCACTCTGTGGACACAGCAAAAGCGGGCCTCAACGAGGCACACAGCAAGGGATGAGCCTAGGGGAGTGGCAGGGACCCCAAGTAGGGACAGTGAGGCGGGAGCATGAGGCGTTTAATGGGGAACCCAGGGCCTGTGGTGTAGGAAGCCCATCTGTGTTTGGGGAAATGGAGTGTGTGACAGGGACAAGGGGAATGATGGTGAAGAGAGCGTGTGGTGGGGCTCCAGTGTGTAACAGAGGAGGATACGAAGGGAGTCGTCGGGCAGGCACAGGATGTGGGATGCTGTGGGTGTGCTGCTGTGGCCTGAGGGGGCTCCTGGGCCAATAAGAAGACCCAGCAGTGCAGCTGCCCTGCCTCCCTATCTGCAGCAGCTGAGGGGCTGGGAGGTGCCTGCCCTCTCTCCTGTCTGCCCTCCTGTGCTCCCACTTCCCTTGCTGCTCTCTCCTGGCTCTCTCCATCGACTGTTCTAGAGTGGACCTGAAAAATGGAGACAGAGCGTGAGCAAGTAGAGTATAGCAGACCAACACTGCTGTTGACTAGAGTTGGGTGACTGGGCAACAAGCTCTCCAAGCCTGTTTCTTTAACCATAAAACGGGATCATTCTTACCGGAGGGTCTCTGCACTGTACTAGAAAGGCATCACCTCTGAAATCCGACATCCCAGTGTCCATTCTGGGGCACAGCTTCCCCTCCTTTCAAGTCTCTCTCTTCCTCCCTCTCCACAACACAGAGGCCTTTAGCTCCCCAGCCCTTACTGTTCAGTGCGTCCACCCCTCCTTGTCTAGACCCTGAAGTATATTACATCAGCTACTCTCTTGTGAGCTCCTCCAGTACTCTGCCCCTTGTCCTTCTATTGCCCTAGTCTAGGGAAATCCCGAACTTGGGATCAACCCATACATCCTCTTTTTCTACCTTTACAGCTGGGCTCCTGAGCACTGCTGGAGGTCACAAACCAACCCTGCAGACTGGCGGCACTGCCAAACCACGGGCTCCAACCGAACTGTTATTTGCATAGAAAACCTAAAAGAATCAGCCAGGCGCAGTGGCTCATGCCTGTAATCCCAGCACTTTGGGAGGCCAAGGCGGGTGGATCACCTGAGGTTAGGAGTTCAAGACCAGCCTGGCCAACATGGCAAAACTCCATCTCTACTAAAAATACAAAAAATTAGCCAGGCATGGTGTCAGTTGCCTGTAATCTCAGCTACTTGGGAGGCTGAGGCAGGAGAATTGCTTGAACCTGGGAGGTGGAGGTTGCAGTGAGCCGACATTGCACCACTGCACTCCAGCCTGGGCGACAGAGCGAGACTCTGTCTCAAAAAAAAAAAAAAAAAAAAAAAAAAGAAACAAAGAAAGGAAAGAAAAGAAAGAAAACCTAAAAGAATCAACTAAACTTAGAATGGATAAAATAATTTACTGCAGCAATAGGAAACAGTCATCAGATATAACAAAAAGATCTTATTTGCAATCGTAACAAAAAAGTCAAGTATTGAGCAATAAACATAAGAAATATGTGAGAACTATAGGAGGAAAACTATAACCTTTTACTGATATAAAGAGATGACTTAAAAAATAGGAAAGACAAAATCATATTCCTGGATGGGAAGGCTCCAATGCCAGCTCCTCCCAGATTAATGTACAGGTTTAACATAATTCTAAGAAAAAAATCTCAGTAGGATGTTTTGAGATTTATCAAATGGATTCTAAAAACCCATCCAAAAGATTTATCAGGTAAACATAACACCCTCAAATTAAAAATTAGGTATTACAGTATATTATGGGTTTGCACTTATTACAACAATTATATATATATATATGATTCAAAACCAAGATCAGTGAAACAGGGTCACCTAGAAGCAGTTCAACACAGGTATAGGTTATGGGAACAAATGAGATTGGAAAATTTTCCATTTGGGAAGAAGATCCATTTACTTTCTCTCCTCACACCATATACAAAATAAGTAAATGTTTAAAAAACAAAAAAAGGGAAATCTAGGCTGGGCGTGGTGGCTCATGCCTGTAATCCTAGCCCTTTGGGAGGCTGAGGCAGGTGGATTGCTTGAGCCCAGGAGTTCAAGAACAGCTTGGGCAATGTGGAGAAACCCTGTCTCTATAGAAAATACAAAAATGAGCAGAGCATGGTGGCGTGTGCCTGTAGTCTCACGCCATCGGAGGCTGAGGTGGGAGGACTGCCGGAGCCCTGGAGGCGGCAGCTACAGTGGGTCATCATCACGCCACTGCACACTCCAGCCTGGGTGACAGAGTGAGACCCTCTCTTAAAAAAAAAAAAAAAGAGAAAGAAAAAAATTTAGATGTCTATTTTATCACTTAATTATCTATACATTAATGCAATGGAAGAAATAAAAAGACATGTTTTGACTGACACGTTTTGACTTCATAAACATTTTTAAGTGCTTTGGCACATCAAAAATATACGCAAAATAAGGCTGGGCGTGGTGGTTCACACCTGTAATCCCAGCACTTTGGGAGGCCGAGGGGCAGATCACTGGAGGTCAGGAGTTCAAGACCAGCCTGGCCAACATGGTGAAACCCCGTTTCTACCAAAAAATACAAAAATTAGCCAGGTGTGGTGGTATACACCTGTAGTCCCAGCTACTTGGGGAGGCTGAGGTGGGAGGATCGCTTGAACCTGGGGACAGAGGTCGCAGTGGGCCGAGATGGCACCACTGTACTCCAGCGTGAATGACAGAGTGAGACTCTGTTTAAAATATATATATATATAATATATATTATATATTATATTATATATTATATTATATATTATATATAATATAATATATAATATATAATATATATATTATATATAATACGTAATATATTATATAATATAATATATTATATATAATACATAATATATTATATAATATAATATATATTATATTATATAATATATTATATATATTATATATTATATATATTATATATTATATATATTATATATTATATATTATATATGCAAGATAGTATAGAGAGGGAAACAAAAAAGTGGTAAAAATTTTGTCACAAATAGTAAGAAATGCATATTTTAAAAACTCATGAAGAATCAGTGAGGCCTCATAAAAATGGGTAAAGCACATAAACAAAAGGTTAATAAGCATGGAAAAATTTAACTCACTAATGACAAGGAAATGCACATTAAACTAACAAGTTATTATTTTTTTAACCATTAAAATCTGTGTATGTGTATATTTGTGTATCTATATCTTGGTGCTAGTGGTAGTCTGCTGAGGGAAAATTCTCCTGGACTGCTATAGGAGTAAATTTGGCACAGCCCTTCTAAAAAACAATCTATGTGTCAAAGACCTCAAAGCTGTTTATATCTTATGACCTCAAAATTTTCCTTCTAAAAATAATCAAAATGAAGACCTTTGTAAAAAGCTCTTTATTACAGTATTACTTACAAAGTGAAAAAACAGAAAAAAATCCAAAAGTTTACAACAGAGGTTTCATTAAATGATACATTTATGTAAAAGAATGTCACAGTTATCAAAATGATATCTTCTAAGAATTTTGGGCCAGGTGCGGTGGCTGGCTCATGCCTGTAATCCTAGCACTTTGGCAGGCTGAGGTGAGAGGATTACTTGAGCCCAGGAATTCAATACCAGCCTGGGCAATATAGTGAGACAATGTCTTTACAAGAAATAGAATAATTAGCTGGGCATGAGGCTGTGGTCCCAGCCACTCGGGGGGCTGAGGTGGAAGAATCACTCGAGTTCAGGAATTCTAGGCTGCAGTGAGCCGTGATCGAGCCACTGCACTCTAGTCTGGGTGAAAGAGAAAGGTCCTGTCTCAAAAAAAAAGGAATTTTGTCTTATGGATGTACCATAATGTATGTAACCAACACTGTTGTTGGATATCTAAATTGTTTCTAGTTTTCCCAGACCTCTTCCTTCTCCTTGTTCCCTATCCTCTACTGTCCATCCAGTCTTCCAAACCAGCAACCTGGGAACTGACTTGAGATTCTCCTACACCTTTCCAGTCCATCTTACCTTGTGCTGCTGGTCATCAAGTTCGAGTCTATCTGCTTAGAACGGTACAGATCCATCCCTTGATCCCAAACCTACTGCCACCACTTCCAGGGCAGGTCTTATCATCTTTCATCTGGACTATTCTAATGACTGGCCATTTACAGTGTCTGTCTTTTTGACTGCTGAACACTCCAAAGCCCAGTAGAGTAACTGAAACATAAAACTGAAACATAAATGGTACACAATACATAATTGTACAATTCTATTCACTTATTCAGCGAGCATTAATGAGTGCCTACGATGGGCTGCCTGTATCTCCCAAACCACTCCAGGCTGGAGTCCAGTGGCATGATCTCAGCTCACTGCAACCTCCATCTCTTGGGTTCAAGCAATTCTCCTGCCTCAGCCTCCTGAGTAGCTGGGATTACAGGTGCCTGCCACCATGCCCAGCTAATTTTTTTATTTTTAGTAGAGATGGGGTTTCACCATGTTGGCCAGGCTGGTCTCCAACTCCTGACCTCAGAAGACCCGCCCACCTCGGCCTCCCAAAGTGCTGGGATTACAGGCGTGAGCCACTGCGCCCAGCCTCTCAAACCACTTTCTCTCTGCCAGAATGATTTTCCATGTACAAATCAGATCACCACTGCCTAAAGAAGAGCTGAGCCTTTTAGCCAGTAACCCATCTGTCTCTCATTTCAGTCTCAGTCCATCTGAAGTCCCCACTTGCTAATTCATGCCCCACACTTTTGCTGATGCTGCTCCTTGTCTCTAACATCCTTCCCACCTCTATCCACATGACCCATCCATTTTCTAAGACTCAGCAGCTGCCTCTCCTTCATGTCTTTCCTCGCCCCCTCCACCCCAAGGCAGAACTGACATCTGACCTTCAAGAGGTGGTAAAATATGGAGTTCAGATCCTTGGTCCTAGGATTTAACTTCAGATCTGCTCACTCACCATGTGCAGATCCTGGGCAAGGAATGTACCATTTCCTTATGGATAAACCAGGGACATCACGCGTATTTAGCTTACAAGCTATTGTAAGAATTAAATGAGCCAATCCAGGCTGAGTGCACACTAGCCCCATAGGGCAGGGACTCACATCTGATTCACCTCTGTAGCCCAGGGCGTGGCACAGCACAGACAGCAAAGAGGCATCAGTGACGGTTACTAAAGGAGACCTGACCTCCACCCAGGGCGCCCAGTGACCAGCAGCTCTTCAGCGTCTTCCGCTGCTGCTCCTTTGGTGGATTGTCTCTGTTCCAGCCACTCCCTCCTCATGGCTCCCAACTCTGTGGCAACATCTCTTTCTCTGGCAAACTGTCTGTCCTCCAAAGGTCAGTTCAAACATTGGAACCTTGTGGCAAACTTCTGTTTCAGCCCCAGTCAGGCTGAGCAAGCCGACCCCAGTTTTTCCTGCTCCTGTCTCCAGAAGTGGGGTGTGCGTAAGGGAGGTAAAGGGAGGGATGGTGGGAGACAGTAGGAAACGGACGGGTGGAGAAATGGCCAAGACCTTAGGCATAGCTGAGGGGAAGCCCCTCTTGGGTGGGCCAGATGTGGACTGACAGGAACAGCAGGTGCCAGCCTGTGCCAAGCACAGCACAGCACAGCCCCTGTCCCTTCTCCAGGCCCAGCAGGCCCCAACAGCTTCCCACCTGGGGTTCCTGCCTGTGCCTGCCCTGCACACACCAAAGAGGAGGGAGAAAGCACAGGGGCTGCTCGGGAGGAACAGGGAGAACCAGGATTGGGCACAGCTGGGGGCCTGTGTGAGGAGGCTCCAGGCTGGTTTCACGACTGTTACTTTATTATCTCTTTAACTTTCACCCACTTCACAGGTACAGATCCCAAGGTGAAACGATACGACACGATACGTTCAAGGTCAAGCAGCCTGCAAGTGGCTGCAAGTGGATTCAAACCCAGGTGTCCTGACTCCAAAACGGCATTCTTTCCACCACACCATTTGTATCATCGCTGCAGTTCCCGCCTCTGGAAGTCTGAGGGGTTAGGGGTCAAAGATAAAGGAGACCTCCCCTGTCTCCTCTAAGAGCACTAAGGGAGCTCTCAGGAGTCTCTCTGGTGCCCATGTCCCATTTTTCAGAGGGGACTAAGGCCCAGAATGGTGAGGGGACTCGTCAGGGTACACGCACAGCTGGTGAGAATCTGAGCTGCGTTTGACTTCACAACCTGTTTTTCTGCACATGAGATGCCCTCTCTGAAACAATCCCTCTTGGTCTGTTCCATATGCTAAAAGTCCCGGATTTAATCACCATCTCAAATGGCAGGAAATTCGCTTATTAACTCAACCCCCTTGGCGATCTGATGGGGAGGGGAAAGCTGCCACGTCTCTTCTCATCTTTACTCTTTCCTGGGAGGAGAAATGCCTGATGGGACTGCTTAGATTTGAGGATACTGAGTGTGTCACGATTACTGGTGTGAGGTGAAAATTCTCTCCCACAAAGGCAGCCCTTCCTGAGTTGCTGCCTCTGCATGGCGGTGGGTGAGCTGGGCAGGGCCTCCTCCTTGGAGCAGGCCACCTCTGCCTCTGCCCTTCGTGGCTCACTGCGCTGAGGTCTTACTGCCCTCGGTTCTTACTCGGCCAGCAGCGGCTGAGAGTCATGTTGGGACCCTGGGGAAGGAGCCCTGTTTTAGGTCACGATCCCAGGGAGCCCTGCACTGGAGAACTGGGAGCCCGACACAGCGACAGTCCAGCGCTCCTTTTATTCTTTCTTGTCTGCCACTGTCCTGGTGTAGTTTCCTCAGAGATTTCAGGGAAAGGAGAAACAGTAAGACCAAGATATGGTTTGGGCATTTCCGTGTTTCCCCAGCCACAAAAATATCAAGTACCAACAAAACCTCAGCCTGTTTCCTAAAAAAAAAAGCTGTAACTCCTCTTCTCAGAAAAACGTCCACAGGCACATACACAGAACATCTGTGTACCACTGCAGCTTTGGGAGTGTGAAAAACAGAGGCTTAATCCCAGCTCCACATCTCTGTGACCAGGGGCACATTGTGTCCTCTCTTTAAGCCTCAAGTTCCTTGTGCATACAATAGGGCTGAGAAGACCTACTTCCCAGATAGCTGTAAGGATTAGAGATGCTGTGCGTTTTACAGCATCTGGCACGGGGTCTGGTATACAGCAAGCTCAATAAATCTTACTTATTATGATTATAGTGAGTGTCACAGAGGCCAGGAGAGTGAAGCGGAGGGTGTGGTCAGCAACATCAGCCACCGGAGAGGCCGGAACACATTCACATATCCATACCTGCACACGTACATGCATTTGAATGGGAGAGCCAGCCTTTCCCCCTGGCTCCCGGTGGGGAGGTCTGCCTGCTGCTGGAGACACTGCCAGCCCTGCTGCCAGCACACAGTCCTATTCCACAAGGCCTCTGCCTGCAAGTGTCCACATCTGGCCCAAGGCTTCTCACATCTCATTTCCCCAATCCACAGGACACAACAGAGGCCTACAAAGCCAGCCAGTGCTGCTGGCCCGGCATGGTCCAGCTTCTCCTCAAGGCCAGCTGTGGGCTGCATTCCTTGTCAAATCCCTCCTCCTTCAGGAATGTCCCTGCCTCAGTCAAGTCTGGACCCAGCTCCCCTGTGTGAAGCTGCCAGACTCCTGCTGATGCAACCTGTTCTGCTCTTGTCAGAACATCCAGGAGCAATGGGGAAAACATCTGGGAAGAAAGCACTTTCCCCACCAGGCTCCTGAGAGAATGTTTCCTGGTGTGCTCACAGGTCTGGGAATAGAGATTAACCATGGTAGGCTTTCACAGCAAGAGTAGGCAGATGTGTCCACGCCTATGCTCCCTGCTGCTACTGCCTTAGGACGGACCACCAACTCTCCTGGGGTGACTCTAACAGCCATCAGCTCTCTCTGACTCCCTCTTGCTTTCCCTTCAGTTTATTCACATCCCTGCACAAATCTGATCTCGACATTCTCAGGCTTAAAATCTTCAGTGGCTTTCCACTGCCCACTGCAACAGCTTGTGTTGACAATTAAGAGTGCAGGTCTGATTGTGAACCCTCACACCCCCAACTACTCTAACTCTGTACCCCTAAGCAAGTTCTTTACTCTTCTAAGTCTCATCATCCTCTCCTATAAAATAAGGGCAGTAATACTAGCTCTCCTTTATAGTGTTTTTGTGTTATGACAGTTTGAAGTCATGCATATAATATGTTTGGCACAAAGTCAGCTCTTGTTAGCTTCTGCTATTATTGGTCCTCAGGATAAGGTCCAGGCTCCTTGATGAGACTTTGGCTTTTAAGACCCTTCACCATCTGTCCCCTGCTCACCTAGCCTCATCTCCAGCCACTGCCACCATATCCATGTAGGTTCAACCCCTAACATTGTTGGGCCAAGGACAAAATTACAAATGGACGTATTACACACATATCACGTGTCTAAAATTTAATTCTAAATATCTGAAAGTTATGAGGCAAGCTATCAAGCTGTTAAATATATTCTAGCACCGTGCGAGGCTGAGGTGGGCAGATCACTTGAACTGACGAGTTTGAGACCAGCCTGGGCAATATGGTGAAAACCCGTCTCTACGAAAAAATACAAAAATTAGCCAGTCATGGTGGGGTGCACCTGTAGCCCCCAGCTACTTGGGAGCCTGAGGTGGGAGGATGGCAGGGCCCCAGAAGGCAGAGGCTGCAGTGAGCCAAGATCGCACCACTGCACTCCAGCCTGGGTGACATAGCCAGACCTTGTCTAAAAAAAAAAAAAAATCCATATCTATATCTATATCTATAGATATCTATAGCTACAGATATATCTATAGATATAGATATCTATAGATATATCTGTAGATATCTATAGCTACAGATATATCTATAGATATCTATAGCTACAGATATGTCTATAGATATCTATAGCTACAGATATGTCTATAGATATCTATATCTATAGATGTATCTATATCTATATATATCCTTCCTTGAAAAATGTCCTAGAAGGACAGGTTTGAATTTGGAATCCTGACCCTGGAGATCTGTTGTGCTGGACCATGGTGGTCTGGCCCACCTCCCACCCCGGTCCCATCCCATACCATAAGAAGCCTTGTGCAAAACCCCATCTCTACAAAAAAAAAAAAAAAAGAAAAAGAAATATTAGTCAGGTGTGGTGGGTGTGCACCTATAGCCCCAGTTACTAGGGAGACTGAGGTGGGAGGATTACCAGAGCCCAGGGAGGTCAAGGCTGCAATGAGCTGAGATCGTGCCACTACACTCCAGCCTGGGCAACGGAGTAAGACCCTGTCTCAAAAAAAAAAAAAAGAAGTCTGTGCATGTGTGTAGACTCCTCCTCACTCCACACATCCAAGCTCTGCTCACAGCCTCTGCAAATACCCTCCTTGGGCTTAGGGTACGCACAGAGAGTTACATTCTGCCCTCAAGAAGATGGAAGTGGACTTGGACTTCTCACTTTTAGGGCAAGAAATTCTGAGGTCTCCATTACCTGATAGTGGTCTCTCAAGGCAGATGGACCTGGGGTGGGCACATCCCTCTTGGCTCTGCATATTCCTCTTCACTCCACGGCAAAGGTTGTGGCCAGAGGAGGACCACAGTGGGGCCCAGGGCAGATGCCTCTCTCAGGTCAAAGGGCAGTACCATGCCCATGCCACACCCCGGTTATACTGAATTATTTTTAATTCACTAAATACACCATGCTCTTTGCCAATGTTGTTCTCTATGCCCAAAACATGCAGGTTCATCTGTATCCTGAAGGCCAAGAAACAAGGTGGCAGGACCCTCCTGATCAGGTGGCATCTGTACCCTTAGGCCCAGGCCCTGTTGCTCTCGCCAACACTCTCACTCCTTATCCTGTGGTCTGGGTTTCTGCCCAGTGGGCAGGCAATATTTCTTGTGCCCATTCTCACTTCTCAGAAGGTGACTGTCATTGCAGATGAGCACAGTGTGTCACTGTTGTCCTGTGCATTGTCCTACTAGTTCTTATAGCAGAATAACAGGTAGCTATGCAGGGAAGCTTTCATGATTTCCATTTTATAGATGAGGAAAATGAAACTCAAAGATGTGAATTGTGGCAGAAGATGAGATTTGTCTTCAGTTCCTAACACTGAGGCCAGTGCTTTACCTGCCAATCCTGCCTGCACTGAAGGTTTGGGGATAGCAGCTGTGCTGGCTGGTCCAGGTGCCCACACCCTCGGCAGGACTGCTGTGCTACTGCTTTATACTCCATCATGTAGTGAGACCATAACTCACATAAAAAAACCCCTTAGGTAATATTTGGGTTTGGCTATTACAAACAACACTACAAAATATAAAGTAACACTACAATAAAAATCTTTGTGCACAGACTTTTCCTTCCTCTGGGTGATGGCTCTCGGTACCAAGTTCCATTTCCTTTCCAAAAAACTGGTCCCTATTTGTTTACTCCGACCAGTAGCCTTTGATACAACTGTCACTGCACTCTTGGCAGCATCATGTAGGATAATTTAACACATTATTTGAAAACATGGTAGGTGATAAATGGCACCCTGTTTCCTTCACATTAATTTCTCTGACTGCTAGGAAGGTTAAACCTATTTCTGTTGTTTACTAGTTATCTTTCTTTCTGTGTGATCTGTTCAGTTTCCTGTCCATTATCTGCTGGGATTCTAATGGCTTTCTTGTTAACTCTCATAATAACCCTTTGCCTGCCATATGTTCTAAATATGTTTTTCAAGGTTGTGCGGCAGTCTTTTTGTGTTAACTTGAAATTCTAATATGTTATCAAATTTGATTTCTTCTAGCACTTGTGTCTTGAAAGTTCTTTCCCTCCAGGGATTTGATTTCTATCCTTACTTTAAAATTCCCTTTGGTTGTATTTTTATATTTCGCTTTTTAGTCCGTTTGGGATTTATTTTGATGTGTGCTATGAGGAGAGGGTCAGAAAACTTTTTGAAAGCTATATTTGGAAAAAAGCGATGAACAAAAAGAAGAGCCGGCTTGGGGCGGTCCGTGTGATGCCAACAGGCAACTGAAAGGCAGAGCGCCAGGGACTGTTCAGTTCTCATTTCTTTATCAAGGAGAATGATCTTGGAACTGCATAAAGAAGATCAAACATGGCTAAGAGGAAAGAGATGCCCTGGAGAGGCAAGAAGAGAGCAAAAGGATGCAAGGGTCTGAACCTAAAAGAAAGACCTTCCAGGGCAATGAAAGGAGGTAGCCTAGTTGAGAGGAAAGAGCCTGACTGAGAGGCAGGAGTTTGGAGTTAGAATCCTGACTCTCCTCGAAGGTACTGTTGCACTCTGGGCCTCAGTTTCCACATCTGCTTATTTACTTATGTATACCAACTATGCCTCACTGCTGGAGGTGATGGGCTTACAGAGATCAACAAGACAGCTGCTGCCCTCCTGAGGCTTATAAGAAGAGGAGCATCTCATACATCCATGGGTAGGGAAACAGGTAGAACATAGAGGCGTGAAATAGGATCCATAGGTCCATATAGCCAGAGTGGAGAGTACATGGCGGGTGCTAAAGAGTGGCAAGGGCCGGGCGCAGTGGCTCACACCTGTAATTCCAGCACTTTGGGAGGCTGAGGCAGGCAGATCACCTGAGGTCAGGAGTTTGAGAGCAGCCTGGCCAACATGGCGAAACCCCATCTCTACTAAAAATATAAAAATTAGCCAGGCGTGGTGGCAGGCACCTGTAATCTCAGCTACTTGGGAGGCGGAGGCAGGAGAATCACTTGAACCTGGAGGGGGTGGCGGAGGTTTCAGCGAGCTGAGATTGTGCCACTGCACTCCTGTCTGGGTGACAGAGCAAACTCCATTTCAAAAAAAAAAAAAAAAGAGTGGCAAGGAGAAGGGAAGGCTTGGAAGGGGCCAGATCATGGAGTTCTGTGCTGTGGAATTGAAGTTTTATCCTGCAGGCCATTGGTTCTTGAGCTTGAGCCTGCGCAAATCATCCAGAGGGCTTATTAAAAGAGAACGCTGGGCCCAACCAGAGTTTCTCATTCAGAAGCTCTAAGGTGAGGCCCCCACTGAAAAATGTACATCTGATAAGTTGCCAGGTGATACTGGTGCTGCTGGTATGAGAAGGAACTTTGAGAACCACTGCATCTAGGAAATGGGGATCCAAAGCAGGGGAATGAAGCACCTGGTCACTTTAGGAGGATTCTTTAGAATACAGACATAGAGAAGGGATTGGAGAGAGACCTGACTGGAGGCAGGGAAACAGACAGAAAGCTGCTGAAATAATCCAAGCCAGACAGATTTAGAAGGGAGAATGAAAGATCTGGAGACTGAAGAGTCGAATATGGAAGGCAAAGGCAATGGTGGAATCAGGATGCTTCCCGGGTTTTTGGCCATGAGTTTTAAGAATCAGGGGCTATCCCTAGAACCCAGCGCTGTGCCCACTACACAGTAAATGCTCACTGGATGCTTGCTGACAAGCTGCTCCTTTAAAGGGAGGGCAGAGGTTGAGTCTGCTGGATTTAGAATCAGAAGGTCACTGCCAGGTGAGAGTGGCTTTGGAAGCCAGGATGGAGAGGCTGAGAAACAGACGGCAAACAGGGAGACACTGGGACAGGCGATGACTTTTCCCAGAAACTTGAAAGAGAAAAGAAGAGAGGTGAACATAAGCTAAAGAGAGGGCTTTTATTTTTAAGGTGAAAGAGATCCAAATACATTCATAGATGTGAGAGGAGGACCCGGCAAAGAGGTGAGAAAGGAGACAAAGGAATGAAGACAGTCCTGAGAAGGTGAAGGGAGATGGCATCCAGGACAGGAGAGAACTGACCATGAATGGCAGAGGCACAGGAGGGATGGTAGAGGAGGAAGCAGGGATGAATGGGGATGCAGGTAAGTTTGTAGATGGGAAGCAGGAAGCCGAGAGTTCTTGGCTGGTGACAACCTTTATTTTCCCTGTGCAGCTGGACATGCAATTTCTTTGGAATAGGATGGAGGTACAGTGGAATTGAAGATGATGAGGGTAGAGATCTGAGATGATCAAGGACCCCGGACAGGACACAGGAATGGGAAGCAGCACTGAGATGCTACTAAGGTGACACCATGTGTTACCACCTTGGCTGTAGCTTCTCTCCCATGGGTGACATTCAGTCCCTGGTACTGGACTGGCTGGATCTGAAGGAAAGCACTGGGAAAGGGAGCTGTCGAGTGAGTGAGACTGTGCTTGAAGAACGGGACTGCACATGATGTTGGTGATTGCTTTGGATTTGCTGAATCAATGAATAAATGGGAGGTGTTATAGTGCAATGGTTAAAGTGAAACACCTTCGGTCCAAAATGCGGCTCTACTGCTTACTGCTACTCATAGTATCTGCCTTGTAGGGTTGTGGAGATGGCTGGCTGAGATGATGCATATAAACCACATCGTCCAGGGCCTGGCATGGAGAAGAGTTAACAGTAGTTCTTACCATCCTCACAGACCATGGCAGATAGGAGCTGACTGATGGAGGATTCTAACCAGGAAGGTAGGTGGTCAGATTTATTTCTTAGGAAGATCCCTGAGGCAGTGAGATCTGAGTTTTAATTAGGCTCTACCACTTAACTAGTTGTGTGACCTTACACAAGTAACATATCCTCTCTGTACCCTAGTTTCTTAATCTCTAGGATGGGGATAATAACAGTACCTAGCTATAGGGTCATTATGAGAACTGAATGAATTCAAGGAAAGCTGATAAACTGAAGAGCTTAATAAGTGACAGCTATAATGATAATGATAGTGATGACAGAAGGAAGAGGAGAACAAAAGGAAGGAAAAGCAGCAAGGAGAGGAACAGGAGGAGGAAGAGTGGCGGGAAGAGGAGCAGGAGGAGGAGGGGGAAGAGTGGCAGGAAGAAGAGCAGGAGGAGGAGGAAGAGTGGCAGGAAGAGGAACAGGAGGAGGAGGAAGAGTGGCGGGAAGAGGAACAGGAGGAAGAGTGGCAGGAAGAGGAGCAGGAGGAGGAGGGGGAAGAGTGGCGGGAAGGGGAGCAGGAGGAGGAGAGGGGAGAGTGGTGGGAGAGGAGCAGGAGGAGGAGGGGGAAGAGTGGTGGGAAGAGGAACAGGAGGAGGTGGAAGAAAAGTGGCGGGAAAGGAAACAGGAGGATGGGGAGGAAGAGTGGCGGGAAGAGGAACAGGAGGAGGAGAAAGAAGAGTGGTAGGAAGAGAAACAGGAGGAGGGGGAGGAAAAGTGGCAGGAAGAGGAGGAGGAGGAGTCAGGGGAAGAGTGGCAGGAAGAGGAGCAGGAGGAGGGGGAGGAAGAGTGGCAGGAAGGGGAACAGGAGGAGGGGGAGGAAGAGTGGCAGGAAGGGGAACAGGAGGAGGGGGAGGAACAGTGGTGGGAAGAGGAGCAGGAAGAGGGGGAGGAAAAGTGGCAGGAAGAGGAGCAGGAGGAGGGGGAGGAAAAGTGGCAGGAAGAGGAGCAGGAGGGGGAGGGGGAGGAAGAGTGGCGGGAAGAGGAACAGAAGGAGGAGGGGGAAGAGTGGCGGGAAGGGGAGCAGGAGGAGGAGAGGGGAGAGTGGTGGGAGAGGAGCAGGAGGAGGAGGGGGAAGAGTGGTGGGAAGAGGAACAGGAGGAGGTGAAGAAAAGTGGCGGGAAAGGAAACAGGAGGATGGGGAGGAAGAGGAACAGGAGGAGGAGAAAGAAGAGTGGTAGGAAGAGAAACAGGAAGAGGGGAAGGAAAAGTGGCAGGGGAAGAGTGGCAGGAAGAGGAGCAGGAGGAGGGGGAGGAAGAGTGGCAGGAAGGGGAACAGGAGGAGGGGGAGGAAGAGTGGTGGGAAGGGGGGCAGAAGGAGGGGGAGAAACAGTGGCGGGAAGAGAAGCAGGAGGAGGGGGAGAAACAGTGGCGGGAAGAGAAGCAGGAGGAGGGGGAGAAACAGTGGCGGGAAGAGAAGCAGGAGGAGGGGGAGAAACAGTGGCAGGAATAGGAGCAGAAGGAGGGGGAGGAAAAGTGACAGGAAGGGGAACAGGAGGACGGAGAGGAAGAGTGGTGGGAAGGGGAACAGGAGGAGGGGGAGGAACAGTGGTGGGAAGAGGAGCAGGACGAGGGGGAGGAAAAGTGGCAGGAAGAGGAGCAGAAGGGGGAGGGGGAGGAAGAGTGGTGGGAAGAGGAACAGAAGGAGGAGGGGGAAGAGTGGTGGGAAGGGGAACAGGAGGAGGGGGAGGAAAAGTGGCAGGAAGAGGAGCAGAAGGAGGCAGGAGAGGAAGAGTGGCAGGAAGAGGAACAGGAGGAGGAGGGGGAGGAAGAGTGGCGGGAAGAGGAACAGGAGGAGGGGGAGGAAGAGTGGCAGGAAGAGAAACAGGAGGAGGGGGAGGAGAAGAGTGGTGGGAAGAGGAGCAGGAGGAGGAGGAGGAAGAGTGGCAGGAAGAGGATGAAGGGTAGGAAGAGTGGTGGGAAGAGGAGCAGGGGGAGGAGGAGGAAGAGTGGTGGGAAGAGGAGCAGGGGGAGGAGGAGGAAGAGTGGTGGGAAGAGGAGCAGGAGGAGGGGGAAGAGTGGTGGGAAGAGGAGCAGGAAGGGGAGGAAGAGTGGCAGAAAGGAGGAAGGGGAGGAAGAGTGGCGGGAAGAGGAGCAGGAGGAGGGGGAGGAAGAGTGGCGGGAAGAGGAGCAGGAGGAGGAGGAGGAAGAGTGGCAGGAATAGGAGCAGGAGGAGGGGAAAGAGTGGCAGGAAGAGGAACAGGAGGAGGGGGAGGAAGAGTGGCAGGAAGAGGAGCAGGAGGAGGGGAGAGTGGTGGGAAGAGGAGCAGGAGGGGGAGGGTGAGGAAGAGTGACAGGGAGCGGGAGGAAGAGTGACGGGAAGGGGAGCAGGAGGAGGAGAATGACATGGTAATAATTATGAGGCAGTGACCAAGAGCTTACAGAAGACAGTGAGGAAGAGGAGCTGAGGGAGTCCCCATTCTTGAGCATTTTTATCTGGGGGTAGAGGAGCAATGGTTAAGATATGGCAACAGGCAGTGACGTGAAATCTCCTGGCCCTCCCAGGGATAAGAGGCATGGGAGAAAGAGCTGCGGCCACTGGTGATGGCCGCAAAGGAAATGGTGGAGAATCCTCGAAGAGCTGGTCTCAGAGGCTTGGTGAGAAGCCTGGGCTGGGTGGTGAATGCTGGCTCGGGAGCAGGAGGCCTGCACTGAGTCTCCCAGGACAGAGTCCACGCTAAGGCTCTGCATCCCTCTCAGGCTTGAACAGGGAACAGGTGAAGGTGCAGGTGGACATCATTCAATCCCCATTTGGGCCTGGTCCAATAAGAGGCCTTACATTTGGGGATGTGGTGGCCCCATCTGCCCTACGGTCCAGCCCTGCTGCCTTTCACCAGGAGGCTCCTTGTCTCTCCCTCCTCTAGGCCTGGCCTCTGAGCCCTGCTTCTGGGTCACCTCCTAGGTCAAGTCCTACAGCCTGACAGAAAAATGCTTTGCTCCCTGGGATAATTGGGTTTTTCTAACAGCAAAATCACCACCAGTGATAAAAAAATAAAATAACATAACATTACTATTTGCTATAGACTGAGAACATAGTTAAGTTCTCTATGCTAGATGCTTCTAGATTTCATCTTATCTAATTTTAAAAAAACCCTGAAAGATGCACAGCACTACTCATCCACTGTATCAATGACACTAAATCTAAGGAGGTTAGGTGATGTGCCTAAGGTAGCCCACTAATAAGTGAGAGTCTAAACTTAAACCCAAATCTGTGTAACTCCAAGGCCTAAGCCATTTTCCCCTCTTAAGCCATGTTGTCACTCTAAGATCAGGGACTCAGTCTCCCTTTGCTTGAATGTGGGGCCTTGGCTGGCCTCTTAGATCCTGCCCTCCTCCCTCTCCTCCCAGGGACTGAAGTACAGCTGGAGGGTAAGTGCTGTGTCAAGGCTGTCCAGGGACCCACTCCCAGCCCTGTCCTCTCTCTTCCCCCTGCAGGGCTGGGACCACCCCACACCCACCCAGCCTAGGCCCCAGGGCCCCACTGAATTGATGACCAGTCAGAGGTGCTCAGCAGCGAGGCTGGCTTTCTGGTTTTAGGAGTGGGGAGGAGGAGGAGGAAGAGGAGGCAGCAAACGGGGTTGGAAGGCAGTTCCCAGGGGCTTCTGTGGCCTGCTGAGGCGCAGTGGGGGAGGCTGGCAGAGGCAAGAGGGCAGGGCCTGAGGGATGGGGATGGGAGGCTCTGCCTCTCACATGTCCTGTCCTCTCCAGACCCCAGGGCTCCGTCCTCTGGACAGTGGATGGGGTGTCTCCAGCCTTCATCCAATACCAGGAAGAGGATGCACAGGCCACAGCATTGGAGGCATTAGGCAGCACACTCTGACACACCACCCTCATGCTTGATCCACACAGCACACCTCCAGTTTCCTGAAGGGAGCGTGGTCTCTTGGGTCTACACATGCTGTTCCCTTTGCTTGTAATTCCTTTCACCCACTCACTCCTAACTCTTCCTTCAGGGTCCAGCTCAGGAGTGACTCCTCCAAGAGGCCTTCTTTTGTCCCCCACCTGCCCCAGAGCTGCATTAGGCCTTCCTCATCATAGCAGCCTCCACACTGTACTGTAACTCTAGCTCTGGGACTCTCTCTCCCACTAGACTGTGAGCTACTTTGGTTGGGAATAGTGCTTAATTCCTCTTTGTATTCCCAGGGGCCAGTGTAGAGCCTGCAAAGAGAATACCTCATGGACAGCTGATAAGTGAGTGAGTGTGTTGGGGAAGACTGCAGAGGCACCTCTGAGAAGACCTGCACCGGAGCTGGAGGCTGCACCCCCATGTCCCTGGCTCCACCCTTCCTCCAAGCCTCAGCTTCCGTGCTGTGCTTGCCCATCCGCTGGTGCTCTTCTGAGCTGCCCTGAGCACACAGCCTGCTGGGAACTCCTACACCTGCTTGCTGGCTTGGCCACGGCTCCTGGGATCTGGGAGACAAAGCCTTTTTGTAACCTGTTTGGAGATATCAGTGCCACTGTCCAGTGAGTCAGGGACCCAAATGGCCACAAATGATGAAGAGGAGAGTTCTCAGATGGAAGAAGGTAAGGCCAGCTCTGGCACAGGCTGTTCTCTGGGTTGTTTGGCTGTCCTTTCCTACATCTTCCCCCCTGCCCCTTCCCATATCCTATGAGGACTCCTGGGTACTAGAAAGTTACAGGCTTTAAAAGACTCCTCATGTAGTAAGTGGCAGGAAGCAGCTGTGACTGAGGCCTAATTCCTGTTCCAGCCCTGCCCTGCCAGGCCTTGGCTCCAGAACACAGAGCTGCCTCCTGCCAGAATTCTGCAGGTGAGGCTCCAGACAGGTGCAGAGAGCTCTCCAGAAGCCCAGAGGCTGTATGACTGGAAACATCCCTACAGGAGCAGGACAAGCTGGTGACTAGGGCACCAGACAGGAGGGGACCTGGAGAAGCAGCCTCTCACATTTTCCTGGGTCTCAGATGCCAGGGAAGTGAGGCAGAGCATGGGTGAGGTCCTGGGAAGGCATTAGCCTTGGGCTTGGGGTGGAGAAGGACACTAAAGAAGAGGTCCCTTGGGCAGCCAAAGGGCCTGGGCAGGTCCACTCTGAGAGATGGGAGAGGTGAGGCCACGGGCAACCCCGGCATTCCTCTGGCAGCTCACTCTAAAGGTCCAAATTATCTTTCACTTTGGAGCCAAGGAAGGCCCACAGTAATTCAGAGGACTCCTCCCTGTCTCCTGTCTTCCCTTCCCACTCACCCCCACCCACCCTGGGTAGGAGTTCTCACCAATACAAGGCTAGTCCTAGAGCCCTGGGTGTGGCCAGGACGGACACAGATGTCATCAAGAGTGAGCCTGTGCCTGTGCCTCGTCCTGCAATGCTGGTACCTTGAATCTGCCTGCTGCCAAGGCCAGGCCAGGCGGAGAGCTCCTCAGCTTCCTGGGAAAAGCAAGGCCCTGCTGTCTGCTTCCTGAGTAGCCTGAGTATAGTGAGTTCTCCGACTCTAGCTGGCTTCCTTCCTTTTCTTCTTTCTTTCCTTACTCCCTTGGATGAATTTTAAGAACCTTGAATTAACTGACATTGGTGTTCTTGGAAGGAACATGTGATAACACCCATGACAGGCTCTGACCCACCCCTTTGGCCTGGCCTTATTTGAACTGCCTGGCTTTTCCCAGTCTGTCCAGTGGGAAGTAGGAACTGGTGTTTGAGCCAATTCCAGATCATTTATGGTGACTGAGCACTGAAGGGTAAAAACCAATGGGATCAAGCTCTGCCCCTTAGGAGCTCTTGCCCTGAGGGAGGCTGTGACAGGTGCCCATGGGCAGAGGAAACGATGTGAAAGGAGGATGGCAGAAGGCCAGAGTGAGACAGCAGCCCTTAGGCTCACTGGGGTTCACCAGGACAGACTCTATTTCCTACCATTCTCCCTTAAAAGTGTCTATCTGTGACCCTAATTCTACTGCCCTCAAGGCAAAGAGAGGGACTCTGAAAACACTAGTGTCTCAGTCCCCAGGGTTCTGAAAACAGTAGGGTACTCCTGGAACCGCTGTTATTTACCTGGTCTGTGTGGGCAGTGGGCCTGCTTGAAGTTGGGCCTGGCTAAGGCCAAATCATCACTCTGCTGCCTGGCCCTTTCCTCCCCTTTGGGGAGGTGGACTGGACACTGTGGAGCCCAGGTGTCTCATCCAGTCTGGTTCTGAAATGGATTCCCCTTCCCCACTGTCCCACCTACCTGAATTTCTGGACCTGACTTCTGTCTTCTCTCTTGCTTGCTACCTACTTGACACTGCCTGTACTTGGCCTTGCTTGGGAAAGAGCTGTGGAGTTAAACCAAATTGCACTGAGACCCTAAAGGCAAAGGAAGCTGTTCCCACTCCCAACTCTTCTCTAAACCTCTGGAAAGAACAATCAGCTTCTCACTGTAGGCAGAGGGCCGTCTGTCACCATCCTCCTCTAGCAAGAGGCTTGGGTATTAGAAGATGAATGGCCTGAGCTCTGCAGTACCCCACCCCTGGGGCTGCTGGTGACAGCTGGTTGTGGGGGAGTGGGCCTGGACAAGTTCACGGATGTCCCTGTAGGCCCAGAGCTGGGAAGTAGAGGTCTCGGGAGGGAACTCAGTGGTGGTCTCCTAAAGAGCAGTTGACCTTACTCTGCCACATAAGCTCCCTAAAGAAATGGGCCCAGACCCTTACCTGCTTAGAACAGTCAGTAGAACCTGATCATTCCCAATGATCAGACTCAGTGGCAGGTTGGGAATTCAACTATAAGTCAGTGGTAAAAGTACAAAGTGGAAACAGGCCAGGACTTCTAAGTTTGGGAGCTGGCACTCTCAAGTTGAGGGGTCTGCTGTCCCTGCAGAACCCAGGCTGAGAAAGAGGGCAGGGACCCCTAAGACCAGAGCCAGAGAGACCTTACAGAGGAGAAGAGGGTGCAAGGGAGGCAGCTACAAGGTCAGGGCAGGAAAGTAGAAAGATTGGGAGTGATACGAAGGCTGGCCTGAGAGACAGAGCTTCCCTTGGCCAGGAGATCTAAGGCCAGGGAAGGGCCCCTGGGGCTGCTGGGGTCTGGCTACAGAAGGCTGAGAAAGGATCTGCACCTGGGCACCTGGAAGCAGGTAGCAGGTTTCAGGCATATTGGCTCCTGGAGTTTGGCCAGTAACCCGGGCAATCTCCTGACCTCTTTGCCCCCTGGTTGCCATTGGGTGATTTCGGCTTTGGGTCATTAATGTTTCCTTTGAAGGTTCTTACTCGTTCTTTGCTGCATTCAAGGGGCGGGATTGCTTAGGAGTTGCGGAAGCCCAGGGCAAGAGGGGAAGAAGCTGGTGCCAGGAGAGCTTACCACTCTCTCCTTGTAGACGATGTATTTCAACCACTTAAAGTCCTGCCACTTGAAGCCGGCGAGGACAAAGAGAGAATCGCGCTCGTACTGCTCAGGCCGCTGCATGGCGCCCTCGGGGTAGGTGATGCGCAGTGTCGTTTTGCTGCCCACGTCCTTCTCAAAGCCTTTCACTGGTGCTGAATTCAGTCTACAGAGAGCAGGCCCACTCAGAGCCTGGGCCTGTGTTTGGGAAGGCACCATGACCCCAGACTATCCCAGGCATGGAGAATAGGGAGTCCAGGTCACCTGGACCTATTCTCCCCAGGTGCCCCCGCTAGTTGTCTGTTCCAAAGCCCTCCAACCCAGAGTTCTTGAGGCTTCCGTTGACCTCCAGCCCAACTAGCCAGACAGACAGTTCTCAATGGGCTCAGGACTAAGGGTTGGGGCCACGACACTCACCCGAGGTGCCATTTTGGGGAGCTCACCTCACCACAATGTCATAGTCGTCAATTCGTGACCCCAGAGACTTGTTGGCAAGAACGCCTCCATTGCCCACGATGATGCAGCGGCGGCAGCGGAGGCTGAGGGGAGAGAGGCGGAGACCTCTGTACAGAGAGCTGCCCACCAGGTCTCTTTCCCTGCTCCTTTGGCCCTTGACCCCACGCCCTTGTCCAGGACCAGGCTGGGATAGAGGAAGAAGACCAATGGGCTTCTGGCAGCATTTCTGAGAGAAGGCCTGAACCATACAATGGGTAGCTGGGCCCTGAGACTCTCCAGCATCTCTATCTAGGCCCTGACACTTCCCCAGGAAAACAGGGCCATGGAAAGGCTTGGGTGCCAGGCGTGGGTGGTGAGGAGGGAGCTTTGGTAAGATGACATTCTAGGGTAAAGGTTCCCCAAGGGGTAGTGGTGTTTAGGCAGGCTTCAGGGGAGAGGGAAAAGTGGGCCGAGCTTGGGGCTATACCAGGAAAGCAAGAAAAGGGGAACGGGACAGGAGGCTCTAGGACTCAAGGCTCCCAGCAGCCACTAGAGAGCTTACCCATCTTGCTTCTCCCATCCCTGACCCTGGGGCTTCCTGCTCTAGGGTCTGTTGGTTTGGGAGCTGTCACTGCCTTCTGGACTTAAGCCTTGCCCCCTTCACCTGCCCCCGCCACCCAGGCCCTCAGTCCCATTGCTGGGCTAGTCCCAGCCCCAGTGTGTTCAGTTCTTACCCTCAAACCTCTGGTATCTGAGGACTGGGATGTCCTGCCAAGTGCTGACAGCCCGTGGGGGTGCAAGTCAGGTGGAGTGGTTCCACTTACCTGCTCCACCCACCCTGTGTGTGTACTGTATGTGCATGTGTGGATGTGCTGGAGAAACTGCCCATGTCCAGGGAAGGCCAGCTGGGCCTCAACACCTCTGCACACCACCAGGCAGCGGTGGGTAGGAGGCTGCACAGTGTGTGGCTCACCTGTCCAAGGCAGGGGTCAGGCGGTACTCTTTGGTGACTGACAAGATGGCTTTGATCAGATTGTCTGCAGACAGAGGAGAGAGGTTTCTGTTACAGGGTCACTTACCTTTCTATAAAATGTTTACTGATAATCCTACTGGAAGACACAAGTCCCTAGGGGCTAGAGTGAAAGTGGAAGTGGAGAGAGCTCTGGACACAAGGATGTATTGGGCCACTGCCCTGACTTTCTTCCTGAGAAAGGAGGTGATGGCAGGAAACAGACAGGCATATCACTGCCGGGAGCCCGTCCCTAACACTGGCACGCAGCTTCTCTCCCAGGCTTCTGGGAGGCTCATCTGGTTTTCTGAGGCTCTGTAGTCAGGCCCCAGGACATGCATTCCCAGGCCAGGGCCTTCCCTGGAAGCTGGCGCACGCAGTCTCCCTGGAATGGGAGTACCTGCTCAGAGCTAGAGACCACCTTGTACTTATCTCTGTGCTCCCACCCAGCAGATACCAGGAAACAAATGAGGAGACACCCAGCAACTGAAGAGCTCACCACGTGCCTCATTATCTGACATCACCTTTCCCTCACTTCCTCCCTCTCACATTGCCAATCCTGAATCCTGCTCTTTGCCAGGCTGTCTTTACCTCCTCACCTCTTTACTCCCTGAGCCTGGCTCTGCCCACCTGCACTCCATTCAGCAAAGACCCCCATGACTTCTGTGCTCTCAGACCTGTGCCCACTATTTAGACCTCATCTCCTTGGCCTCTCTCTGGCTTTGGCAATAAGGACTGCTCTTCCAAACTCTGGTATCATGAGAGCACTATAATATGATGTATAGTGAATAGCAAGGGTATTGGCTTTGGAGTCAAATACTGGCTGTGCTCTGTGACCTTATATAAATCATTTCCTTTCTTTGAGCTTTAGTTTCCTCATCTCTAAAATGAAAGTAATTCCTATTTTGTGGAGTTGTTAGGAAGATATAAAATAACGTACACAAAGACCTAAAAATAAAGTAAACTGGTATCACCACAATGGAGAGCATCTTAATAACATCAAATAACCACGAAGATGTGCAGACACTAAGATCCTACAACTATGCTCCTAGGCGTGGAGCGTTGAAAAAGTCACACACTTGCTCCAGGAGACATGCAAGAGTGTTTGCTGATGAACTGTTTGTAATAGCAAAATGGTGGAGGCAAGCTGAATGTCCACCAAAAAAAAAAAAAACCAGATTAAATGTGGTGTATGAAATCCTATACAGCCATTAAAAAAAAAAAATCAATGACCTACAGCTGTATGTACCAATATAGATAAATCTCAAAAACACATTAAAAAAATATGAAGAATATACATACACATATACACAAATACATGTACATATAATGACACCATTTGTAAAGTCTAAAGACATGTAAGAGCGGTACTATATTTTTAATAAATATATAAATATGTAGTGAAAATACATAAACAAGCCCGGGTGTGGTGGCTCACACCTGTAATCCCAGCACTTTGGGAGGCCAAGGAGGGAGGATTGCTTGAGCTCAGGAGTTTGAGACCAGCTTGGGCAACATGGTTAAACCCTGTTTCTACAAAAAAATACAAAAATTAGTCAGGAGTGCTAGTGTGTGCTTGTAGTCCCAGCTACTTGGGGAGCTGAGGTGAGAGGATTGCTTGAGCGCTGGAGTTGAGGTTGCAGTGAGTCGTGTGTGTGCCACTGCACTGCAGCCTGGGTGACAAAGCAAGACCCTGTCTCAAACATATATAAACAAGGCATAAGAATGCCAACACTGAAGCCAGGATAATGCAGAATAGTGGCTTCCTGGGGAAGGAAGAGAATGGAGTGGGAAGGGACCCGCAGAAGCTTTAATTGTGTCTCATGTTTTATTTCTTCAGCTGGGTAGAAGGTACATCAATGCTTATTATTCCTAGTATTTTTTGTATGCTTGAAATATTTTATGTAAAGAAAAGATGTCTCCAAAATTAAAAATAACAAACTTATACTTTTTTAAAGGAGGCAGAGGTAGCCGAGAGGTCATGTTAAGGACTGAGAAGTATCCCTTGGATTTCTCCGGGACACTGAGCAGTTTCACTGGAATGGTGGGGTGGGATGGGCAGGGATGCAGATATTCTTCAGGAGTAAATGGTGAGAAAGAGGAGGCAGCAGGTGCAGTTAATCCTTCCAGAAGTTGAGTGAGAATGGGGTAGGGAAACAAACCTTTAAGCAATGTTCTACACTAAGTGCCTTCAGATATACCTTACGGTGGGCTTTAGGAAAGGCAACAGATTCCCTCCTTTTCCCACTTCCAATTTCACCTTTAAGGAAGAGCATATTGCTACTAAAATTAGCCAAGGTCAAGGATATGGATTGGGCTTTGTTTTCTAGGAGGAAAATCTCAGCAGAAAGAGCACACATTAGCAGATGCTCTCTGCTTGCTGGCTGATGGGCTCCATATCGAACTTCCCTGGCCTTTGTAGCTATCCCATCTGAGTCTCGAGTGCAGATTCAAGAGAGAAGAGTGGACTTCTTGGCTGCCTGCACCCAGGGAAAAGGGGTTCTTCATATGGTTTAACCCAACCATTAGATTTGTCCTTGGAGGTCTGAGGTCAAAGCGCCAGTTCAACAGTGTTTTTCCTTGCCACTGGCTTCTTTTCAGGGAGAGATAGTCTGGCTGAGTAGAGGGTTCAGGTATTCTTGAGTCTCCTGGCCAAATGATATCACCCCTTTAGCAGTTATTTTATGTAATTCTGACAACAACTTTACACAGTAGTAGTATTCTCTCCATTTAACTGCTGACGGAACTAAAGGACAGACAGGCAACTTGTCCAGGGTCACAGCTAGTAAAGAGGCAGTATGGGGATCTGATCCCTCTGTGCCTGACCCATAAGTCCAGATTATTTTCCACCATGCCATGAAATAGCACAGAACTTGACAAAGAAGCAGAATTGTTCAACTACTAGGGATGGGAAAGTCTTAAGTTAGCATGGAGCTGTGTGGGTGAGGTCCCCAAGGCAATGGAAGGGGAGTTTGTGAGAGTGTAGGGGAAAGGTTAGCCTTGGACAGGATAAGGAAGGGTTGGAAGGGAGATGAGGTTCAGGTGAAAAATATCAGGATGGGCTGATAGAGGGACGTGGGGCACTCCTGGGGGACAGTCTCTGTTTTCTCTGGGAATGTCCCTACTATACCTAGTACTCTAGTGTTCCTGTCTACAGCACACCTTTTCTGTGTTCTCACAGCTCCTTGTACTGCCCTCACCAGAACTCTGCACTCTTGAATATCTGAATCTCCGCTATACTGGAGCTTTTTGAGGAGAGGAAACAATCTGTCTACTTCACTGTTGTATACTTAACCCCTGGCAAAGTGGTGGGCTCTGTGTAAATATTCCATTAAAGAAGAAGCCGGGCATGGTGGCTCATGCCTGTAACCCCAGCACTTTAGGCAGATCACTTGAGTCCAGGAGTTTGAGATCAACCTGGGCAACATGGTAAAACCCTGTCTCTACTAAAAATACGAAGAAAAAATAAGCCAGGCATGGTGGTGCGTGCCTATGGTCCCAGCTACTCAGGAGGCTGAGGTAGGAGGATCTTAAAGGTGGAGATTGTGTGAGCCGAGATCATGCCACTGCACTTTAGCCTGGGTGACAGAGCAAGGATCTATCTCAAAAAAAAAAAACAAACAAACAAACAAAAAAAGGAAGGGAAAAAGGTAGAGAAGATTTGTTGAGAGTAGAGGAAGGGTGGATTCTCAGCATGGGGACTTCTGAGGATGTAGCCTTGTCTGAAGGACAGGGAGACAGTCGGGGGGATGAGATGTTAATGTAGGTCAGGGTTCCCAACATACCTTGACCTTTGATCCCAAAAGGCGGCACGAACTCCCGGATTCTAGCCCACTTGCGAAAGGAGTCATCCAGGAACATGGGTGCTGGCTTGGAGAACCTGGAATATAACAGGACTGCTGAGGATCACAAAAACGCAACAGTCTGGATTACTGGTGGCACTTCCGTACGTCGGTCTTGGCAAAGGATCTGCTGGAAGCCCCCTCTGCATTCCGGCATACCCCCCTCCACCCAGCCTGTTCACTGGGTAGCTGTCGAGGGGTTTGACAGATCTTGTTCAGTGGAGCCTGAGTCTGAGGGAGTAGGCCTGGTCAGTCTTTATTTGGCTAGCTGTAGGAGTGGAGAGACAAGATTTGTTCAGCAAGGATCAATTTCTCAGAGCTGGAAGCTCTCTGGAAGGTTGTGCAGGCATTCATCAAATAGTCACTGCTGCCCACACTGTTCCTGCAATCTGGGAACACAGAGATGAGACACTGTCCAGTTGAGCAGAAATATATCCAAAAATACAGCCAGTACATGGAGACAGATTTTGGAGAGAATTCTGGGAAGTGGACCACCCACAGTGAGGAAGAAGGAGAATTCATGGTGAGAGGGCAAAGCAGGTTAAAAGCTACAGGAGACAGAAGTTTGGTAGGAAAGAGAAAGAAAAAGCAGAGTCCTAGGAGGCAGGGCCGAGGGGAGAGGTTTCAGACCAGTAGGAATTTGAGTGCATTTGCTGGTGGAGAGAAGGAAAGAGAGGAGGCTAAGTTCTTGTGGAAGTGAGGAGGGACCCAGAGCTTCAGGGGAAGGGTTGATCTGGGCCTGGAGAGGAGATGGGGGCAAAGGCGAGAGAAGGAGGGTGAAGTGATGCTGAGCTGGGGTGAAAGAACAGGCAAGTCTTACTCTTCTTGGAATGGGCAGGGAGGGGACAGGCTTGGGGAGGAGGAGACGAAGTCTGAAGGGAAGGGAAGTGAGGAAGAGGGAGAAGGTGCAGCAGGAATTGAGCTCTTCAGAGATGACTGGAGAGCACAACTTCACATGGGCGCTAGCACCCTGCTTTGAAGGCCCTTTTCAGGGAACCTGGCAGCCCCAAAGATGGCCAGTTTCTGATCACTCACTGTGTGCTGAGAATTCTGCAATGGGGCCTGCTCAGGACCTTCCTGGCCATAAATGAATGTGTGGAGGCCTGGGCCTCCGTGGCTCTGTGTTGTTATTTCTAACTCACCCTGAATCAGCCACTGAATAACTGGAGGCTGCAGGGGTGGCCCTCCAAGCCCAGAAGCAACCACAGCATGGATTTCTCATCCCTATCATCACTAACACCATTATAACCAGCAGTCCCAGGAGGAATAGTATCAGTTATCACTCAGAGGTCTGCTATTATTAGAGATTTTGACATGAACTTGAAAGAGGCAGAAAACTTGGAATCCTGCTCCCTCCCCCATCACTCTTGCTAGGAAGATGTCAACACTTGGGAGCTCTGAGTTGGGTCCCAGCAACTGAGTCAGTGCACTCCCACTACCACCCCATGTAAAAGGGTAATGCATATTTCTTGTGCCAAGTATATAAAATCTAAGTAAATTAATATATTTGATGTTTTGCCAGAGGCTCTGAGGATCCTGGTCATGGTCTATGTGTAATATCAAAGCAAACATGGTCCCTGGATAAGCCTGCACCAAGAACCTCTTCTTCTGTGTCACGACTGAGCTTATAAAATTTCTGGAAAGTTTCTCTCAGAGTCAAGCTTGGACAGGATTTTATCTGCTTTCCAATATGTACTAGATGTCATATGCTAATAAAATATGCCTAAGATCTAGCCAAATGATCTCGACATTTTTTTTTCCCTTTTCCTCTGCTTTCTTTTTATTCAGATGATTGGAAAGTTCAGTAAGTTTTACTTTTAAAAACACCTCATTTTTTGTGCAACCTGTATCGTGTTAATTTTGGAAAAAATACAGACAAGCACACATAAAAAATAAAAATACCCATAACTGTACAACACAGAGATAATTAACCTTATGGTATACCTTGAAACTGATTTTCCTTTTCCTATATTATTTTGTAGATTGCTTTGTAGACTGCCTTTCTCCTGCTATACAGAGACTGTAGTCCCAGCTATCTGGGAGGCTGAGGTGGGAGGATCACTTGAGCTCGGGGGGTTGAGGCTGCAGTGAGGTCAGATCACACTACTGCACTCCAGCCTGGGTGACAGTGTGAGAACTTGCCTCAAAAAAAAAAATTATTGATCAAGATTGGGTTCAGGCTGGGCGCAGTGGCTTGTGCCTCCAATCCCAGCACTTTGGGAGGCCAAGGCAGGCGGATCACCTGAGGTCAGGAGTTTGAGACCAGCCTGGCTAACATGGCAAAACTCTGTCTCTGCTAAAAATACAAAAATTAGCCAGGCGTGGTGGGCACGCTGGTAGTCCCAGCGTCTTGGGACGCTGAGGCAGGAGAGTTGCTTGAACCTGGGAGGTAGAGGTTGCAGTGAGCTGAGATCACGCCACTGCACTACAGCCTGGGCGACAGAGCGAGACTCCATCTCAAATTTAAAAAAAGACTAGGTTCAAGTGTTCTTGGCTAGAACTGATAAAAGTTCTCAGCGGCTCTGCACAGAATGCTTGTAGCAGCCACTGAGGATCACCGCCTAGATCCATCCTTTCTTTAGGAGATGCTACAGTACTTCTATAAACTTTCTCTCACTAACTCTTTGGTAGCAGTCCTACAGAAAAGATGAGATAAAATGCTTAATTTTCCCCCTTATTTACCCATTTGCAGAATAATGAGCTGATTCCTTAACAGCCCCCAAAGAATGATTAATGAGGCTTTTTTATGTTTTAATCATTAGGAATTCAGACATTTTCATGTATTTGATATATGTCAATCTATTGTAATTTTTGTAGCCATTATTCTTATTTATTTATTACTTATTTTTTTGAAATGTAGTTTTGCTCTTGTTGCCCAGGCTGGAGTGCAATGGTGCGATCTCAGCTCACTGCAACCTCTGCCTCCTGGGTTCAAGTGATTCTCCTGCCTCAGCCTCCCGAGTAGCTGGGATTACAGGCACCTGCCATCATGCCCGGTTAATTTTGTATTTTAAGTAGCAATGAGGTTTCACTATGTTGGTCAGGCTGATCTTGAACTCCTGACCTCAGGTGATCCACCCGCCTTGGCCTCCCAAAGTGCTGGGATTACAGGCGTGAGCCACTGAGCCCAGCCAATCATTATTTTTTGATGCTCAGATTATCCCATCTTTGGCCAGTGGAGTCTTTTCAACTTGGCTCCTGAATCTTCTGCACACATCCTAGTAATCTTTGATAATGTCCTGGCTTTCTTGTATGAAAAGATTTTTGAGGCTGATCTTGTACATTTCTTGCCCCAACCTGGAATCAGTCATTTTCCCAAGGAACCCTGGTTCCTTTTAATTGGTAATGGTATTTACAGATCACCATCAGAGTAGCTAGGGAAGCTCATGTTGTTATGGGTTAGTCATCATTTCCAGGCTCGTCAAAACTAGGACATACACATATTTCCTAGTTCTATGTATACAGGCTATTTGTCCTGTAGAATGCCCCATATTCCATATTTTCCCAGTTGCATTCGGATATTGTTGAGCATGTTCATCTGTCCCGTATACGTCTGTTACCCAGGCTGGAGTGCAGTGGCATGAACACGGCTCACTGTAATCCCAAACTCCTGGGCTCAAGTGATCCTCCCACCTCAGCCTCCCGAGTAGCTAGGACTACAGACATCCACCCCCATACCCAGCTAAGTTCTCATTTTATTTTTATTTTTAGTAGAGATGAAGTCTCACTATGTTGCCCAGGGTGGTCTTGAACTCCTGGACTTAAGTGATCCTCCTGCCTCAGGCTCCCAAAGTGCTGAGATTATAGGCGTGAGCCACCATGCTCAGCCTCAAACACTTTCCACTTCGTCTCTCTCTTTTATCAGGCCTTTGGCTTTGGATTTTCTTTCTGTAGCTGCTCTTTCTATGCCTTGAATGATTCAGCCAGCTCTCCTCTAACACTTCGGCTAGTTAGGTGCATCTCTTTGCAAAGGGAACTCATTTTTTCCTCCGGTGTATATATTTTTAAACTTTTCATTATGGAAAATTTCACATATAAAAAGGCAGAAAAAATAGTACTGTCAACCATGCCACCCCCATCACCCAGATTCAGCAATTTTCAATCATGGTCAGTTTTGTTTCTTTTATACCCCATCCACTTTCTTTGTATACTATTTTGAAAATTCCCGGAAATTATGCCATTTCATCCATAAAATATTTCAGCATTAATTTCTAAAAGATAAGGACACCTTAAAACATAAACCACACCTAAACAACTTTTCTTAAAACATTATCACACCTAAAATTTTAACTATAATTTTTTTTTGAGATAGGCTCTTGCTCTATTGCCCAGGCTAAAGTACAGTGGTGTGATCTTTGTTTACTACAACCTCAAACTCTTGGGCTCAAGCATTCCTTCCACCTCAGCCTCCTGCGTAGCTAGGACTACAGGCATGTGCCACCAAGTCTGGCTTATTTTTTATTTTTTGTAGAGATGGAGTCTCACTATATTGCTCAGGGTGGGAATTAATTTTCTGAAAAGAATACATCATTCATTTGTAACTAGTATTTCCAATTCAAAATTAGGATTATAAGATTTGTATTTATCTTCTTTTTCTTTTTTAAAACAGCTTTATGATATGTAATTCACACAGCAAAAAATTGTTTACCTACTATATTTGACTTTATATTTGTATCTCTTTTAAGCTGATATCCTTGTTTCCAGTGACATTAACACAACTACTGTTTTTGCTTGATCCTAACGTATACATATAGAAAATGTATATAATGGTTTCAGAAAAACAATACCAGTATACTACTAACACTACCATTACTAAAAACAATTTAAGGTTTCTTTGCAGTTCCTTCTGCCTTAGGGTATACCCCACTAGAAGAACAGACAAATTACTTTGCATTTGCCAGTTGAAATAATTCTGCTGAGTTTAATTTATCAATGACATGATACATAGTTAGGTTCATTTGTTTCATTCTGCTTTTGTTTTTAAGGGAGAGCTTTTCCCTCATTTTAATTGATTTTGTTTAATGATGATATAGAGTTTTGCCTAGTTACACAATTAAATTCACAAACAAAATACATTCAAAGAAGTCTAGCTTTCATCTCTGTCCCGTTACTTCTAGTCCCATACAGTATTCATTTTTATTAGTTTTATTGTATCCTTTTTTCTTGATATAAGTAAATAAATGAAACGTGTGTGTGTGTGTGTGTGTGTGTGTGTGTATTCCTGTTCCCTTCTTTATTCACTAAAAATGTAACACAGTATACATACTGTTTTGTCTATTTTTCTTTTTTTACTAAACAATATATCCTGGTGAGCACTCCATTATAATTACATACTCAATAATACTCCCATGATTGATTATGTACCTTATTTTATTCAATCAATCTCCTGGGTTGTTTCCAGTCTTTTGTAAAGTAGGTGCTACTAGTAGTGGTTACAATGAATAATTTAATGCATATGTCTTTTCTATTTGCCAATGTATCTTTGAAATAGATTCCTAAAAGTGGGTTTGCTGGATCAAAGGGAAAGTGTGTATCTCTGATTTTGCTCTATACTGCCAAATTCCCCTCCACAGGGATTGTGCCATTTTGCAATACCCACCAGTGATGTATGAAAGTGCCACTCCCCCACAGCCCCTGCAACATCACCAAGAGTACACTGTCAAACATTTAGATTTTGTTAGTCTGATAGAAAAAAAATAGTATTTCACTGTCATCTTAATTTGCATTTCTTTTGTTATGAGTGGAATTTAGCATTATTTCATATATGGAAGAGCCATTTGCAGTTCTTTTTCTATAAACTTTATTCGTATCTCTTGCCTATTTTTTAGGTATTGTTTTTTTCTTCTCTTTTTTTAAAGTTCTTTATATATTTAATATATAAACTCTCTGAGATACAGTTACAAAATTTCCCCTTGTTTGTTTGTTTATTTATTTACTTGGGTTGTGGTGTTTTCTTTTCTTTATTTCCCCCCTCATTTTTGCAAAAGATTTTTATTTTTTCTCAAAGCAGGAGGCAGAAAGCTGCTGCTATGGTCACTTTTGGCCTCCCACACAGTAGGTTTTTGTTGTTGTTGTTGTTGTTTTAAGTCAAATTTATCAGTCTTTCCCCTATTGCTTCTGGAGTTTGAGTCATAGGAAAGTTTTTCTCATCCCCAGGTTATAGAGAAATTCATCCATACTTTTTTAGTACTTGTGTGTTTTCATGTTTTACATTTAAATCTCTGGTCTATTCTGGTTGGCTTAAAGACCAGATCCAATTTTATCTAGTTCCATATGACTAACAAAGGCCTCTCTTTACCTCTTCTAAGACTATCCTGTGGCTTTTCTTCACCTTTTCTTTGGAGATTTGCATGCTTGTTTTTTTCTCCTGGTTTCCCCTCCTTGTATCATTGATTGCAGCTGCATGGATTCAAAGACTGTTCCCTCAACATGTCCTGTGCTGTGCTCTAGTCTCTTCCTCCTCCTCCTTCTCTTGGCCACAGGCATGCTTTCATGGTGATGGGGAGATCAGGTTTCAAGGTGGGAACAAGGACTTGGAACACTCTACATTCTTGTTACCCTAGAACTCCCAGAAAGGACAGTGGTGGATGTGGAATTTCTAACAATCACAGCCAGCACCATAACTTTCCCCAACATCATCCTCACCTCCATCACTACATCACCAACACTTTTATTACCAAGTTTCAAGCGATCATCTACCAACTCTGCCATATTCATTCAAGGTTTCAGCATCTGTCTCATATTCTACGCAAACCCAATTCTTGCTCAATTATTTTCAGAAACTTCAATGCCTACTACAACTCTGGCCTCGAAGATGACTTACTTGACTCCAGTGACCCTCTCATCTTCACTCCACGTCAGGCACTCAGTCCCACAGCCACATTCTGAAACTCTTCATCACTTTGAAAATATTAATCTCCAATACTCTCTGAATGCAATTTCTTCATGTTCTATTTTCTCTTTCTCTCCTTTGCCTTCTACACTCCAAACCCACTTGATTTCTATACATACTTCTAGTCTATTATCTCTCTTGGCTAGATCCCATCCATCTCCTCAATCTCACTCTTGCCAGGGTCCTGTACCCGTTGGTTCCACTGTTCTTTTGTCCCACACATTAGGCAAAATCCAACCAGAGATTTATCTAATCTTACACTGTTGTACCTTTTATACTTGAGGGGCTGCGAGAACACACACACATATACACTAAAGTGCACTGATGCCACCACAAATTTATGAGGCGCTGGGCCCTCAACTTTGCTCAGCAGCTATTCCAAACATTCTCTACTCTCCATAAACTCTATCCTTTTCCAACTCTCTTTAAGCAGGTATCTTTTCTCTTACTTCACAGAAAAACCAAGACCATCAGATAGGTACTCCCTCAGCTTCTGGCTTCCTTACCCACAAATCTATCAGCCCCTTTACCTATTCTTAAATTTGGCCTCCTTACCCCATCCCTATGACACCAAAGTAGATCTTTCTATCATGCTATGGATTCCATTTCTGTTTGTTTCTCTTTATGCACACAATAAGGCTCAGGTCTCTCCCCTGTGAAAACAAACAAACAAACAAACAAACAAATTCGACAAAGCGTCCTGGCCATGTACCCGCTTTAGCTACCAGCCTCTCTTTCATCCTTTCATGGCAAAAGTTCTAGGAAGAGCAGTGGATATCCTGTCTCCACTTCCTCATCTCCTAGTCACCCTCCAATCTAATGCAATCTAGATTTTACTCCTCTGGGACTACTGTTATATATACTCCCAGCGCAGCACTATTTGTAGACATGTCCGTCTTCTTGCATTTACACATGCATTATCTCTGCCTGAAATGTACACCTCTGCTCTATTTCCCAACCACTTTCCTTCTCTATAGGCCTGGAAAAAATGCATTCTTACTTTTAAAAAAATTTTTAATAGGCACATAATAATTGTACATATTTATGGAGTACAAAGTGATGTTGTGATACATATAATGTATTGTGATCCAATCAGGGTAATTAGCATATCCATCATCTCAAACATTTATCATTTCTTATTTATTTTTAGACAGAGTCTCGCTCTGTTGCCCAGGCTGGAGTTGCAGTGGTGTGATCTTGGCTCACTGCAACCTACGCCTCCCAGGTTCAAGCGATTCTCCTGCCTCAGCCTCACGAGTAGCTGGAACTACAGGTGTGCACCACCACGCCCAGCTAATGTTTGTATTTTTAGTAGAGACAGGGTTTCACCATGTTGGCTAGGCTGGTTTCAAATTCCTGACCTCAGGTGATCTGCCCGCCTCGGCCTCCCAAAGTGTTGGGATGACAGGCATGAGCCACTGCACCCGGCCAACATTTATCATTTCTTTGTGTTGAGAACATTCAATATCTTCCTTCTAGCTATTTGAAACTATATATTACTGTTAACTACAATCACCCCAGAGTGTCATGGAACGCTAGAATTTATTCCTCCTATCTAGCTGTGATTTTGTATAATTTGACAAGTCTCTCCCTATTTCTCCCTTCCCAGCCTCTGGCATCCTCTGCTCTGTTTCATTCTTATCAAGCTGAAAGACTACTTCCTCAGGACAGTCTCCCCTGACTCCCCGAGGGAGGCTTGCATTCTTCCTCCAGTGTTCCCACTGCACTTTGTTCATCCCCTGTGAGGTGGCTTGACACCTGCAGAGGCCTTGGAAAATGGGCTGGGGCCTATAAACAACAGGAAATGTCGGGGTGGGGTGATGGTAAAGATGGTGTGTGTGTGTTAATTATGCAGGTGGCCTAACCTCAGGCTATGCCTGGAACAGAATCCAGGGGCTTCCGTCCAGACCAGTGTGCCAGTTTGGGGGCCTGGCCAGGGTGGAGGTGGCCCTTAAGGTATAGAATGACTGGTCAGACTAGCGGGGGTGTGGGACGCCTGACCTGCTTGCCCTGGCCTAGGGGGTAGCAGGGGAGGGTGGGGCAGGCTCCAAAAGACAGGCCCCAGCCCGCCAGCCCCGCCAGCACCCCGGCACGCGAGGCAGCCTCAGGATCAGGTTTCAGCAGGGTGTGTGTGAGTGCGTGAGAAGGACCCGGGGAAGGAGGAGACGGAAGTTGCACTGGAACTTGCCTATCCTTTCTCCTTAGATCCTACAGCCTAGTAGTTTGGGGGTTTTGGGCCCTGGGAGAGTACATGCTGAGTGTGGATCTGACCCCTGTGTCTCTCACAGCATAGATGGAACCTCAGGAGCCAGGAGGCTGCCCTGCTCGCAGACCTGTAGACTGAAAGAGGACTATGATTAAGCATAAGGGTCAGGCTAACCAGCCAGGAAGGGCAACCTGGGGCCCTCCTAAGAGATCTTCCAGCTCACTTAATGCTCAAAAATGTGGCTAAGGTGCAGCGTATAAGGTGAATGTCCTCAACACTGGCTCATCAACCTAAACCATGTTCTAAGGCTTGGAATATTAAGCCTGTATCCACAGACTGGCAAGAAAGCTGACTGGTCTTATTAAGGAGTGAGGTGAGGGAGTAGTTATGTGTGGGCACCAGCAGATCTAGGGTAGGGTCTTCTCCTAGTTCCTACCAACCCAACTGAAAGAGGTGCTTCCAGATATGGGTTTGCTGGATTAGGGTAACAGATGGCTTCAGCTTGACATCTGTGCCTGGTTGGTTGGGTGGCCAGCCTTTTAGCCACTTCTCCCAATGACTGTGACGAGTGCAAGCAGCCCATGAGACAAAGGGAAGGCAGAGCCCAGCAATGAGTTCTTAGACCAGGGACCACAGCACATCAGTCCGTTATATTCAACCACAGGCCTTGGCTCCCACAAGGTGAGACTGTCATCCAACAGGATGAAGCCAAATCCCACAGATCCACCTTCCTAGAACCTTCTCTGAGTAGTGGTGGGATAGACATAACGTAGGGAGATAGGTGTTCTAGAGTCTACATGGTCTTGCTTGGGATCTAGCTGCTGCAGCCCCACCATAAAGGGCCATGCACAGGAAGAGCCTGGTGTATGTCTAAGCAAGTAATGCGAACACTTTCTAAATGCCCTGTCAAATATGTGTCTTGCTGCGTTCCCCTTGCTGACCACTTGAATGAATTCCATGGGAGATGGGTCCTATGGGAGAGCAGGAGTCGAAGGAGAAAGGATGGTAAGTTTAAGAGCAGGTGGGCATCATATGTCCTGAGAGAGGTAGCTCAGAGGTAAAGAGACAAACATCAGGTGCCAACCAACAAGTACTATTCCAAGCCTGTTCAGGAAGCTCTTGCTTCCGTATCTTACATGGGACTAGATGGAGCTGGAAAACACGGCCCCATCCAACAACTGCTTGCCTACTCAGTGCTAGGTCCTGTGCTGAGTACGAGCTCAGAACCTAAAAGTAAATTAGGCTTGGTCCTTTCCTCAAGAAGCTAGTGATAGAGACAGGTAGAGAAATAATCATAAGAAAATATATGTAATATATGTCCACATTCTATATTCTGGAATAGGATGCTATATTTTGGTACAAAGGTCACTGACCAACTTGAGGGTACTGGAAAGACATCTCAAAGGAGATAATGGCAAAGCTGAGCTAAGCCTTGAAAGACAAGTAAATAAACGTTAAGCCTGGTGGAGAATGTTCAGAAGGGTAGTTGTAAGACAAAGGCACAGAAGAGAAGAGAACCATAAGTAACTGTCCCTTCAAGATAAGGAGAGAGAATGCTGAGGCTGGAGGAGGGAAGTAGCCCCCATCAACGGCAGAGGAACTTCAGCCTGGCACCCTCCCCACCCCGCACCCTTGTAACTCTGCCCTCTAGTTCCACCCAGGCAGGTGGAGCAATGTGTGAGGAAGAATGGGCAGGCAAGTGCATTCTGACTAGGTGTAAACAAAGCAGCTGAGATGCAAATACTGCACAGAAGGAAAAGGCCAGGCAGGGCGTGCATCAGCACTGCAGGGCTGGCCTGGTGCCTGAGGCTGTGTCAGGACCAATTTCAAGCTGGATCATCACTGGTACTTTCAGGCACTCAGTTCATGCTCTTTCTTGTTGGCACGTTGCAGTGGATATCCACATCTCTTCCCCTGTCTTCTACAATAGCATCCCCCTTTTCATTCCATATGCTCCTGGTTCGGCTGATCCCCACCACTGCTACTGGGATGGGCACATGTCTGGGCTGACCAATCAGGAGACCCCTTCCTAAGTGGCTCAGGAATGGGCACCTAGCCAGGCACGGTGGCTCATGCCTGTAATCCCAGCACTTTAGAAGGCTGAGGTGGGAGAACTGTTTGAACCTAGGAGTTTGAGACCAGCCTAGGCAACACACTGAGACCCTGTCATTATGAAAAATAAAATTGAAAAATTTAGCCAGTCATGGTAGTGCACGCCTGTAGTCCCAGTTACTTGGGAGGCTGAGGCAGGAGGACCGCTTGAGCCTGGAAGGGTCGAGGCTGCAGTGAGCTATGATCTTGCCACTGCACTCCAGCCTGGGCAACAGAGTGAGAGCCTGTCTCTAAATAAATAAATAAATAAATAAATAAATAAATAAATAAAAGAATGGGCACTTGACCTAAGTGCTATGCACCATGGTCTTCTCTGAGATTTCATATTTGGACGCTGGGGGCTGTGGGAGTCTCTTTTTTTCTCTAAGATAGTGACCTATACAAACCATGCAAGCCCAGAACAGGGTCAGGCAAACTACAGCCTATAGGCCAGCTGCCTGTTTCTAAAGTTTTATTTTATTGGAATACAGCCACACCTATTCATTTAAACAATGTATGGCTGCTTTTGACCTACAACAGTAGAGACTTGTGACAGAGACTATATGGCCCACAAAGCCGAAAACATCTACTATCTGGCCCTTTAAGAAAAACAATGTGCCAACTTCGAGCTTAGAACAGCTGGAGCCATCTTCTATGGCTGCAGGGAGGAAGACACTGTTTGAGTCCTAGATTCAGGTGGGCCTAAAGATAGTTCAGGTCCTGAACTTCACAGTTATGTAAACTAATACAATTTCCTTTTTGCTTGAATTCATTTGACATGGGATATTACCAACTGCAACTGCTACCTAGAAGGTAAAGGTTAAGCTCTTCAGTCTGATTTACAAGGCTCCTGTCTACCTCTCCAGCCTCAGATACCCCCTCTTCTCCTCCCTTTCCCTATGCTTTAGCCCCGTACAACTATGTATAATTTCCAGAGTCTATCAGGCTCTTTAACGCCTCCATGCCTCTATACCACTGTTCCCTCTGCCTGGGGTTCTCGTCTCCTTATCATTCACATGCTGAACTTCTGCTCATTCCTCAAGACTGGACTGCAGCATCTCTACCTCTCTGAGGTCTTCCCTGAGCCACACAGGGCTGACCAAACCCTCCTCTGGGTCATCAGTGTTCTTTGTGCACAGTGACCTCTTAGCACATGCTAATGTTATTGCCCAGTTCCCCCGCAGGCTGTGTAGCACCCCCCGGCTTGCAGCCAAGCACATAGCAGGTGCTCAGCAAATGCCTGTGAGCTGCAAGAGACAGGAGCAGCTTGGGGTGACAGCCTCCACCATGTGGATCTTCCAGGGCTAATCCAGGCCAATTCCTGCTCACCTGTGGCAGTCTGGGGACCGCCTCTGTGTGATCCTCATGGACACTTTGATCTCCCTGTTCCAAAGCACCAGGCTTCCAGTGATGTTTCCAATGTTCACAGACACCCCCACCCCCCATTCTGAAATACTGCCAGCTACTGCCCCCACCCCGCCTGCCTAGGAACTGTGGCCACATCCGTGTCCAGACAAGCTGGAGCCACATGCATGACATGTGTGACAGGCAGGGAGGCCTGTGCTGAAGGAGGAGAGGAGAGGCTGAGCCAGAGGCCCTCAAGGGGGCAGTGCCTGGGCTCCTGCTGACAGGCTCCCACTGACTCTGCTGACAGCCTGTGCCTTGTGTAGAGGAAGGAGGGAGGGAAGTGGGGAACGTAGGGGAGGAAACTGTGTGCTGAGAAGCTGCCATGTCAGGCAGGCGCCCCTGCCTCAGGAAGAGCCTGGTTGATGGCCAGATTGTCTGCAGAGGCCACATAACCCAAAGCCCAAAGGCACGGTCCTGTTGGTGACCAGCATCTACCGTCTGTGTCTCTAATATGTGCTAAGCCCCAGCTTATCTCAGGCTCTGTGCTAGTCATTGGGAATATAAAAAGCTCAGAGGCTGGGCGTGGTGGCTCACGCCTGTAATCCCAACACTTTGGGAGGCTGAGGCGGGTGGATCACCTGAGGTCGGGAGTTCAAGACCAGCCTGGCCAACATGGTGAAACCCTGTCTCTACTGAAAATACAAAAATTAGCCAGGCACAGTGATGGGCGTCTGTAATCCCAGCTACTTGGGAGGCTGAGGTAGGAGAATCACTTGAACCCGGGAGGAGGAGGTTGCAGTGAGCTGAGATCGCGCCATTGCACTCCAGTCTGGGTGACAGAGTGAGACTCCGTCTCAAAGGAAAAAAAAAAAAGAACTCAGAGTCCCTGCCTTGGTGGATAATGGGTGAGGCAGCCAAACAGAGAGGCAGTTATGAAATACATGATCAACGTCACAATAATAACAACAGTAATAATAGCAATGACAACTGAGTTCTTACTGCATTCCTGGCACTGTTCTAAGTGCTCTCTCCATTTTCGTATTTAATCTCACAGTGACCTCAGGATGGGCACTATTTATATCCTCGTTCGTATTAACCGCATTGCTTCTGGTAATACATGAAAGTCACTGGCCCCTTAGGGAACACACTATTGGGGAATGGAGAGGACAGAACCAACTGCAGGGGTTGAGGAGGGAAAGAAGTGAGCAAGTGTTCAAGACAGAGATCAGACAATTTCTAAAGAGACTTGGTAGTGAAGGAGAGGACAGAAGTGGAATGGAGGCTGGAGATGAAGTGGGATGGTGAAGAACTGAGATGTTTGTATTCAGATGGAAAGGAGACAAGCGGAGAGAGGGAGGGGGTAGGTGACAGCCAGCGTAACAGTGGAATGAAGCCCGGGAGGAGAGGAAGGGGATAGATCCAGAGTATGAGGGGAGGAAGACAGAAGACAGGATATCTTTTCCGTGGAAAGGGAGGAGGATGTGAAGATGGCTACTCTGACAGGTGAGCTTAGAGGTATGGAGAACCTGAGAAAATGCTCACCACATCGACTCTTTTCCTTGGGAAGATTTGGGGTTGTAGTGTGAGGGTGTAGACTGTAGGGACTTATGAATAGGAAAGATTTGGGACAGTCACCATGGTAAGTCACACTGACCTTTTAGCACTTAACACATGCTAATGTTATTGCCCAGTTCCCCAGCAGACTTTGTGGCACCCCTAGCTCTCAGCCAAGTACACAGCAGGTGCTCCGTAAATGCCTGTGGGCTGCAAGAGACAGGAGCAGCTTGGGGTGACAGCCTCCACCATGTGGATTTTCCAGGGCCAACCAGACCAATTCATGCTCCCCTGGGACAGGGACAAGGATTGCTAAGCTGTGCACAGAGGCTGGAGAGCATGAAGCCACAGTAGCGCCAAGGCTGTGTTTGTGTGTCGCCAAGGCAGTGGTGCCAAGCAGCCCAGAAGTAGGAGCAGGAAAAGTCAGATGGATCCAACCACGTTTGGGCCCTGCTGTAGCAGGTTTGATGGAAGGACAGGAGTATGATGGGATTCAAAGCAGTGGTGAGAATACCAGTGATACGCAGGGTCACGGTGCAGGAGCAGCGGCTCTGGCTTTGATGGTGAGGAAGGCAGGGGCCAAGCTAATGTAGTTGATCAAGCCAAAACCTAGGAGTCATTCTTTTTTCTCTTTTAGTCCCATATTCCCAGATCCTCACAAAGAGCAACACCTATTTTACAAACAAATCTCTCTCTTGCCAACTGGATGGCATCCCTTGGAGTCATTCTTGACTCATCTCTTTTTCTTGGCTGCCTCTCATCCAATTCATCAGCAAGTCCTGTTAATACAATCACTAAACATATTCTAAATTCACCCACTTACCTCTCTCCACTGCTACGGCCCTAGTCCAAATAATCATTTCTGGACCACTATGATGGTCAATGTGCAGCTTCTGCTCTTGTCTTTCTCTCAGAGTCCATTCTCTCGAGGAGGCCAGGATGATAAATCATCAACCATACCATGCCAACCATGCCATGAAGGTTCGAACCTTCTCACTGTCTCCAAAAAAAAGCCAAACCACAGGTTAAAGGGCCCAATGCTCACGTCTCACCTCACCCCAGATCCTCCTCCTTCCTCACCCTGTTACAGCATACTGGCCTTCTGTCCAGTCCTTAAATACAAGCCTTTTTCTGAGTCTGGACCTTTCCACAACGGCTCTGCATCTTTCCAAGGCTGGTTCTATGTTTTCATTCAGATTTCTGTTGAAATGTCACCTCCTCAGGGACGTCTTCTCTGACTCTTCTGTCTAAAGTGGGTTTCCTGCCGCAGTCATTCTCTAACATGTCATCTTCTCTTGTTTTCTCTGTAAGCACGTATCACTCTTTGTGCATTGCTTCCTGTCTCCCATGTGCACTTGTTTGTTATTATCTGGAGGGTGTAATTATCTGGAGGGTCTCCATGTGAACAGGAGCTGCCCATTCTGTTCACTGTCATGCCCCCCAGTACTTAGAATTGTGCCTAGCATAAAAGGTGCTGAATAAATATTTGGTAAGTGAGATCAGAGATCTGCCTTCCACCAAATATTCAAAACTACCGTGTCTGCTCTTCCCTCTTGATAAAACTGAGCAAAATTCCATTCTTCTATCAAAGATCAATATTTCCACATGGGCAATGTCTTCCTATCTCAGAGTAAAGGCTGACATCCTTACAACAGCCTATAAGGCCATCTATGATCTCCCTCACCCCAACTTCCTCTCTGGTCTCATCTCCTACTACTCTCCCTCTGTTCACAGTCCCCCAGCCACACTCCTTGCTGCCTTAGGGCCTTGACTAGAGCTGTTTCCTCTGCCTGGAATGTTCTTCCTCAGACACACATTTGGCTCATTCCTCGCCTCCTTCCAGTCTTTACTCAAATCTCTCATTTCCCTTGAGGCCAACCCTCACCATCCTATTTAATAATGCAACTTGCTCCTGTCACCTTGCCATATTTTCTTTCTTCCCATGGCATTTATCTTGTGGTAATTTACTAAATATTTTACTTCTTAGTTGTTTATTGCTTGTGTTTTTCTGGTAGGATGTACACTTCCTAAAGTAAGATTTTGAGATGAGGATATAATCCTGGATTATCTAGGTGAGCCCTAACACCATTGTGAATCCTTAGAGGAGAGAGGTGGAGAGAGATTTGACCACACACAGACGAAAAGGCAATGTGACCACAGGTCAAGACTGGAGAGATGCGGCCACGAGACAAGAGATGCTAGCAGTCGCCAGAGGCAGAAGAGGCGAGAGACGGATATGACCTAGAGCATCTGGAGGGAGCCCAGCCCTGCTAACACCTTGATTTCAGTCCAGGAATACTGACTTTGAACTTCTGTCCACCAGAACTGTGAGGGAATCATCTGTTAGGGCAGCCACAGGAAATTAATACAGATACATTACTTTCTGAACCCCTAGAAATGGGATTCCTGGAAGGGAAGGTTTCAGCCATCTTTTTTCCTCTGCTAAGGAGTGAGACAACATGACAGAGAATGAGCAGATGCTGTTCTGTGAGATGAGACCCTCTACCTTCAGGGAAGGGGCACAAGGGCAGTCATTGCTGACCACTATCTGCTCTGCATCCAATCATTGCTTACAGTCCCAGGCAGGTTTTATAAAGAAAAGGCTGGAAAATGCGACTGTTTACAGGAGGGTTCAAGTTCCAGATATCCAGACACATATTTCTAACTGGGGGCTGCTGAATCTCCATCTCAAACTTAGACCTGTATCCGGAGCTCAAGACTTATATATCCAACTGCACCTGGAGTATCTTGTCCAAGATCTCCTACTGGCACCTAGGCTCAACACATCAAAAAAGGAGCCCATTATCTTCCCCTAAACCTATTCCATCTGTCTTTTCTTCAATGAAGAGCATCCAAGTCACAGACTAAGGGGAGACCTATCTGCTTGTTTGCTATCTCTGGGGTCCTGAATGTGGCCTCTGTGTGTTTCTCTGCAGGGAAGTGAGAAGGGTGAGCCAACTCTGCTGACCAGGGAAGTCAGAAGACCCTGCACCCACGTGGCTAGATGACATCACAATCATCATCATCGCCCCAGACTGGGCAATGCATGAATGCAGACTGCTCCTGGAATTTCCCATGCAGGTCCCCCTTAGTCCTAGCTGGGGACTCTGTTCCTACAGGAAAATACTATAGCTGCCTTCTTCAGTCCAGGGGCTCAAACATTGTTCCTGACTTTGGAGACCTTGGGTGAGGCTGTAGGGGCAGAATCCTCTCTCTCTGAACACCTGATCAAATGGGATGGGTCAAGCTAGTGATAGAAACCTGTCACAGACTATTGTCGAGATGCATAGGGAGAACTGTCCCACAATAAGAATTCCAGCCCCCATACAAACGCAGAGGCTGGTATTCCTACTATTTCTGCCATTTTTCACCTCTGCTCGCCTCCTGGGCGAGCTGAGGTGACAGTTTTATCACCATGCCTTGTCTTTAACATCACATGCCTAGTACCTAGAACAGCACCTAGCATATTATAGGTAATGAATGAATGAATGAATAGCTACAACAATGGGCCCTGCCCACTGGATAGGGACCTGTCACAACCATAACTACTGGGCTGCAGCATTCCTCTTTCACATTCGTCCATCCACATGCAATGAGCACCCCATGGCCATCCAGCCAACCACCAGGAAGGAGGACCAGAGACTTGCTGTAGGTCATTCTAGACACATGACACCTTTCCAGGCCATAGTACTGCCATTACCTGGTAAAGTTATGGAGATAAGCAAGTCCCAGCCTATCTTGTCCCTTCATTGGAAGATCTTCAGCAGTTCCACATTACTGACTCAGGCCCAAATCTCTAGCCTTTCCTGCCACAGTACCTTACGATGGCCTCTATGGACTGAATCTTTTATACCTGACAGCTAAGAGCCTCAATCCCGATGCTTGACTGGCTCTCTCCCCTCAGGGTCTGCTCTATGACTTGAGCTGCTTTTCTTCCAGTCTTGATGTTCTAGGGCCACAAATCATTTATGATCCCTGTGCTTGGCAAGTCTAGTACCCCCTTCCTTGACAGATATCTCCCTGTTCAACTATAGGCTCAGTCAAAAATAAAGTGAAGAGAAATTCTAAGCTGGGCGCAGTGGCTCATGCCTGTAATCCCAGTACTTTAGGAGGCCGAGGCGGGCGGATTGCTTGAGCCCAGGAGTTTGAGATCAGCCTGAGCAACATGGCGAAACCCTGTCTCTACAAAAAATTTAAAAAATTATCCTGCCATGGTGGCAAGGTAATCCCAACGACTTGGGAAGCTGAGTGGGGAGCATCACTTGAGCCTGGAATGTCGAGGCTGCAGTGAACCAAGATCACACTACTGTACTCCAGCCTAGATGACAGAGTGAGACCCTGTCTCAAAAATAATAATAATAATAATAATAATAATAATAAGAAGAAGAAGAAGAAGAAGAAGAAGAAGAAGAAGAAGAAGAAGAAGAAGAAGAGAAATTCTAAAGCAATTATCATCAGGTGCAGTATTTTTTGTGTATTCTTTTATCAAAAAGCAGGAAACAGGAGAGATGAATTTTCTTCATGTATTAGTCTGTTCTCACGCTGCTATAAAGAAATACCCAAGACTGGGTCATTTATAAAGGAAAGAGGTTTAATCAACTCACAGTTCTGCATGGCTGGGGAGGCCTCAGGAAACACAATCATGGCGGAAGGTGAAACAGGAGCAGGCACCTTCTTCACAAGGTGGCAGGAGAGAGTGAGTACAAGCAGGGGAAATGCCAGATGCTTATAAAACCATTCACTATCATGAGAACAGCATGGGGGAAACCCCCCATGATCCAATCACTTCCCACCAGGTTCCTCCCATGACACGTGGGGTTTATGGGGATTACAATTCAAGATGAAATATGGGTGTGGACAAAGCCAAACAATATCACTTCCAAACATAGAAAGTGGTAAACTCCAAGGCAGGCCTGCCTTGGCCTCCCCTCCTCCAGTGATCTTAATCTCTTTCCTATCTCAGCTATTTACTCCTAAATTATATGTTAAACTAGGTCGCTGCTAATAACTAAAGCCCTCTCTAATGTCAGTCTCAAGCTCACTCCCTGACTGCCTCCATGTATCTATAGCTCACCTGCTGTCATAGCTAAACTCGTACAATCCTCAACACACTGAAATCATCAAGCCATTGGTTTGACCGTCTTTTCACTGTCCTTTACTTCCTTATATTCTTACTGCAATTCTCATCCAGCTTAAATTCCAAATCAATCATTATAATCACTTCTTTGCATTCACCCTCAGCTTCTTTGTTCCTTTCTCATTTGGGGGAAACACAGCTTTGATTAAATCGAAATTCCTACCTACTCTGGGGATGTACCTACACAGCTGAATATGTCTGGCTGGAGAACAACCATGCTGGTTGCTGGCTGGTCTCACTCAAAATACCAGTGAGGCCCTTATGCTTCCTGGCAATCATATATGTTATCAGCTCAGTCATTCTTCCATTCTCCTGGATGACTACTCATACTTTCTCTTTTCTCTCTACAATTCCAACACCTCCCTCATTCTTGTTCCCATAGATAACCTTGTTTACCATGGTACTGAAATATGTGAAACAAACAGAACAGAATGTTTACAAGCTGCGTATCACTACTTGCGTGCATTTGTGCCTATATTCTCTACTTTATGTTTGAACTGCCCATATTTGTAACTAAGGCCAACTTTTGTGCCCTAGACCTTATCTTTTTCATTTACTAAAGGACACTGCTCCAGGAAGTCTTCACTCTTACATCATCTCATTTCTGGATTATCCCCATAGGCAAACAAATACGTTGTTTATCCATATTAAACCCCTTCTCTCTTCTTTTTTAAGGTTTTAAAATTTGCACTCTTCTAACTTTACATTATGAAAAACATTCATACAGAAAAGTTAAAAGAACAGTACAACTATCACCCATATAGTGACCACCTATTCATTTTATCTCCATCTCTTTACAGAAACACTCCTTCAAAGAGTTATCTACATTTGCCTGTCTCCAATCTCTCTCCTCCCATTTCTCTTGAATCCATACCAATGATCCTTTAAGGTCACGTATTACTTTCATGCTGCTAAATCCAATGGTCAATTCTTTACTTAACCTATCAACAGAGTAACCATACATTGTGATTTGCCTGGGACAATGTTGGTTTATGTGTCTTATCCTGGAGTAATTAATCTTGTCCATTTTCACTCTCAAAAGTGCCCTAGTTTGTATAGTAACTTATACAATCATCCTGCCTACCAGCAACATATTACACAGTTAATTACTCCTTTTGTAATACTTTCTTTGGTTTCCAGAATATCACATTTTCCTGGATTTCCTAATGTTGCAATGGGCACTCCTCTTTCTCATTCCTTTCTGCAGTTGCTCCCTCAATGTCCCACACCAAGTGTGGGCCATTCTCTGGGCTCAGTCCCAGCTTCTCTCCTCCATCCATATTCACTTATTTGGTGATCTCATCCATTTTCATAGTCTGGACCTCTTCCCTGAACCCCACACACTGCTATATTCCCCTGCCTTCTTTTTGTATTTTTATTTTATTTATTTATTTATTTATTTTGAGACAGAATCTTACTCTGTCGTCCAGGCTGGAGTACAGTGGTGCGATCTTGGTTCACGTTACATGCAACCTCTGCCTCCCGGGTTCAAGAGATTCTTCTGCCTCAGCCTCCTGAGTAGCTGTGATTACAGGCACGCACCACCACACCCAGCTAATTTTTGTATTTTTAGTGGAGATGGAGTTCTGCCATGTTAGCCAGGATGGTCTCAAACCCCTGGCCTCAGGTGATCTGCCCACCTTAGCCTCCCAAAGTGCTGGGATTACAGGTGTGAACCACCACACCTGGCCCTTCCCCTGCCTTCTTGATAGCTACACTTGGATGTCTAAGAGGCATCTCAAACTCTGCATGTTTAAACTTGAGTTCATAATGCTCCTAAAACCTGCTCTTCTTGCAGTCATTTCTCCATCTTGGTAAATGGCATCTTCATTCTTCCAGTTTCTCAGGCTACACACTTTTAGTTGGCCTAAATTACTCTCTTTCTCTCATACTCACACCTGTGCTGGCAGCAAACCTGTTAGCTCTCCCTTCAGAATATACCCTGAACTTGACGCTTTCTTACCACCTCCACTGCTTCCACCGTGGTCCAGGTCACAATCATCTCTCCTGTAGGTCACAATAGCCTCCCAATCGGACTGCCTTGCAACAGTCTATTCTCATCAAGGCAGCTAGAAGGATCCTTTAAAACTGAAGTCACTCCTCTGCTCCAAATCCTCCATTCCTAGAGTGACCTCCAACACTCCCATGATTCAGATTTCTCTTTCTTACTTCATCTCTCATATTTCCCACTTCTTTAACACAGGCATCTTTCCTGCATTTGGATCCCACCTCAGAGCTTTTGCACTGGCTGTTTCCTCTGCCTGGAAGGCTCTTCCCCAAGATATCAGCATGGCCTTCCCTGATTTCCTTTAGGTTTTTACTTAAATGTCACCTTCCCATGAAGGTCTTTCCCAATCTCAAATGGCAGCCCCTCTCTAACTTCCATTCCTGCTTTATTTTTCTCTAGTATTTCCCACCATCTAAAATACTGTACACCTTATTTCTATATCGTTTCTTTGCCTGCTTCCCACTAGAATATGAGCCCCATGAAGGCAAGACTGTTGGTCAGTTTTGCTCACTGCTTTACCTCCAGTACAAGAGCAGTGTACTCACTAAGTATTTGTTGAATGACTGTAAAAAGGGGCTAATAATACCTACTACCTCGTGGATTATTGTGAAGATGAAGTGAGATAAGGCATGTGAAGTTCTTGGCACACCATGTTGCTCAATGACTGTCAGTTTCCTTCACCTCTCTCTCTCCCCTCCCAGTTTTGGTATCTGCCATGCCCTCCCTCTCCCTCAGGGAGTGCCCGGTCAGAGGCAGGGTGAAGAGCAGCAGGTGCCTCACCAGCAGCCCTGGCAGGACTCTCTCTGCCCTGAGACAGTCCTCCCCCCTCACACCCCGTCTCGCTCACACCCTTCCCCAACACTCCCCCTCTCACCTCTCCCCAACACACCCTCTCCTCCGTCCCCCCCACAGCCCCTCCCCCCTTCCCCCCACACCTCTCCTCCCTCTCCTCCTACTCCCGGCCCCCCACACCCCTCTCAATACACCCCCTCCTGTCCCTCACACCCCAGCCTCTCCCTCATATACCATCCTCTTTGTTAGTCCCCATCCTCTCTCACACCCCAATCATCTCCCCCACACACCCCCTCCTCCCCCTCACACCTTCTCCCCTCCCCCACAGACCCCCTCCTCCCATGTCCCCTCCTACCCTCACCCCCTCCTCTACCTCACCCCCAGCCTCTCACTCAGACCCCACCCTCTTTCTCACATCCCAGTCATCTCCCACACACACCCCCCACCGACGTACCGCTCCCCCTCCCCCACATACCCCCTCCTCCCTCCCACAAACCCCTTCCTACCCTCACACACGCCCTCCTCTCCCTCCCACCCCATCCTCTCCCACACCCCTCCTCTCCCTCACACCCCAGCCTCTCCCTCACACCCCATCTTCTCCCACACATCCCATCTTCTCCCTCACACCTCATCCTCTCCCTCCCACCCCATCCTTTCCCACATCCCTCCTCTCCCTCACACCCCAGCCTCTCCCTCACACCCCATCCTCTCCCTCACACCCCATCTTCTCCCTCACATCCCATCTTCTCCCTCACACCCCATCTTCTCCCTCACATCCCATCTTCTCCCTCACACCCCATCCTCTCCCTCACACCCCATCCTCTCCCATACCCCAGCCTCTCCCACACACCCCATCCTCTCCCTCACACCCCATCCTCTCCCTCACACCCCATCCTCTCCCTCACACCCCAGCCTCTCCCTCACACCCCATCCTCTTCTTCACATGCCATCTTCTCCCTCACACCCCGTCCTCTCCCTCACACTCCATTAACACAGGTCCAACAGTCCTCACCCATGGGCTCATGTCTCAGTCTCAAAGGTTCATGTAGCACATTGCCTGGCTGTATTCCTAGCCTCCTTCTCCTGAGTTCTCTACCAGGGTTCTTCTGGTCCCCTCGTTGTTACAGTGCACATCCTGCCAAGTACTTTGGCCACCTCATTCCAAAGAGGCTGGAGTGCTCCATCCACTGGAGCCTGCTGTTGTCCCACATGTAGGAGAGTCCTGGGAACTATTATCTGTGGCCAGCTGCTCATTCGGGCCATGGCTGCTCCCTTCTGGAATGGCCTGAGTCCTGTCACTGCCCCAAGCCCCAGCACCTTTCTCCTCACTTCAGGAACAGAGGGTGTTTCCTACACATGAATCCTAGGAGGCACAATCAATCTGGGCCAAGCTTTCTGGCACAGGGGTTACTTCTCAGAATCCTTACCTCGGTACTGGGAGGACTAAGCCTGTTGGGGAAAACCTACACAAGCAGACAGGTGGCTGCCACAGACTCCTGGCCCACTTGGCCTTCTCCATGCTCAACAGTTTTGGGGTTCCCTAGTACCAGCCTCTTCTCCTTTCCACAGTGGCCCTTGCAAACATTCCACTTTGCCTCTCTGCAGACACCCACTTCACTCCATGGCCATGTCTCCCCCTAGCTTCAAGCCTATCGTCTTCCCATCACAGGCTCTCCCGGGAACAGTTCACATGCACAAACCACAGGTCCTGGCCTGAGATTCAGCCTCATGTCAACCAGCTCCCACCCCCACCCTCCAGAGACACAGCTCTCCAAGAGCTTCTCCATCTCCAGTTCCAACCCCTGAGGTCTCACTCCTGCCTTGCCTCCCTTGGGTTTCAGGCCTTTTATGTACAACATGTGTCCTGACACCAGACCAGTCCAGTGAAGGTGGTCTGTTCTCAGCCTGACTCCAGCCCCTTCTGGGAAGCCTGTGCTCTGCGCTGTCCCAGGTTCCCCTCCCCAGACCTGGGCTTCCCTGCTCCCAGCATGGCCTGTGATTGTGACGGCCTGGCGGCCTAAGCAGACCTCCTGCTGGATCAAAATTCAACAGGGCTCATGGGATTCCTACTTATGTCACTTACAGGGCTTACATATTGGCAGGGTTTCAATAAATGTTTATGAAATAATTATCACCACCTCGCTCTTAACTGTTTTTCATTATACAATATCATTTTAGCCTCACAAAATTCATTTGAAGTAAGTAGGCAGGCATTCCCCCTAATTTACAGATGAAGACACTGAGGTTTAGAGTTTGAGTGACTTGTCCAAAGAGAGAAGGTGGTGAGCCATGTTTGAGCCTCTGATTTCTGACTCTGGGGTAAATGCTCCTTCTAGACTTTGTGGCTCTTCTTTAGGGCATGAGTCCTTGCCTGGAGCTCTCAGATACCACATGCGGACCATAACAAGTTCTAGGGAAGCATAAGGCAACTGCCCTTCCAGGTGGATTTGGCTACAGGGAGGGTGGTCTGAGAGACAGAAGCTGGTGAACAGCCCTGCTAACTGCCTGTAGCGTTGGGGGCAAGTTTCTGCGTTAGGCTTATCTCAGTCGCTGTTTTTATGTGCACTGCTTAGACAAGAACAGAATGGCTTAATCCTCAAATCTATGGAAGATAAAGAGAAAGGAAACGAACAGTTTATATTGGAGAACAAAGAGGATCCAAAATACTCCAGAATGACAGCTACCTTGCCACGCTTGGTTTGGACCCACACATTCCATCATACGTGCTGAGTGGGAAGGGAGTGAGCTTGGCAAGAGCATTTGGTCAAGAATAGGCTTATGGTCAGTGGGACATGACCATTGAAGAAAATACCATCTTTTGGGTGTGAGGCATTATGAGGAGCATCAAAAATGGGGAGATGCTTCTCCTTCTATGCTCCCTGTTAAGCCACCTGGAGCAAGCATGAGCTCTATTTTGGGTGTCCCCTAAAGGCAAAAGGGGAAAAGTCGTAAGATGGAACTGACAAGAGAAGAAAACCACTGTGACAGGGAGGGGCCCTTTATGATACCCTATACGGGCAGAGATGTCTGGCAAGAGACATCACCAGCTTCAAATCTCTGAACAACTGATGGAGAAAAGGGATTAGACTCGTCCTACGTGGCTCTGGCAGGCAGAACTAAGACCACAGGGGGAAGCTGCAGAAAGGCAGATTTTGGCTTTTCATAGTTAAACCTCTCCAATTACTGATGAGTATCTTGAAATGAATGGGCTGTTTCTGCAGGTCAAGGACTTCCAGCTATTGGAAGTGGGGAATGGACTAGGTAATCTCCATGATTCCACGATACAGGGTTCTAGAACCACCAAGCCCAGGAAAGTGGCAAGAACCATCTTCTCCTTGGACTTACCCTGGGCTGAAGATAGGCCCAAAGAGGCAGCAGATCCAGCCTCCAGTCTAATGTCATGGCCAAGGCTGTGGGTTCAGCTGCTCAGTGCTAGCATCTAGGGACTTTCTTCATTGGGCTGTCTACAGTTTGGATTAGTTGTTTTCTCTCTTTAAAAGGAAAAGCTCTGGAAAGGGGCCAGGGGTTGTGGGAGACTATTTCCATCTCGGGTGTCTCTTCCAAAGCTCTGGTGTTTTGCCAGGATTTAAGCATGGTATACACAACACAGTTAAAAATAACCCCTTGATTGAACAGAAGGCGTGGGAGAAAGGGGCTAGCCAGGCAACTTTGCTAGAGGGTGGGGGAGGTAGGCAAGGAGAGGAAACTTGTACCCAGAGCCCTGGGAAGGGTTTTATCCCAGAAGAGATATGTAGACTCAAGGGGGTAAGGGTCAGGAAGATACTGTTCCTAACTGCTCCTTTCCAGGAAGAACTGCCCAGTAGGTGCCCTGCTTTGCGTATGCCCAGGGTTTAAACAAACTGCTAGTTTTGAAGGGTTCTCCCAGGAATGACTTTGCCATTTTTCAGTCCTGAGTGCCAGCCTATGGGACTAAAGCTAGGGAAAAAAGACAAGCAGCAGAAAGCCAAGAAAGGTTAAACTGTGTCAAAAGCCACAGACAGGTCAAAGAAACAGAGGCCAGAGAAAGGTCTACTAGATTTAGCTATTGGGAAGTTCTTGTGATTTGTGTGTGAAGGCTTCCAGACTTTTCCTTCCATAAACAGACATTTAACATAAATGGAATTACCTTATATATAGTGTCCCATAACCTGCTTTTTAACAAATTTACAATAAACTGTGGGAGCATGCCAGTAAATACAGTCTGACATTTTTCACGACCACATACTATTTCATCATAGGGAAATACTACATGAATCATGCTTGGCTCAGAGGCACTTAGGGTGTTTCCAGTTTTTTGCTATTATCATAAACATGTTGCAACAGCATATTAAAATAATGCATACACAGATATGATTACTTTTGTATGTACAATATTAAGAAGTGGAATTGTTGGATGAAGTGGAATCCACATTTTATACTTTATTATACATGTATGTTGCCTATATAGCCTCCCATAATTTTGGAGAGAAATTCTATTCTCTTCTGATTTCCTCTAATCTTTCCAGCCATTTTTTCCTATTCTCCTTCATCCTATTCAACCCTTATATATTGGTATTCCTCAGAGTTAGGTCATTCTGTTTTCTTCTTCCTTAAAAAATTACCAACTCAAATGCCTACAAGAGCCAAGAAGGTACGGTAAATATGTCAACTGGGCCAGACATAAGACAACAAGAAGGGGCAGGGTTAGAGCAAGCTAGAATTACACACTGTCTAAAAGTATTCACATTATTTTAAAACACTGTGCCATAAAGCATGTCTACAGGTAGATTTGTTTACAAGCTGCCAATTTGGGACCCAGTTAACACACCTTCCCCACACAACTTCACCACTGCCAAAACTTCATCTATGTGCTGATAACTCCCACTTTAACTCTGACCTCTCCCTGGGAACCCCAGACCCACATATACAAATGACTATCTACATCTTTCCTTAAGTGTCCCAGAGGCATCTCAAACTCATTATGCACACAATCAAATTCATGATCTCTGCCCTTTCCTCCTCCCAAAAGTCAGAAATCAAATATAAGAAAGAAATGATCTTCTTCTTGGGTTCTCTACCTCAACCAATGGCACCTCCAATTTTCCTACTGATATGGTTTGGCTGTGTCCCCACCCAAGTTTCATCTTGAATTGTAACTCCCACAATTCCTACGTGTCGTGGGAGGAACCTGATGGGAGGTGATTGAATTATAGGGGTGGGTCTTTCCTGCGCTATTCTCATCATAGTGAATGAGTCTCACGAGATCTGATGGCTTTATTTATTTTGAGACGGAGTCTCGCTCTGTCACCCAGGCTGGAGTGCAGTGGCGTGATCTGGGCTCATTGCAACCTCTGCCTCCCGGGTTGAAGCGACTCTCCTGCATAAGCGTCCCAAGTAGCTGCGATTACAGACACGCGCCACTATGCCTGGCTAATTTTTGTATTTTTAGTAGAGACGGGGTTTCACCATCTTGGCCAGGCTGGTCTTGAACTCCTGACCTCATGATCCACCCACCACGGCCTCCCAAAGTGCTGGGATTACAGGCATGAGCCACTGCACCTGGCCTAATTTCCCATATCTTTAAGGATATAATCTAGAGTCCTTTTGGAGTGACTTGTGAGGTCTCCCATGATCTTGCTCTAGATTACTTCTAGCCTGTCTTCCAGCATCTAGGATGTAACACTATGTGCCAAACATACCAAACCACGTGCAGTAATCTGAATGTCCTTATGTGCATCATGTTCTCAGTTTATGTATTCCCTCTGTCTAGAAGACCTACCCTGTCATTTTTCAACTGCCTAATTCCTTAATCTTTTTTTTTTTTTTACCTTGAGACAGGGTCTCACTCTGTCATCCAGGCTGGAGTGCAGTGGCACAATCATGGCTCACTGCAGCCTCAACTTCTTGGGCTTAGGGGATCCTCCCACCTCAGCCTCTCGAGTAGCTGGGACTATGGGTGCACACCACCACATGTGGCTAAATTTTTTTGTTTCTATTTTTAGCAGAGATGGGGTTTCAGCATGTTGCCCAGGCTGGCCTCAAACTACAGGGCTCAAGTGATCGGCCTGCCTCAGCCTTATAGTGCAGGGATTACAGGTGTGAGCTACCACACCTTGAAAAAAAAATCACCTCCTTCAAAAATCCTTCTCTGACCACTTTCCCCCAAAAGATGGCTTCTCCCAGGTATTCTCTGTTACAGATCCTCCCTGTCCTGCAGGCTTACAGTAGGGAAGAAAAAGAAACTTCCAAGGCATTTTCCCAGGCTGCTGAAAGGGGCCATGACATGTCCTTACCTGGGTGTCTTTGAGAACAGGCAGTGCTGAAAATATATGGGAGTGTGGGGCAGACAGTGATAATTCCAGAGGAGGTCAGGAGCCCTGGAAAAGGCCCGGCTGCTTGGCTCTGGTTGCCTGTGGCCTTGAGGGGCCATGAATACTTCAGGTCCACAGACCACGTATCTTAAGGAGCTACTGACATAATGTATCCCACCCACTGACACTTACGGCACCAATCCGTGCCAAAAACAAAACTAAAACAAAAAAGAAAGACTACTTTTCAACCTCATGATGGTGAGTCAGCAATCACCAGCGAACCAATGAAAAGGTCTTCTTTGGCCCTTTAATGCTAGAAGTAGATGATCAGAATGAAGGTCAAGAGGTCCTGTAAACAATAATGGCAGAAGAGGAGTAAAGCCCAGTGATCTACCTTAGGAAAAAAGCCCCTCCTGACACCTCACTTTGATTAGGTGTCTCCTTTCTGTGTATTTGTGGCACCCTAGACTTTCATTTACCATCATGTCAGCATTCTCTAATTTTGTTTTCATGTCTGACTCACTCTAGACAAGTTCTGGGGTAAGGATTATGTATTACTTTTCATCCTTAGTACCCAGCATGGTGCCAAATATATGGAAATGCTTATAAAATTAATAATAGAGGAAGGGGAGGGAAGGAAGTTTAAGTAAACAGGTTTCAAGTTGAGAAGTTTGGTGACTAAAAGGTATAGATACTACAAATTCATGTGATGTAATGAAAAAATTTCTTTCACTATGTCAGAGACAGAGAGGAAGGTGCATAAAGACTTATAAATAAGAATGTTATGACCGGGCATGGTGGCTCACGCCTGTAATCCCAGCACTTTGGGAGGCCGAGGCGGGAGGATCATGAGGTCAGGAGATCGAAACCATCCTGGCTAACATGGTGAAACCCCGTCTCTATTAAAAATACAAAAAAAAATAGCCGGGCGTGGTGGTGGGTGCCTGTAGTCCCAGCTACTCAGGAGGCTGAGGCAGGAAAATGGCGTGAACCCGGGAGGCGGAGCTTGCAGTGAGCCGAGATCGCGCCACTGCACTCCAGCCTGGGCGACAGAGCAAGACTCTGTCTCAAAAAAAAAAAAAATGTTGTACATAGATACTCTGTTTACACTAGGAAGAAATCGGAAAAAAAAATCCCTTAAAGGACCTGGGTGCTTCACAGGGATGTTCTGCAGGAATTTGAAGCTAAGCGTTCTCCCCAGATGAACTCAACAGCTGCCCCATAAGCGTGCTCTTCTCCCTGTGTTTCCTATGTTAGGAAATGGTGCCACTACCTTGCCAGCTGCCTGAAACAGAAACTAGGAATCCATTTTTACTCATCCCTCTACCAGCCACCTAATGTTGTCATTTCTCCTCCCCTAATATGACATGAACTTGTCCTTATCACCTCTTCCCAAGCATTACCTTCCTCAGTCCCACCTCCTGTAACCCTTTCTCCCCATTTCAGGCAATGACCTTTCTAAAGCACAAATCTGATGCTGTCCTTCCCTCCCTGCTTTGAAACCTTGGCTGACCTCATAATAAAGTTCAAACTTCTCAGCATGACATTCAAGGCCTCTTACCAAGGACTTGTACTCCAACAGCCAAATTACTTCCAAGTGTGTCTCCTTCCCTCCATGTGATTCCTGCCCTTCCCTAGATTCTCTACCTGGCCAGTTTCTAACTGTCCTCCAATAGGCAGCACAGGTGTCCCCATCTCTAGGAAGCCTCTCCTGCCTGCAGTTTGGTTAGGGGCCCTTATCAGAGCACACACAGCTCCTTGTGCTTGCTCTGTTGCTACAGTAACCACACTGCCCACTCAGTTTCTTTCTTTGTTTTTTTTCCCTGAGACAGAGTTTTGCTCTTGTTGCCCAGGCTGGAGTGCAATGGCGCCAGCTCAGCTCACTGCAACCTCCGTCTCCCAGGTCAAAATGATTCTCTGCCTCAGCCTCTCAAGTAGCTGGGATTACAGGCATGCGCCACCATGCCCGGCTGATTTCTGTATTTTTAGTAGAGACGGGGTTTTGCCATGTTGGCCAGGCTGGTCTTGAACTCCTGACCTCAGGTGATCTGCCTGCCTCAAGCTCCCAAAGTGCTGGGATTACAGGCATGAGCCACCACGCCCGGCCCCCACTCAAGTTTCTTATCTGTCACTCTCCCCTAGACCTCTGCACAAGGCTTGGTAGACAGTGAATGCTTAGGGGTTCAGGGAGGGGCAGAATACTTGGGGTCTCTGGAGCTTGGAAGTGGGGCAGCAGTCACCATGGGCAGGTCCAGATTGGGATCTATGAGGTACTGATGCAAGCATGCTCTTCTCTGGAGGCCTGGTCGCTGCTCCACAGAGATGGAAGAGGAGGAGGAGGCTTCTCCCACACGCTGAGGACACTCTCTGCCAGACTGGGGCCTCTGTGGGGTCTCCCAGGATTAAGAACATCATACTGAGCAGACAGGCCCCATTTTAGGGGGCGGAAGCTGGCTTAGTGATGGAGCTATGCTTTCCCCAACCCATTCTTTATTCTTTATGATCTCCGAATTGCAGAAGCAGAAACTGCTCACCCTTGGTCTGAAGCTTTTCGTGACTTGTGCGAAGAAATGTCATCAACAGCCTTTTGTTTGAACTTGACTTGTGTGAATGTGCCAGGGGACTTGCTCAGAAGAGTCTTTTCAGATGTCATTTCTGTTTGTCTATAACCCTGGTCCATGCAAAGTCATTCACAAGCCAGTTTTTCTGAGGCTCCGGGGCTGTCATAGTCTCATTCTTGCCACAGCCCGCACAGCTACTGTGTGACTGCCTTCAGCCTGGAGTGGGTGCAGGGCTTCAGCCTCCCCACAGCCCCACACTTAGCAATGGTGTGTGCTGTGGCCAGGTCAGAGCCAGGCACTGAAATGCAGCTGTGAGGGAGTACCCAACCAAATCTCTCACTCTCAACTTGACTTGAATGTCTCTGAAACCCTGAGCTACAACTTCAATTTACTTCCCCCAGACAGTGAGCTGGGACCATGCCTGCGTTTTTTAAAACCATTTCCCCAGTGCCCACACAGTGCCCAGCACTTGATAAAAATGTATTACATGAGTGAACAGACAGATATGCAATATCCAGTTATTTGAGTCAACTGAGGGAGACCGTCAAACTCAATGTTTTGAAGGAAGAATAATCCAGAATTTAATATGTCCTTAGAGCCACTTTAGACTCTGTCCACTGTTTTTTTGAAACTGGGTCTCACACGGTCACCCAGGCTGGAGTGCAGTAGCATGATCACAGCTCATTGTAGCCTCAACCTCCCTGGCTCAAGCGATCCTCCTGCCTCAGCCTCCTGAATAGCTAGGGCTACAAGTGCACACCATTATGCTAATTAAATTTTTTTTTTTTTTTTTTTTTGGTAGAGACAGAGTCTCGCTATGTTTCCCAGGCTGGTTTCAAACTCCTGGGCTCAAGTGATCCTCCCGCCTCAGCCTCCCAAAGTGTTGGGATTACAAGTGTGAGCCACTGCGCCTGGCTCTGCCCACTGTTGATGCTGCTGGTGTTGGTCCTGGGAAGGAAGCCCAGAGTGCTGGGCCCAGCTGCACAGTGGGCCTGGACATGGCAGAACACCCAACTAGGTCAGTAGGACCCGCCGCTTCCATTTCCCTCCCCAAGCCCAAGCCAGCTGCAAGGAGTGTGGTGATAGGATAAAGGCAAGAGAAATGGGAGCTGTCCCCAGTTTAGTCAGTCACCAAGTGGTGATGGAGGGTAAGATAGAGGTAAAAATTAGACAAGGTCTCAGGAGGGAATTATAATGTGGTATACACAGAACTGTTACAGATAGAGGTGCACACAGAGCTGGGGGAGCTCCAGGGCAGGAAAAGCTTCACAGAGGAGGTGACATCTGAGCTGGAGTTTTAAAGGTGGAGAATGTGAGGACAGACACTCCAGACAGCACATGCATGTGGACAGCTGGCCAAGCTGAGTGCCTGCCTTGTCCAGGCCCCTTTGGAGGGGAGAGGCCTGCCACAAGCAGTTCTCTCAGCAGAGACTGCTGTGCTTGATGCCAGACAACGTTCAAGTTACTCACTGAAGTAAAAGCAGTAGTTGTCTCTCTTTTTTTTTTTTTTTTTTAAGACAGATTTTCGCTCTTGTTGCCCAGGCAGGAGTACAATGGCGTGATCTTGGCTCACCGCAACCTCCGCCTCCCGAGTTCAAGCGATTCTCCTGCCTCAGCCTCCCAAGTAGCTGGGATTACATGCATGTGCCAACACGCCCGGCTAATTTTGTATTTTTAGTAGAGACGGGGTTTCTCCATGTTGACCAGGCTGGTCTCGAACTCCTGACTTCAGGTGATCCGCCTGCCCTGGCCTCCCAAAGTGCCGGGATTACAGGCGTGAGCCACTGTGCCCGGCCAAAGCAGTAGTTCTTAAGGCAAAGAATATGGAGAAGCACTCCAGGTTGGGGGACTAGCAGGCACAGCACAAAGGCATAAAAGACTATGGGTTAGTAAGGCATTGGCATGTAGGGGTTACGGCACCAGGAAGCATCAGCTTAAATTATTAATTTAATTTATTAATTGAAGCATCAGCATAAGTTATGAGTCATCGGTTGCATCCTGTGTAGCTGGAGTTGCCAAAAGCCACATTTCCCAATATGTGGAAGTATTTCTGTATCAACAAATGCCAGTCACCTGGGTTTGTATGCAGTCTATACAAGTCCTGACAGCTCCACACCAAGACATATTACTGGAAGGTCTCCATGAGAGTTGAGGCAGTCAGAGCATAAAGACAGAACCACACTTACCACCCCAGACGAGGCACTCACTGCATGCCAGGCACCAGGACACACATGTCATGGACATTATTTAGTGTTATCCCCATAAATGCCCATGAGATGGGGGCTGTTATTCGCATTTTGCAGATAAGGAGGCTGATGTTTAACATGACTAAGGGCTTGTCCAAGGTTATACAGCTAGCAAAGTAGCAAAGTTGGGATTCTAACCCAGGTTTGCCTGATTTCAAAACCTAAGCTCTCTTCACTTGCCCAGACGGAGGCAGAGGAGCTCCCAGCTGTATTCCATCTTTGCTGAGAAAGCATGAAGGAGATGCTGTGAACCTGGCACAGGCACACAAGGTCAAGCCACAGGGATCGGTGAAACAGCGGTGAGGCCAGGTGGTAAAGATGTACCCCTCGTCCTCCGACCAGCCTCACCGCAGTGCCAACAGATGACAGTCTAAGTACAGTAAGACCACTTTTGCCTCAGCTCAAAAGCTTTCTACTTCCTGAACCTACCCTCAGAAAAGGTCTGAAATTAGGCCCAGTTACAGGCTGGAAAAAATGATCAACCTCTGGCTAGGGAGAACATGGTGACTGTAACCCACATAGCCTACATCCCTCCACTGCCCTCCCTTTCTGCATCTAGCACTCCAGGGGTTAGGGAAAGGGGCTCATGGCTAGACAGGAAGAGACCTGCTGCTCATGGAGGATGGCCCTTGGGATCCAGATGCATGGCAGAAATGGCCAGTCCTACCTTTCTTCCTTTAGCAAATGCTCCTCTGTGGAGTACCTGATGAGGACTGGAACAGAGATGGATAGAGCAAGGCTCACCCTTTGCTCCTGAACCTCACTCTACATGCAGCTGTGCCTTTGCCAACAGCTTTCCTTGGCCACGCTGGGGTCTCTGAACCCTGTGTTTCCTCTCAATAATCTGAGCGGTAGCAAAGGAATGCATCTCTATGAGAGTTAGCAACTTTCCTGGAGCAGGCCCACTGGAGACAGGGCTGCGTCAGGAGCCCAGGCCTCCTGGATGAGCTATCTTTCCCCACAGCCTTGAGTGTGGGTCACGGTTTGCTGTGCTCTACCCTACTGCCTCTTGCACTCTTCTTCATTTTGCCCCCAAAATGACTAGGCTACAGGCAGAACTGGCTAAACCAGAGGCAGCTGCTGACCATGTTTAAAAAGGTCATTGCTTTGGAGGAAGGATTCTTTCCATCAGGAGGCCCACATGGGCTCATGGGGCCTGATCCAACCAGTGGTCATTCTCCTTGCATACGCCCTCAGGGGTAGGGAGGGGCAGAAAGAAGCCCTTCAGGGGAAGGGACTTGGGTATCAGGGACCCCTGTGTGTGCAACAGCCACAGGGCAGGAAGAGAAGGGCACAGGAGCAGAGGCAGGGGGTTTGAGATGGTCAGAAGCGGCCTAAGGGTGAACATATAGCTGGCAGAGTCCTGCCCTTAATCCCTCTTGCTGGTCTTGAGGTACACATGAGGATGGGTGATGGAGACGGGGAATGTGGTGGAGACAGCCCTTAACCTGGCCAGAACCTCACTGATCATAGTCACCTTGGACACATGGGAGCAAGGCCAGTGGAGACAGCAGGTACAGAGCCAGCCCTCATCAGAGCTGGTTTCTGAGCTCAGGCCTCAAGCACATGCCTTGCCCCATTTGGAGGACTTGCTCCATTTGGGCATTTGCTTCTTAGAGCAAGTTCCGCAACTGGCAATTGGCCTGTGGCCCAGACACACTATCTGAAGGGGCTGAGCAGCAAAGCCAAAGGTGTCATTTTGTTTTTCCAATCATCTGGTTTTTTTTCTTTTTTTTTTGAGATGGAGTCTCACTCTGTCGCCCAGGCTGGAGTGCAATGGCGTGATCTCGGCTCACTGCAACCTTCGCCTCCCAGGTTCAAGCGATTCTCCTGCCTCAGCCTCCTGAGTAGCTGGGATTACAGGCATGCACCACCACACCAGGCTAATTTTGTATTTTTGGTAGAGATGGGGTTTCTCCATGTCGGTCAGGCTGGTCGCCACCGTGCCCAGCCCCAATCTTCTGTTTTCAAACTATGTTCGGAAGTTGTCCAGTGTAGGAAACTTCCGCATACTAAGCCCTTGAAACCGAGGGAGAGAGGATGGGTCTATCCCAACACAAGGGCCACAAAGATGTCACAGGGCCAGCTGTCAACAGGCCTTTTTTCGTGATGCTGCCAACTGTCAGGTGTGTGTTTCCCTGACCAGGAACTCCTGAGAACAGAGGCCACGTGGCCCAATACTCGCCACATCACCCTGGACAATCTCATCCACACTCTGGGGGCTGTGTATGGACCTACGTGCAATTTGTTTTCTTCCAGCCCAGACCTCTCTCCTGAGAGATTCACTGAACTCAGGCTCCCTGAGTAGGGCCGTGGCTTCCCTCTGACACTTCATTTGCCTGGATCTGGACTCTTTGCCTGCATCAGGGCAGAAGGCAGAGCCAAGGGCCCTCATCATGGCAGGCAGGCATAGACTCATGTCCTGCCTCCACAGTGGGGAGGCAAGGCTTCAGCCCTCCTTCTCCCCTCTAGCTCTGGCTATTTATTTGGGGAGACCAGTCAGAGAGTGACCTGTCTCCCCAGGTGCAGACAGAGTAGGGAAAGCAGGACACAGTCCTGAAGGTGCCAGCATCTTGCTCTCTGCTGAGCTGCTGCCTCATCGCTGGGACTTGTGTGGGTGGAGCTCAGACCTGGGCCCTCCCTCTCACTGAGGAACTCACAGGGCTGCTTGCTCCTGGCTGGGAGCCTCACACAGCTCAGGAGGAGGGCCAGGATCATGTTCTGTGCTTTCACCAGCTTTTGCTCTTCACAAGCAGCAAGAACTCCCCACGTGGGGATCTTGTACCTGAACCAAAAAAAGCAAAGCTGCTAATCTGACAAGATCAATCCTCAAATACCACAGGAATGCAGCCAGCCTGCCTGCTCTCACCAGGGACTGTGCTTCTAAGCATCCCTACAGTTCCTGCTCCTAGGCTGGAGCCTGGAACTGGTCTGCAAAGGAGGAAGCTGCCCCCACCAGTGTGTCTGGTCTTGCTGCCGAAGCCCCACCTTTCCCAGCATAGTTCAGGCATCAGACTTCACCAGGACGTCTCCCCAGTCAATCTCTCATCACTCCTCCAGCTGAAGGGCCTTCTCTGTGTCCCCACAATCCTCTGTCTTCACCTCTGGCGGAGCACATATGCCTGGATATGTTTTTGTCTCCATGCACCATTTCTCTTAGCTCTGGGGAAGATAGGTACAGATGAGGAAGGTGAGGCTCAGAAAGGTTGAGCAACCCAGCCCTATTCACTTCAAAAACCTGTTCTTTCCACTGTAGTCCGACACTTCTCAAACCATCTGTGAAGAGGGATCGGTTGGTTTTGCTTTTTAAATTTCTATTTTGTCACAGAATGATGATTTTATAAAATAGAATAAAAATGAATCACTAGAAAAGTTAAATAAGGCCAGGCGTGGTGGCTCACGCCTGTAATCCCAGCACTTTGGGAGGCTGAGGCAGGTGGATCACCTGAGGTCAGGAGTTCGAGACCAGCCTGGCCATCATGGTGAAACCCCGCTTCTACTAAAGATACAAAAATTAGCTGGACATAGTGGCGGGCACCTGTAATCCTAGCTACTTGGGAGGCTGAGACAGGAGAATCTCTTAAACCTGGGAGGTGGAGGTTGCAGTGAGCCAAAATCACACCATTGCACTCCAGCCTGGGCGACAGAGCAAGACTCCGAGGAAGGAAGGAAGGAAGGAAGGAAGGAAGGAAGGAAGGAAGGAAGGAAGGGAGGGAGGAAGGAAAGAAAGAAGGAAGGAAAGGAAGGAAGGGAGGGAGGGAGGGAAGGAGGAGGGAAGGAAGGAAGGAAGGAAGAGGGAAGGAAGGAAGGAAGGAAGGAAGGAAGGAGGGAAATACACATATAAAATATAAGCTCCATTTTTAAAAGTTTGGTTTTTTTGGGTTTTTTTTGGTAACAAATAGCTGAGACCACAGGTGCATGCCACTGTGCCAGGCCTATTTTTTATTTATTAGATTCAGCAACATAAACTTACTCTAATTGCCATAAATGTTTTCAAAAACCTTATTTCCAGTATCTCAAAAATCTTGTGGCAGACCAGTTCATATCACTTTTGATTCTATAGCACACAACAGGTTCCAAACTGCCTTTTGCCTGTCTGGGACATTCTACCAAGGCTTTGCCTGTCATTCACCTTCCAGTAGAAGTTAGAAAGGGATAAGATGTAGCTCCTCAGGTCCTGTCCTGGGGTAGGAGAAACAATGTACTCTGACACCATCAGAAACAGTTAGCAGGTTGAGGCCTAGAACTTCTCCTACAGCTGATGGATTTATAACCAGCTAGGTCTGCAGGATTCACCTTTGCAAGCAAGTGTGGGTCCCTAATCATCTGAGAAGGAGATCTAAAAAAAAAAAATCCCACAACTTCTGGATGTCTACCGCAGCTCCACCTATGAGAATTGGAAGATAGAGCAAAGAGGAAAGAGACGGGGTATACCATTATAGGGAACTGGCAGGCTAAATTCCTTGAATAATGGAGGAGGCAGTAAGCTCAGACAAGATGTGGAATTAATTTAAAAGCAGAACATGGATTAGTTCCCAGAGGAGGTCCCAACACCTGACGCTAAGGAATATATGAAAAAAAATTGGTGGGCAGAGAAAAGGAGAGGACACAAATGGCAATTCTTCCAGCTGTAAGCTGGAGTCCAGGTCATGGACAGGCATTGAGGTTGTCTAGCCCATGCAGGCTACTCTTAGACACTCTGCAGAGAAGCTTTAGTTATAGAGCACTCTGCTCTTCCCAGAAAGGTCTGTACCCAAGGATTTCAACACAGCAGGTACCTACTGAAAATATTTAAAACATTCTCCAAACAAAAGGAATCTGCATTCCCCTCTAGGTCCATGGTTCAGAGCCTCGATTCAGGACAGGGTGGGGTTGGTGGGTTTGATTCCTGGCTCTGTGCTACTATGACCTTGAGCAAGTCGTTAGCTTACCCATCTACAAAATGGGTATAACAACACTTACTTCACGGGGTTGTCGTAAAGGGTTTTTGCAAATTTGACTCCATAAAAGTGCATTATCACATTGACTTTATGTGTAACGATTGTGTGTGTATGTAAAAACACTGAAACTTCCTTGATAAGAGATGTCCTTTTTGTATACATGCATTTGTGAAAGATAAAATTTCTTAAGATCTTGGCTCTTTGGACAACTGCATATGCAGTAGTGACCCACTGTGGCTTTTGACTGATCTTGATAAAAGAATGTGACGAGATCAGTCATGGTATTTCAGATGTCTGTCACAGTATTTCAGATGACCGCAGTTGTAAACCTGGGTGTACACAATTATCAACTATAGTGAAATGTGTTTATACGTTTCCCTTTGTACCTATTTCTTTATGAACAGTTTGCCTGTTCCTGTTATATCCATGTGACTGTCATTAGTAACCTGTTCATGCCTGTCGTTAGTATACCTGTTTATGCTAGGCAATAAAATGTGTATGTTATTAATGCCCGTTTCATTGTGTAAAGTGGCCTATGTTCTGTAATGTTTTTATGTTTATCAAATAAATCCCCTTTTAAGAATGTAAATAAATATATTTTTAAAAATTTTAAAAATTATTTTTTCCAGAATGATGTTTTCAAGATTTTAATCCTTCAGAATTGTGATTTTCAGGGTTTTAGAGTTTTTGGGATTCTCATCTTTTAGGATTTCCTTTTTTTTTAAATTTAATTTAATTTTTTTTTTTGAGACAGAGTCTTGCTCTGTCGCTCAGGCTGGAATGCAATGGTGTGATCTCGGCTCACTATAACCTCCGCCTCCCAGGTTCAAGCGATTCTCCTGCCTCAGCCTCCCGAGTAGTTGGGATTACAGGTGCCCACCACCATGACTGGCTAATTTCTGTATTTTTAGTATAAATGGGGTTTCGCCATGTTGGTCAGGCTGGTCTCGAACTCTTGACGTCAGGTGATCCACCCGCCTTGGCCGGCCAAAGTGATGGGATCACAGGCGTGAGCCACTGCGCCTGGCTGATCTTTTAGGATTTCAGCATTTGGGACTATGGTGTTCATGATTGTGTCTTTTGGAATTATGATCCGCTCCCATTGTAAAGGCTAAATGAAGTAATGAAATACAGTGTCTGGCACACGGTAGGTGCTCTAAAAATGGCGTGACACTTTATGTGCGTGGGTTATCTGTGTCTGCCAGTGGAATGTAAGATCTCTGAGGGGAGAGGTTTTATGTAACTTATGCAGTGCTGAAGCTATACCACCTAGAAAAATATCTGGCACTTTGTTGAATGAGTTTACAGAATAATAGGATCAATGTGGCAACTTTTTAAGAGATGAGAGAGACCTGAATATGATTAAATAGTGATAAGAAGGAACCAGTGAAGAGAATGAAGATCCAGGTTCCTGCAGAGGTGGGAGAGGTTGGAGAATCAGGGCTCAGGGGAAGGAACTGACCTCGGAAAGAAGACAGTACACAAGTGCCAGGACTTGACGACTCATTAGATATCTGGTTAAGAGGGGAAGGGAAAAGAATTACTCCCAGATGTCTTGTTTGGGTGAGAATGGATAGTGGTGCCATTTCCTGAAATAAGAACATAGGCTGATTAGATTTGTTGGAAATTCGGTGCGTTGGATACACTGAGCTTGTGATGCTTTTGAGTCATCCAAGTGGAGCTGTCCAGCAGGAAGTTGGGTATTTGGGTCTAGAGATCAGTAGAGATGTGGGCTGCAAAAAGATTGAGAGTCATCAGCACATATGATGTTAGCTAAAGCAGTGGAGTGAGAAGAGAGGAGAGCTATAACCGAAACCAGGCAAACATCAACATTTAAGGATGGGCACAGGAAAAGAAGATCTCTTGCAATAGAGACTGAGAAGGAACAGAGAGGTAGGAGAACTGGGAGGGAGTTTGAACAAATAATTAAGGAGAAGAGAGAGTTTCAAAATGGAGGAAGAGATCAATACTGCCAAATGCTTCAGAGACATCATGAAAAGAGAAAGACTATCTATCTGTCGGATTTGTCAGTGCTTTTTGGTGGTCTGGATAAGAGCATTCTGAGGAGGAGAGAAGCGAGAGTGGAGGCCAGACTACATAGAGGGACATGAGGAAGCGGAGAAGGTAACTGTAGCAAGTCTTGCATATTCCTGGTAGGGGTATGGGGGTGCCCAATGTGCTCCCAGCCTAGAAGGACAACGATTCTGCAGAAGTAGAGAAGTAGATGGTATTCCATTCTTCTCCATAATTTATGGTATGGGACAAAATTTGGCAAGGACGCCTCTCAATCTTACTACCCCTCCCTGGTGTTGTAGTGATAACAATCCCAGGATCTTTTTCTGGAAGGGCAGAGAGAGAGGGGCTTTGTAATGTGGGGATACCAGATACTCAGCTATCCTGGCCAGGAGCCCACAAGCTTTTAAAGTCCCCAGGGCAGTGCAATAGGTCTCCTGTACCTTCTCATGCAAGCGTCCCAAATCAGGCAGCTGGGACTGTGTGTTAACTCTCTAGACTTCCTGCCTCAGAGAGCTCTGCAAAGTTTCAAGGGCCATCTTTGCACTCTGGAAACTCAGCCAGCTTGGACCATAGCAATGATTCCTTAGCAGTATGTGAATCACAGACGCACAGTCACAGATACACACCACACACCCCAGCCTTCCTAAAACAAAATGCATCTCAAGAGAGGTGTGGTTTTCCTCTGTAGAGCTGGGTAAGAGAACCATTTCTACATCAGCACCTCATTAGCTACCACCAGGCATCTGGTAGACCTCGGTACCTTGGCCACTAGCCAGCCTGCCCATGAAACAGCAGCTGTGAGAGGAAGTAGAAGGCGGTTGTTAAATATGTGGACTTGGGTTCAAAACCTAGTTTTATCACTTCCTATCTGTGTGACCTCGGGCAAACTGCTTGACTTCTCTATGCCTTTATTTCCTCATATTTAGAACTGGACTAACAAGGGTTAGTCTCATTATATGATTGTTGGGAGAATTAAAACAGAAAAAATATGAAAAAATCTCAGCATGGGACCTGATCCAAAGTAAACATCAGTAGGTGTGAGCTATCACTGTCACTGCTGCTAGTATCACTCTGCAGCATGGACGTGGCTTGGATTAGGGCTCTGCTTTCTGCTGAAACTGTTTGGCCACAGGTTTAGCCTGTAGGTGCCTCACTTTCTCCCAATACCGAGTGGCCCTACTGGCCACCAACTAAAAGAGACAACACTCAATCATGTCTTTCACCAAAGCACAAAAAGCCATTCAAATGTATGAGGCAAAATATTGGCAGGAAAATGGGGTATGCCAATTATGTGTCAATTTAGGTTTTACGAGTTATATTTTTTCTTTTTAAAGAAAACATTCAAAATGTTTACTGTGACTTACTCTAGGATCTTTATTTTTCTTCCTGAAAAAAACTTATCTAATTATAATGAAAGTCACTGAGAAAACAGAATTCACTTAATTAAGTGTCTAACATTAAATGTTGTTGAAATGATCTAACATTTATGGCCCCAGGACACATCCTCTCATTTCATTCTCTTGACTAATGAGTGAAATAAGGCTCAGACTTTTCCAAGATCACATAGCCTGTGAAGTGAGAAAGCTGTGAGAACTTTCAGTCTCCAAATCTTCATCTCCTTTCAATCTATCATATATTGGAATATGTCACAATAATTAGTTTTCTTCAGAAACTCTTTCCACTAAAAGAGTGTCTTATCAACATTTCCCACATCCTTACACTCTCAATCTCTGGAGGGCAGAAATTAATTTCCACTCACAAAACCAATACCAAGTGTCTACTGTGTGCTAAAGGCTCTGCTAGGTGTTGGCAGCCATGAATAGACCATGCCTCTATGTGAGAAGTTCACAGTCTCTATGGGAGAAGAAATACCAGCCAATAGTTATATACACAATAACAAAGCTATGTGTGAGGCACTGTGGTGGTGCACAGGGTAGGGGAAAGAGTAATGGAGTGTATTTCTAGGTAAGGGAAGACTTTGCATTCCATGAGACCAAACAGATTCAAAAGACCTAACTCAAAATTTAGAGCAAAACAAGTGCTCAGTAAATCTGAGTTCCTTTGGACCTACTGCCATCCCCTCCCCATCTCTCTAATTAGAGGAAGATGTATCCAAGTGAGCAATACTCGAGGGAGGAAAGGAGGACTTCCCAGCAGAGAGTACAAAAGTGTGAGAGCAAACAGGCTGGCTTCCCAGAGAAGCAGGACTCTGGTCTGGACGGGTGGGCACATCAGCACCCCTTCCTTTACACTGCCTGCTCCTTAGTCTGCACCTAGGGATGGGAGTCAATGACTAGGTGGGCTCAGGGAAGAGTGAAGCATAGGAAAAGAGAATGTATGCTTCACACAGCATTTGGGGATTTTTTTTAAAAAGGTAAGATTTAGGCCAAGCCTAAGCCTGGTGCAAGGGGTGCACCTAGCAGAGCACTAGCAGTCCCGCACCAAGTTTGGGATTTGGGGTTGGTGCGGCCAGTCACGTTGCTGGTGCGTGGCAGTGTACAGGGCATTGGGTCAGCGGGTCTGGGACTCTGGTGGCACTGGTGGCGGCGTGGGACTGAGGCTAGGCACATGTGCGGGGCTGTGTTCCGGCAGCTTCGGACCCATGCAATAGCAATGCCAGTCAACAGGGCCCACAAGGATGCTGACCTGTGGTCCTCACATGACAAGATGCTGGCGCAGCCCCTCAAAGACAGCGATGTTGAGGTTTACAACATCATTAAGGAGAGTACCGGCAGAGGGCTGGATTGGAGCTGATTACCTCGGAGAATTTCGCCAGCTGGGCAGTTTTGGAGGCCCTAGGCTCTTGCTTAAATAACAAATACTCTGAGGGGTACCCGGGCCAGAGATACTAAGGCAGGACTGACTTTACTCATGAGCTGGAGACCCTCTGTCAGAAGCGAGCCCTGCAGGCCTATAAGCTGGACCCACAGTGCTGGGGGGTCAACGTCCAGCCTTGCTCAGGCTCCCCTGCAAACTTTGAGTGTAACTGCCCTGGTGGAAACCCATGGGTGCATCATGGGCCTGGACCTGCCAGATGGGGGTCACCTGACCCACGGGTTCATGACAGACAAGAAGAAAATCTCTGCCACGTCCATCTTCTTTGAATCTATGCCCTATAAGGTGAACCCAGACACTGGCTACATCAACTATGACCAGCTGGAGGAGAACACCCGCCTCTTCCACCCGAAGCTGATCAGTGCAGGAACCAGCTGCTCCTCCTAAAACCTGGACTATGCCCCGCTGCAGAAAAACTGCAGATGAGAATGGGGTGTATCTCATGGTGGACATGGCACATATCAGCAGGCTGGTGGCAGCTGGCGTGGTGCCCTCCCCATTTGAACACTGCCACCACCACTCACAAGAACCTGAGAGGCTGCCAAGTCCGCACGATCTTCTACAGGAAAGGAGGGCAAAGTATGGATCCCAAGACTGGCAAAGAGATTCTGTACAACCTGGAGTCTCTCATCAACTCTGCTGTGTTCCCTGGCCTTCAGGGAGGTCCCCACAACCACACCATTGCTGGGGTTGCTGTGGCCCTGAAGCAAGCTATGACTCTGGAATTTGAAGTTTATCAGCACCATGTGGTGGCCAACTGCAGAGCTCTGTCTGAGGCACTGACGGAGCTGGGCTACCAAACAGTCACAGGTTGTTCTGATAAACATTTGATCCTCGTGGATCTCCATTCAATCAAAGGCACAGATGGCAGAAGGGCTGAGAAGGTCCTAGAAGCCTGTTCTATTGCCTGCAACAAGAACACCTGCCCAGATGATAGAAACACTCTACGGCCCAGTGGACTGCGGCTGGGGAACCCAGCACTGACATCTCTTGGACTTTTGGAAAAAGGCTTCCAAAAGGTAGCCCACTTTATCCACAGAGGGATAGAGCTAACCCTGCAGATCCAGAGCAACGCTGGCATCAGAGCCACCCTGAAAGAGTTCAAGGAGAGACTAGCAGGGCATAAATACCAGGGGTGTGTGCAGGCTCTCCAGGAGGAGGTTGAGAGCTTCACTCTCTTCCCTCTGCCTGGCCTGCCTGACTTCTAAAGGAGCCGGCCCACCCTGGATGCACCTGGTGCCACAGAGGAAGCTACCTGCTGGAGGATCCCCTTGAGAGATGTACAAGCTGCCCCACAAGGGACCCACTGACACTTGTTTCCTTTGAGGGGTTTTCTTTTGGACTTTTTTCATGTTTTCTTCACAAATCAAAATTTGTTTAAGTTTCATTGTTATTAATTCTGGGACAGGTTATTACAGGTTTTTAATTTGAACCTGGCTTTCTCACAGCTGGATATAATTATTCTAGAAAAATAAAAATACTGTGTAGCCACTTGGCCATAATCATTTAGACCATGGGGTAGGGCAGAGCTATTAGAAAGATTCTAGTGTTTTACTCTCCCTAGGCTTTCCTTTGCCTTGCTGCAGCAGAGAGGAAATGCTCCTGTCCACAGCTTGTACACACTGCCACTCTTACTATCTTGTTACCCAGCAGCATGCCAAAGGGGAGCTGAATTCGCCTCTGAAGCTTCTGCTGTGTGCTGTAAATCAGAAGTGTACATTAGCCAAGTGTACACAAGGTGCACTCAGTATGGTGGGAGGGTTTTGCTGTCAGTAGTTCAAAGTATGGTGTAGAAAGGGTCTCCTCCCTCCATCCTGGGAAATCCCAGTCCCATACTGGTGTGAGAATCAACCAGGCTTTCCTGCTCCACCTGAGATAACCAACTCCCTCCCATAATCAGGAAACCAAATGTCACCTTCCCAAAGAAACTTTATTTTCACATAGCTGAAGTGCAAAACATATACGACCATTTTTAATAAGCACAATCAAATTTTTAACCACTGAATGTCTATAAGAATTATAGCTTTAAAAATACAATTTTTATATTTCAAAAATATTTGAACTCAAACTAATTTCTTAAAAAGTTAAAAAAGGTAAGATTTAATAGTTTTTGTAGATCATCTCAAAATTAACACATCAAAAAGAGCTTTATCAAGTCCTTTTCTGTCAAAATATTGATGCTGCAGAAATCAAAACCTTGAATTTACTTAAGTATTTTGTGATCAAAATACCAAGAAATACTAGCTACCCATATGAAAAAAAAAAAAGAACCCTAGATCTCAACCTCATTCCTAACACACAAAACCAAAAATAGATGAATTAATAATTTAAATATAAATAACAAAACTGTAAAACAGAAGAAAACAAAGGATGGCACCATCATCAACTACTATGTGGGTACATAAATCCCAAAACTGCTATGAAGGGCAATTTGCCAATAACTCTCAAAATGTTCAAGAAGGCAGAAGAAAACACAAACATAATAAGAAATGAAACAGAAGATATAAGAAGACCTAAATGGAACCTACAGAGATTAAAAACACAGTATTTGACATAATAATATACATGGTGGGATTAACAAGTGATTAAATGCTACAAAAGAAAAAGCTATAAATGTGAAGACATAGCAATATAAACTATCCAAAATGAAGCAGAGAGAGAAAGAAGATTGAAAAACAAAAACCCAGAGCATCAGTGACCTGTGGGACAAATAATATAGCATCCATGTAATTTGAATCCTGGGAAAGGAGATGAGGCAGAAAAAATATTTGAGAAAATATGTAAACAAGGTCCAAATGTGATTACAAAGAATAAAACAAAACAAACAAACAAGAAAACTATGAACCTACAGATCTGAGGAGTTAAATAAACTCCAAGCCAAATAAATATAAAGAAAACCACAGCCAGGCACGGTGGCTCACACCTGTAATCCTAGCACTTTGGGAGGCCGAGGCATGTGGATCACCTGAGGTCAGGAGTTTGAGACCAGCCTGGCTAACATGGTGAAACCCCGTCTCTACTAAAAATACAAAATTAGCCAGGTGTGGTGGCGCATGCTTGTAATCCCAGCTACTCGGGAGGCTGAGGTAGGAGAATTGCTTGAACCCAGGAGGCGGAGGTTGCAGTGAACCAAGATCGCGCCATTGCACTCCAGCCTGGGCAACAAGAGCAAAACTCCATCCCTACGCCAAAAAAAAAAAAAAAAAAAAAAGAAAACCACAACAAGGGACACCATAATAAAATTGCTGGAAACCACTGGTAAAGAGAAAAATCTCAACAGGCAGCCAGAAGAAAATGAAATACTACATACAAAGGAATATAGGTAAGAATGACAGAAGACGTTTTGTCAGGAATGAAGCAAGTAAATAGAGTTACATATTTAAGGTAGTGGGGGAGGGGTGGTGGAAGTGAGAACAGGGTACTGTCAACCTAGAAGTGTATACCTAGCCAAAACATTTTTAAAAATCTTTCAAAATTGAAGGTAAAATAAAGACTTGTTCAGACAATCCAACACTGAAAGACTTCGCAGTCATCGGACCTGCCCCACAAGAAATGTTAAATGAAGTTCTTCAGGCAGAAGAAAGAGGATACCATATGGAAATACGTATTTACACAAAGGAAGAAAGACCAACAGTAAAGAAAACTTTGTGAGTAAATATAAAAGAATTTTCCCTCTCATTAAAAAAACTTTTAAAATGTTTGAATTGTAGTAAAATACACTAACATAAAATGTACCATCCTAACCATTTTTAAGTGTACAATTCAGTAGTATTAGTTATTTTCACACTGTTGTGTAACCAATATCCAGAGCTGTTTTTCATCTTGCAAAACTGAAACTCTATATGCATTAAACAATAACTCTCCATTCCTCCCTCCTCCCAGCACATGGAAACCATATTCTACTTTCTGTCTCTATGAATTTGATTTCTCTAGGCACCTCATATGAATGGAATCACACAATATTTGTTTTTGTGTAACTGGCTCATTTCATTTAGCATAATGTCCTCGAGGTTCATTCATGTTGTAATATGTGTCAGAATTTCCTTCCATTTTCAGGCTGAGTAACATTCCACTGCTTATGCATACCACATTTTGTTTATCCTTTCATCTGTCAATGAACACAGGTTGCTTCTACTTTTTGGCAATAATGAATAATTCCTGCTACAAACACCCTTTGGAGCCCTGCTTTCAGTTATTTTGGGTATATACCCAGAAGTGGAATTGCTGGATCATACGGCAATCCTATTTTCAATGTTTTTAGGAACTGCATCCTGTTTTCCAAAGTTGTTGTACATTTTACATTCCCACAGAGTGCACAAGGATTCTAATTTCTCTACATGCTTGCCAGCACTTGTTATTTTCTGGTTTTGGGATAATAGCCATAGTATCCTAATGGATGTGAGGTGGTATCTTACTGTGGTTTTGACTTGCATTTCCCTAGTGATTAGTAACATTGAGCACATTTTTATGTGCTTTTTGGCCATTTGTATATCTTCTTTGGAGAAGTGTCTATTCAAGTTCTCTACCCGCTTTTAAATCAGTTTTTTTCTTGTTGTTGAGTATTAGAAGTTCTCTATATTTTCTGGACAACATTAACCTCTTATCAGATATATGATTTGCAAATATTTTCTCCCATTCTGTAGGTTGCCTTCCACTCTCATTTTTAAATTATTTTAAATAATTGACTATTTCAAACAAAAATAAATAAGCTGAGCACGGTGGCTCATGCCTGTAATCCCAGCACTTTGGGAGGCTGAGGCAGGCAGATTGCTTGAGCACAGGAATTTGAGACCAGCCTAGGCAACATGGCAAAGTCTTGTCTCTACAAAAAATACAAAAATTAGCTGGGTACGGTGACATGTGTTTGTGGTCCCAGCTACTTGAGAGGCTGAGGTGGGAGGACTGCCTGACACAAACAGGTTAAAAAGATAGGCTGCTCCCCAACCACCCGTGGGACAGCTCAAGGGCAAATATAAACATGCTCCTTCCCACAAACAAAAGTAATTGCAAAAACCCCAATTACTTTTGCACCAACCAAATAAAAGGATGGAAAACATACACCATGATATAGCTTATTTTTATAAAGGCCAGAGTGGTTTATTAATATCAGACAAGGAAGATTTTGGAACAATAATTATTTGACTATCAATAAGAAAAAGGGACATTTCAAAATAATGAAGGAATCTATTAGAAATGGGATACAACAATCCTAAGTGTATACACACCAAATGACAGAGCTTCAAAACAAATGAAATAAAAACTGATAAATTAAGACTTCATTACCCCTCTGTCAGTAATTGTTAGAAAAAGTGTACAGAAAGTCAGTAAGGATACAGGAAACTAGACACATACCATAAACCAACCTAAGCTAATTGCCATTTATAGAATACCCTAAAACAGAAGTATTTTCTTTTCAAGCACACACAGAATATTCACCAAAATCGACCATATTTTGTCCCATAACTCAGATTTCAATTAATTTAAAAGTATTAAAATCATATAACGTATATTTGGAGCACAGCAAAAATAAATCAGAAATCTATAACACAAAGATATCTGGAACACCCACAAATATTAGGAAATTAAGCAAAAACACTTCCAAAGAACTAATAGGCCGAAGTAGAAATCACGAGTAAAGTTAGATAATATTTTTAACTCAACAAAGATAAAAATACAACATATCAAAATTTGTAAGATGTAGTCAATGCAATATATAGAGTGAAATTTATACCATTACAATGTTTATATGAGAAATAAATAAAATCAATGATCTAACCTTCTAGCCTAAGGAAAAAAAAACAAATAATAAATTAAAGTCCAACTAAGAGAAAAGTGAAAAAATAAAAAATGAAGATAGGCACAGAAATCAATGATATAGTGGAAAAAATATCAATAGACAAGAACCAATGGAACTAAAAGCTAGTTATTTGAGAGGATCAACAAAAAATGATAAACCTCAAATCAGATGAATTTAAGAAAAAGAGAGAAAAAATGCAAATTACGAATATCAGGCATGAAAGAGAGGACTCTGTCTCTATCCTAGACATTAAAATAATAATAAGGGAATATTATACACAATTTTATGCTAATAAATTCAACAACTTAGAAGAAAGGCAAAACTTCCTTGAAAGACATGCTACTAAAGAAGAAACAGAAAAACTTGAATAACTCTAGAATTAAAGAAATTTAATTTGTAATAATAATAATAAAAAAAAACTTCCCTGGCTAGGCACAGTGGCTCACATCTGTAATTCCAGCACTTTGGGAAGCTGAGGCCAGTAGATCACTGGAGGCCAGGAGTTCGAGACCAGCCTGGCAAACATGGCGAAACACCATCTCTACTAAAAATACAAAAATTTGTTGGGCATGGTGGTGCACACCTGTAATCCAGCTACTCGGGAGGCTGAGGCACAAGAATTGCTTGAACCCAGGAGGCGGAGGTTGCAGTGAGCTGAGATTGCACCACTGTACTCCAGCCTAAGTGACAGAAACTATGTCTCAAAAAGAAACCAAAAACAACAACAAAAGCCTTCCTACAAAGATGTGCAGGCTATGAAATAATAAAAAATACAAATATTGGTCTCTGCTCCTGGTCCCTACATAAAGCTCCTAAAAATCCTTACAGATAGGGGCACTAAGAGAATCTTTTGTTCTAATATCTAGTCTTTTTTTTTTTTTTTAGACGGAGTCTTGCTATGTCGCCCAGGCTGGAGTGCAGTGGCACGATCTTGGCTCACTGCAAGCTCTGCCTCCCGGGTTCACGCCATTCTCCTGCCTCAGCCTCCAGAGTAGCTGGGACTACAGGCGCCCGCCACCGTAGTGCCCGCCACCACGCCCGGCTAATTTTTTTTTATTTTTGGTAGAGACGGGGTTTCACCGTGTTAGCCAGAATGGTCTTGATCTCCTGACCTCATGATCCACCCTCCTCGGCCTCCCAAAGTGCTGCGATTACAGGCGTAAGCCACCGTGCCCGGCCACCAATAGTTAGTCTAGTCTCTGACCCTAGTTTCTGACCCAGAGCTCTTAAGACCTTTGTAATTTCCTGACTGATAAGAGCACATCTGACAGAGAGCTGCTAAATTCCTTCAAATTTCCTGGGTGATAGGAATATCTTTTGTTCTCATGAGATGACTTCTGGATAGCCTTATGTTGGGTGCTGGTTGGCAGGGGAACCAACTATGCAATTAGAGGGCTGGAACTTTCAGTCTCACCCTCTGACCTCGGGGATGGGAAAAGGGCTGAAGGTTGATTTGATCACCAGTGGTCAATGATGCAATGAATCATGCCTATGTAATCCTCCACAGGGTTTATAGAAGCCTCCATAAAAACCCAAAAGGACAAGGTTCAGAGAGCTTTCAGACTTGTGAACCACTTACCACATGCCATGCCCTATGCATCTCTTCCAACTGGCTGTTCATCCGTATCCTTTATGATATCCTTTATAATAAATGGATAAACATAAGTTTCCCTGAATTCTGTGAGCTGCTCTAGCAAACAGATCAAACCCAAGAGGGGATGGTCTTGGAATTCACAACTTATAGCTGGTTGGCGAGATGTATAGGTAACAACCTACTACTTGTGATTAGCATCTGAAGTGAGGTATAGTCTTGTTCGGCCGTCAACCTGTGGGATCTGACGCCATCTCCAGGTGGATAATGCCAGAATTGAATTGAATTATAGGACACCCATTAGTGTCTGCTGAAGAATTGCTTGATGTGTGAGAAAAACTGCCACACATCTGGTGTCAGAAGTGTGTTCAGTGGCGCATGAGAATAGAGATAAAAAACTGTCTTTTCTTCAGACAAGCCTAGATTTTGCTGGTGAATTCTATCAAACATTTCATAAAAAATATTACCAATTGTACACAAAATTTGTAGAAAGATGAAGAAATATTTTCCCACTTATTCTGAAGCCAGCATTACTATATTACCAAAACTAAAGACATCACAAGAAAACTACAGACCAGTATCTTTCATGACCAAAGACACAAAAATCCTTGAAAAATTTTAGCCAATTGAATAGAGCAATGTGTAAAAAGAACAATACACCAAGACCAAATGAAGTTTATCCTACAAATGAAAGATTGGTTCAACATTCAAAAATCAATTAATGAGAAAAAACCAATCAATGTAATTCATCATATTAATAGACTAAAAAAGAAAAGCCATATGATCTTCTCAAAATATGCAGAAAAAGCATTTGACAAAATTCAACATCTATTCATGATAAACACTCTCAAGAAACTAGGAACAGAAGAGAACTTCCTCTACCTAAAAAATGGTATCTATGAAAAACCTACAGCTAACACCATAATGGTGAAAGACTAGATCTTTTCCTCCTAAGACTGGGAACAGGCAAGGCTGTTCACTCTCACCTCACCTATTTAATACTGCACTGAACAGTCTAGCCAATGCAGTAAGGCAAGAAAAAGGAATGAGACATATAGATGAAAAAGGAAGAAATAAAACTGTCTTTAGTAACAGACGACAAGACTGTCCATGTATGAATGGTACTGGCACAAAGTCATAAATCAACAGAATAGACTAGGGAGTCCAGAAGGAGACCTACACATACATGTTCAACTGATTTTCAACAAACATGCCAAGGTAATTCAATGGAGAAAGCAGAGTCTTTAACAAATGGTTCTGGAACAACTGAACATCCATGTGCAAAAAGTGAATGTAAACTTTTTTTTTTTTTTTTTTTTTGAGATGGAGTCTTGCTTTGTGTAGAGTGCAGTGGCGTGATCTCGGCTCATTACAACCTTCGCCTCCCAAGTTAAAGCGATTCTCCTGCCTCAGCCTCCCAAGTAGATGGGACTACAGGTGTACACCACCACGCCCAGCTAATTTTTTGTATTTTTAGTAGAGACGGGGTTTCACCATGTCAGCCAGGATGGTCTTGATCCCCTGACCTCGTGATCCGCCCGCCTCATCCTCCCAAAGTGCTGGGATTACAGGTGTGAGCCACCATGCCCGGCCTCTAAAAAAAATATCTGAGACTGGGTAAATTATAAAGAAAAGAGGTTTAATTGGCTCACAGTTCTGCAGGAAGAGTGGTGCTGGCATCTGCTTACCTCCTAGGGAGGCATCAGAAAGCTTACAATCATGGCAGAAGGCAAATGGAGAGCTCAGATTTTTTTTTTGTAGCAATGCAAGAATGGCCTAATACATAAAATTGGTACCAGGAGTAGGGTATTGTTAGAAAGATATCTAAAAATGTGGAAGTGACTTCGGAACCGGGTAATGGATAGAGGTTGGAAGAGTTTGGAGGGCTCACAAGAAGACAGGAAGATGAGAGCAAGTTTGGAACTTCTTAGAGACTGGTTAAATGGTTGTAACCAAAATGTTGATAGGGATATGGCCAATGAAATCTAGGCCAACAAGGTCTCAGATTGAAATGAGGAACTCATTGGGAAATGGAGCAAAGGTCATAACATGTTATGCCTTAGCAAACAGCTTGGTTGCATTGTGCCCTTTCCCAAGGAATCTGTGGAAGTTTGAAGTTGAGAGTGATGATTGCATATTTGGCAGAAGAAATTTCTAAGCAGCAAAGCATTCAAGATATGACTGGCTGCTCCTAACAGCTTACACTCAGATACAGGTGCAAGTAAATGACTTAAAGTTGGAATTTATATTTAAAAGGGAAGCAGAGCATAAAAATTGGGAAAATTTGCAGCCAAGCCACATGGCAAAGAAAGAAAAAGCTTTTTCAGAAGAGGAATTCAAGCAGGCTGTGGAGTAACCACTTGCTAGAGACATTTGCATAACTAAAAAAGAGCCAAATGCTAATATCTAAGACAATAGGGAAAAAGCCTCAAAGGCATTTTAGAGATTATTGAGGTAGCCCCTTCCATCATAGTTCCTGAGGCCCAGGAGACAAAAATGGTTTCATGGGTCAGGCCCAGGGCCTCACCCCTATGCAACTTCAGGACACTGCTCCCCACATTCTGGCGGCTCCAGCTCTAGCCATGTCTCAAAAAGGGCAAGGTACAGCTCAGGCTGCCACTTTGAAGAATGCAAGCTGTAAACTTTGACAGCTTCCATGTGGTATTAAGAGTGCACAGAGTGCAAGAATGGAGGATTCTTGGATGCTTCCACCTAGATTTCAGAGGATGTATGGAAAAGCTTGGCTTCCCAAGCAAAAGCCTGCTGCAGGAGTGGAGCCCTCACAGAAAACCTCTACTAGGGCAGTGTGGAGGGGAAACATGGGATTGGAGCCTTCACACAGGGTCCCCACTGGGACACTGCCTTGTGGAGCTGTGAGAAGGGGGCCACCATCCTCTAGTCCCCAGAATGGTAGATCCACCAGCAGTTTACACCCTGCACCTGAAAAAGCCTCAGGCACTCAACGCCAGCCCATGAGAGCAGCCACAGGGGCTGCACCCTGCAAAGCCACAGGGGCGGAGCTGCCCAAGATCTTGGGGGCCCACTTCTTGCACCAGTGTGCCCTGAATGTGGGGCACAGAGTCAAAAGAGATAATTTTGGAGCTTTAAGATTTAATGACTGCCTTGCTGGGTTTCAAACTTGCATGGGGCGTATAGCCCCTTTCTTATGGCTGATTACCCCTTTTTGGAATGGGATGTTTACCCAATGCCTATACCCCCATTGTATCTCGAAAGTAAGCAACTTGTTTTGATTTTACAGTCTCATAGGTGAAAGGAACTCATTTCCAGATAAGAATTTAGATTTGGGACTTAGTATCAGGGGACCTGCCCTGATAATCACGTAGGTTCTTTTCTATTTTTCCTAAGCGTCGGCCAGCTTGAGAAATAAAGGGACGGAGTACAAAAGAGAGAAATTTTAAAGCTGGGCATCCGGGGGAGACATCACACGTTGGTAGGATCCGTGATGCCCCACAAGCCACAAAAACCAGCAAGTTTTTATTAGGGATTTTCAAAAGGGGAGGGAGTGTGCAAATAGGTGTGGGTGACAGACATCAGGTACTTAACAGGGTAATAGAATATCACAAGGCAAGTGGAAGCAGGGCGAGATCACAGGACCACAGTAGGACTTTTGAGTTAATGCTAGAATGAGTTAAGATTTCGCAGGGACTATTGAGAAGGGATGACTGTATGTTGAAATGTGAGAAGGACATAAGATTTGTGGAGGCCAGGGACAAAATGATACAGTTTGAATATTTGTCCCTGCCCAAATCTGATGTTGAAAGGTAATCCCCAGACAGGCTCAGTGGCTCAAACTTGTAATCCCAGCACTTTGGGAGGCCAAGGTGGGTGGATCGCTTGAGCCCAGGAATTTGAGACCAGCCTGGGCAACATGGCAAAACCCCACCTCTACCAGAAATACAAAAATTAGCCACGTGTGGTTGCATGCGCCTGGAGTCCCAACTACTTGGGAGGCTGAGGTGGCTAATTGCTTGAGCCCGGAGGTCAAGGCTGCAGTGAGCCAAGATCGCACCACTGCACTCCAGCCTGGGCAACACCGCAAGACCCTGTCTCAAAAAAAAAAAAAAAAGGAAGGGAAAAAAATGTAATCTCCAATGGGGCCTGGTGGTAGGTGACTGGATCATGGCGGTGGTCTCTCATGAATGACTTAGCACCATCCCCCTGGTGCTGTTCTTGTGAAAATGAGTGAATTCTTGTGAGATCTGGTTGTTTAAAAGTGCGTAGCACTTCCTCTCTTTCTCTCTCCTTCACTCACTTGCTCCTGCTTTTGCCATATGACGTGCCTGCTCCCCCTTTGCTTTCTGGCATGATTTTAAGTTTCCTGAGGCCTTCCTAGAAGTGAAGCAGGTGCCAGCACCATACTTCCTGTAAAGCCTGATGAACCATAAGCCAATTAAACCTCTTTTCTTTACAATTTGCCCAGTCTCAGATGTTTTTTCATAGACATGCAAGAACGGCCTAATACACAGTACAGAATATTAAATACAGTTATGTTCCCACTTTTGGTAATATTGGCTGTCTCTGGGGAAGGAGTCTGGAGTGGCAGTATATAACCTTTTGTACTGTTTGAGGTTTTTTTGTTTTGTTTTGTTTCCACATGCCTGTATTACTTTCAATTAGAAAAAGCAAACGAAACCTATATACTGGTAAAGGAAAACTCACAAGTGTCTGGGCTAAGGACTGAGTCGTATAGGCTTGCAAAAACCTGTGTTAAGAATACAGAACACAAAAAGCCAGACACAGGGGCACTCAATAAATAGCTGGAGGAAGCAAAATATTTGGAATCAATTCAGAAGGCAGACCCTGGACAAAGAGATCTCTATCTGAGCACCAGATACTCAGCCAGCATAGCCCTTGCTTTACACAAGGAGCTAAGCTGAGACTGCTCACGTTAGAAAAGAAAGGGAGCATAAAAACCAAATATACCGGAGTCACTTTGGGGCGAGCTGTTTCTCAGCATTCCTTTGCAAGCACATTACGTGTCCTAACCTCAGCCTTCTAAGGGATGGGAGGCAAGTCCTTCCCCCAGTGAGCAGAGCCCACCCCTAGCACTCCTCTGGTGGTCCAAGTGCCCAGACAATCCTAGGCAGCCTTTCCTTCAGCCCCTCCAAATCAGAAGGAACGAAATGACCCTGACAGTCTCACTGCACTCCAAAGACAATCTCAGCACTTCAGCTCCTTTTCCACACCAAGGCTTCAGAAAAGAAAACCAAAAAGGAGAAGGTGGATCAGTAAGCAAGACCCCTTAGCAGCATTCGGTAAAAGGAACTCCCTGGGTTATGCACAGATTCTTTCAGGTGCCAAAGAAGTCAGCAGCTCCAGAATGCAAAATGGACAGAGAAGGAAAGTGCTAAAACTCAAGACAGCCTCAGAAATTTCTCTTTGTTCCCTGCTTTATTTGGATATGCCTCCCTGAAGCCAGCTAGTTGGTCCAAGCTTCCAAAAAAGTTTCTTTGGCCACTGATACTAGGTCTAGGAGCTTCTGTGCTTGGCAGCCTTCTCTGGCTGCCTCTGGATACCTGGCTTGCATGCGGCAACCATGTAGGTTATCCTTCTGCAGAAACAGGCTGTGCCACAAGGTGCAAGCTCCAGAGGCAGGATGGGAGTAAGGCAAAGCAACGGCATGGAGTAGGACTGGAGTAGGAACCAACTTAAAGGCAGAGTCCTTTCCAGGAACCCATGGTTTCCAGAGCATAGGAGAACATGACTGGCTGTGAGAGGCAGAGTTTCTGGCTCTTGGACCCCAGACCAGGCTGTCTAGGCAGTGGAGGGAAACAGGAGCACTTACCGGGGGAAGATGGCCGTCATCAAGGCTGAAGCATAGCCAGGCTTGCAAGCTCCCTCTGAAAAGTTTGCGTACTTGGTGGCTAATTCAGCAGGCCTATGGGAAGAGAAGGAAAGTTACAGCTTGCCAGGCACTGAGCACTGAGTGGGTTATTAATTCATAAGGAGCTGTAGGTGTTTAACCCTTTTTTTTTTTTTTTTGAGACGGAGTCTCGTTCTGTTGCCCAGGCTGGAGTGCAGTGGCGCAATCTCGGCTCACTGCAAGCTCCGCCTCCCGGGTTCACGCCATTCTCCTGCCTCAGCCTCCCGAGTGGCTGGGATAAGGTGTTTAAACCTTGAATCAAGTTTCATTCCCTACAATCAGCACTTCAGGCACTTTTCCACATTAAGGCTTTAAGGGTAAAAACAAAACAAATCCCCAACCCTAAAGGAATAGATAGATAAATAAGTCAGGCCCCTGGATGGTATCTGTAAAAGGAACTTAACTGGATTCTCACAGATTTCTTTTTAAGAGACAGGGTTTCATTATGTTGCCCAGGCAGGTCTTAAACTCCTGAGTTCAAGCGATCCTCTCGCCTTGGCCTCCCAAAGTGTTGGGATTACAGGCATTGAGCCACTGTGCCCAGCTCAAACTCATAATTCTTTGCAGGAAGCCTGAAACCAAGGAAACGAGGAGCTCTATCAAGGCTCCAATACCCGGGGGAGTGGTGCTTGGAGTTCATAGAATACAGCTACTCAGGCTTTGATACTCAGAGCCCCTGGCCTTTCCACCTTCCTTGTATGTTCCTACATGGCCAGCCTCATCTGCTTTTATTCTCTCCACTCAGGCTATGATCCATCCAGTGGGAACCATTCCCCAGTAGTGGGAACTGTCCCGAACAGTGACCGAATATAGACACGATAAATTATGTCACTGGGGCTACTGACATAACCATTAGACTTTTAGTTGAGGATGGTTTCCTCTCTCTGCCTGGAATGTTATTCCTTGTCCTTCTTCATCTGGCTAACAACTATTGGTCCTTCATGATTAAGCTTAAATATCAGCTTCACTGGGAGTGATTCCCTGACCCTCGGATTGGGCTAAGTGCCTCCTCTGTGCTTGTATAGTCACTCCCCCTTCCCCTCACATCATATACTTACCCCCAGCACTTGCTATTCTGTATTGTAATTTTTGGTAGTATGTCTCCCTTGATACACTGTAAATTCCTAAGGTCAGAGGCTGATTTAACCCTGCCTACCCTCTCCAGTGCCTTGCATAAATGGGCACAAAGAAGACCCCTAAAACTTTCTTAAGGAACAAAATGACCCTGACAGTCTCACGGCAGACAAGGCAATCTCAAGGAACCCACAAGGCTGAGACTGCTACATATTTTTCAGAAGACTTGTGTTCTAATCCTGGCCTGTTGCTGTGTGACCATAATCATGCCACCTCACATCTTTGGGTTTCAACGTCTTATGCGTTCAATGTGGGTCTGGAGTCACTGCCCTGCCACCAAAATCTCTGCACTATGCAGTCTAGAGAAGATCACAGCCAAAGAACAGGATATAGTCAGTGAATGGGCTCCGTGACTGCCGGGGCTGGAGGCCCTGCATGCTGGGGCACCTGAGTGAGCCCTGGCTGGCTGCCAGTTCTGAGTCCCCACCTCCTCCACCCCCACCCTTGGGCCTGCTGCCAAAACTCTGGTGCCCAGCTGCTCTACTGTGCTGGGGCCCTGTGGCAAGCCTACCCTCCAGGCTGCCTTCTGCAGGGTCTGGACTGGGTGGGTGTGGGGTGGTGGTACCAGAAATGATGATGCCACTGCCTAGTGTGTGTCATGTCTGATTCACCACAGACCCCTCGGGCCTAGCCCAGAGCCTTACACAGAGTAACTGCTCATTGAACACAAACTCATCTGATCAATGCACAATTTCTTTTAGAAATCTACATTTTCAAGCATCCCCCACCACGGAAATTCAAAGCCTGAAATGCAAATCTGAAGGCTGAGTGACAAGCCAAGGAGTTGGGACTTTATTTGGTAGGCAAAAGAAAGCCAAAAGTCTAACAAGAGAAAAACAATATTTTCTTATGTAAACAACTGTATTTTTGAAATGAAATATAAACCTCAGTGCAATTACAGAACTGACTAGAAGCTTTTTGACTAGGCACAGTGACAAAAACGTTCTAGATGTTTTCAGTTAGCTCTCTCAACAACTCTGTGAGTTGGTGCTATGAATTAATTTACACACAAGGCCTAGAAAGATGAAGAGACTAATCCAAGATCATACAAGTGGTAGACACTGGATTAGAACCCAAGGTCTCTAACACCAGTGGAGGAACTCTTAACAGGGCACTGCCACCAACACGGTCACGGAGGAAGGCACAGGACAGCACAGGAGTGGTCAACACAGTCAGACACGGGGTGGAGAAGACAGTCCAGAAGGCCTCACACAGCTTTGGTCTGCGGCAGTAAGGCATTTTGAGTCTCTTCATGTCCTGTCCCCAGTCCCCACCATCTGCTTGCCTGCCTTGTGCTGTGAGTTCCTGTGGTCTTTCTGAATTCCAGAAAGTTTCATAAACAGCAGAAAGATGGACAGCAGGTGCCCTTCTTAACACAGTGCAGTGCAGAAATAAATGAACAACAGACAGACCTTTGGCCACCTCTTTTCTCTCTAGTTTACCCCATCAACTTTTGGCAAGGTACTTAAAGAATAAGGGCTGTGGGACAGTCCAGGGGGCACAGGATCACGTCATCTACAATGGAGAGGGAGCTGGAGCCCAGCAGGCAAGGCAGGAGATACTGCTCTCTCCATGGCAGTGGAAGGCAGTCCAATATCAAGGATGATGGGCTCCAAATCAACCCCTCATTTAGAAAGCGACAGTAACTCCTAAAACGTACAACTCTGGGTACAGTGGGTCATGTCAAGTTATTACCAAATTAAAATGCCTTAGAAATGGCCTCCTGACTATCCCAGTGAGAGAAGAATAGGGGGAGTGTTGGGGATTCTGAGTCATCCAGCAGGCTGGGACCTCTGGGGCAGTTAGCGGTCAAAACCACCAAGATTAACGGTCGCCAACTCCCTGGGGCCAGAATAGTCAGTCTCTCTAAGGCACTCACACTCCAAATGCCAGCAGGCCCCCACAGATGTCTGATCAAATCACTCAGCCCTTGTTCTTCTCCTACTCTGCAGCTGGCCTTTCATTTTGGGAGATTTAGCATTAAACCCAGTAAGAGCACCCATTGTCCTGCAAACGTGACTACCAAGCCCCTGGGGTGAAGAGTGTTACCACTGCACTCACAAGAGGAAATCCAGATGGACAGGCTGGAGCCCCAAAGAAGGAACCAGACGCTTCCACTCTCCTGCTTCACTCAGAAGGACTGAGTTTAAGGAATCAGGCCAAGCAATGGGTCATAAATGGAAAAAGCATCAGATCTGGAATCAGAAACTGTCACAGAGGACACTGACAAGCAAGTGATGGAAAATCTGATTTTCAACTTCCCCATGTGCAGTGGAAACCATGTAATTCCAAGAATCGCATCAGGATGTGGTGAGGGAGCACATTTGGAGGGGACACACATGCTGTGTGACACGCGTGGCTGCCATAAGCGCCTGGCTCGGGTTCAGATCCAACCACAGGGAGAGTCACCACATGATATCTAGTGGGAGGGTGCCCTGGCTGACGTGTGTCTGAAGGATCAGCATTTGGGAGATGAGGAGTAGCACTGCAGGAGGCTGAAAGAGCAGGAGAGTGTGAGGCTGTGGTCAACGAAGTGTCTTAGGAAGGACGCAGAGACCAACTGCGTCACACACTGTGGAGGTCCAGTAAGGTGTGGCCACAGGACTAAATGCTGGATTCGGCAACAGGGAGGTCACCACCAACCTCAACAACAGCCATTCCACTGGAATGTGGAGGTGAAACTCGTTTCACTGGGTTTAAGAGAAAACAGGAAGAGACAAACTGAAGTCATGAAACACAGACTATTTTTAGGAGTTCTGCTACAAAGGAACAAAGAAATGGGGCAATAGCCGGAGCGGGGAAGCAGGGTAAAGTGTTTTTTGAGGTTAGGAAATATTTCCCCAAGTTTACAAGCTGGTTAGAATAAAAGAAAAACTCACAATGCAGTAGAGATAGGACAGTTGTAGGGAGAATGTTTCTTTTTGTTGTGTTTGTTTTCTGAGACGGGGTCTCACTCTGTTGCCCAGGCTGGAGTGTGGTGGCATGATCTCGGCTCACTGCAACCTCCACCTCCGAGGTCCAAGTGATTCTCCTGCCTCAGCCTCCCGAGAAGCTGAGGTTACAGGCGCCTGCCACCGCGCCCGGCTAATTTTTGCATTTTTAGTAGAGACAAGGTTTCACCATGTTGGCCAGGTTGGGGGAGAATGCCTGTGAGAAGGCGGAGGGGGAAAGGATCTAGCGCAAAACTGGAAGGGCTGGCCTTAGCTCTGCTCCCTTAGCCCGCCTTGGCCAGGGATGCCTATTTTCTAAGCACCACTTCCCTTGCGAACTTTCCATGATACTTCCCTTCTCAGGTAGAACCCATCCCCCTGTGGACCTGCGCCACCTAGGGCAGACCTTCATCTTCACTTGCTCACTTGTTCCCCCATTCTCCTACCGCCTTCCCCTTTCTGCCTCTCATTTCCACAGGCAACAAATATTTAGAGACAATAGAGTCACTCTGCTTGGATTTTTATCCTGGCTCTCTTAATAGCTGTGTGATTTGGGGCATGTCTTTTAAATTGTTTTGTGCCCTTAATTTGCACATCTTTAAAAGTGGGATTATACTAGTACTTACTTTATAAAATTTTTTTGTTAAGAGTTATGCTGAGAAAGAAGGGCTGGCACTGAGTACGGTGTCTGGCCCCTCGCTGGTGCTCAGTACATGCTAACTAACTGGCCTGGGATTAAGGATACAATGATGACTAGGACATAGTTAAGGCCTAGCATTACACTCCATTACACTGAAGAGTAATTGTCCATTTAAATATCTTTCTCTCATAGAATATGATCATTTTAGCAAAGCATGTATGGCACAGAATATACAAGTACCCAATAAAATGCTGGACTGAAATCAGTTGGTTACCTTGCCTTGGAAGGTTAATCAACAGGAAGTGTAAGGGGGAAGTGGGGTGATGGCCAGGGAAACTGGGGAAGAGTCATTGACAGTGATTCCTGAGGACTCTACAGATCAGTGATGGACATTGTGTAACCATCAGTCTAGTTTCTAGAACCATCTCAGAGAGGACTGGACTCAGATCAGCCCCTACCATGCCTGCTCCCTCGTTTCATGTGCTAATTTAGTTTAAAGCATTCCTTATGAGAAAAGAAGACCATGTAGGCAGCACTTAGCACACTGCCTAACAACCCAGCAGCTTAATCAAAGCCAGTGTTACCATGCTAGGGGGACATGCATGAGCGTGCAGATGAGCCTCTCTACACAGAGCTCTTTCCATCCACAGAGGAGGGAATTCTTCAATTCCATCTTCTACCTTCCTCATGAGGATGCCTTTCTCCAAGTACTAGAGAGTTGTTTCTGGGATAATGACATGAGGAGGGAAATGGCAGAAGCAGCTTCGCCTAGCTTGAGTAATCCTATTCTGTCATTAAATATTTTCACTTTAATTTTTTTTTTGAAATAGCCTTTACTGCCATAGATCCTCTCAAGCCCCAAGATGGAAATGTTTCTCCTTAAGGACAACTTCTGTCTCCTCTGACTGCCACCTGTCTGACCTGTTACTCCAAGGTCTGCTGGGTCTTGCTTGCATTGTCACCAGTTTCATCATCTACCCACATGTGGGCTGTGCCAATCCATTCTACCCTAGACATCACTGACTCTTTGCTCTTTGTGGCTTCCAATGTAGACTCAGGTTTCTCTACAGCTTTTGCCATCATGATACGTGTACAGCCATCTACGACAAATGCTGAAGCACTGTCAAATGTCTTCTATCACTTTAAGAAAAAAGGGACTGCTTGATCTGAGCCATCTGAAACTTGTGGTATTTCTCAGCTCCGGAGGCCCTGCCTTTCTGCTCTTGCTGCTAGGCACTGCAATACCTTTTCATCAAACCAGGCCACCTTCCTATTTGATCAGTGATTGTGGAGCTGACATTAACTCCAGGTTACATTTGTCTCCAGAGCCTTGTAATTTATTTCCTCTTAGCTGGAGGGATGCTCCCCACTAAGTTCTCCAAGTGCTTCAACAGACAATTTTCACGGAGGCACTCCACCAGAGATCTGCTGTGACTCTCCAATTCAATTTTGCTTCCACACTTTATTTCCTTAAAAATAAAAACACATCCTCTTTCTGGGTGGTAGTGAAAGACACAAGAGAAGTAACATTCACTGAGCACAAACCAGGCACCAGACAGCGGATCTAATGATCTAATTCAGCTTTACAACAATCCTCTACAAAGTAGTACCTCCCTTAGACCCAGGCATATGGGGCTGAAGGAGTCCAGGAGAAGCCATGGTTAGAAGATGCACTGTTCTGTTTACACTATAAAATGTCAAATGATACATTTAATATGACCAGAAAACAAATTACCATTTACACTTTCCCTGCACTCTCTGACACTGGTGTGTGTTCATGACCAACAAAGCAGTCCCATCTTTGAGATACTCCCAGGTCTCAGGAAGGATAGCGCAGCCTCATGAAATGATGTATCCAGCATGAGCTGAATGGTACTGGAGAAATGAAGGGAGAAGATCACTGTTTCCACAAAACAGTTTCCAAAAAGCCATGGCATTGAGTACTAATAATACAGATACTTGTTGTTTGTGGCAGGAGATATGAAACTTTCCAGCAATGATACATTTGACAATAGAAAACACAGAGATGGTTCCTGAACCTGAACAGAAAGAGTTGGTGGTGTCTGGGTAGCAAAAGGAATTTTCATATGCACTGATTGGATAACAAATACATAAGTATCTCTTCTCTACCCATTGTTCTAAATCCTTAGTAAGTCAATATATCATACATGGACCCATCAACTGGTTTATACAGGCAGAGGCCTTGCAAAACGTTATTTGGCCAGGGCCCTGTCTACCTTTGGAGCAGTCCTACTCTAAGGTAAGTATTATTTTCATTTTTGACAAGAGAAAACTGACTCCAAAACTCTCTCCTGTTCTTCCCAAAGCCCCTACTTTCTATGATGTAAAGTGTAATCAGCTTAAGGTAAGAAGATTGGAGTTTAAGCCACCAGTTCTACTTACTAGGTGTGCAACCTCAGGTAAGACACAACTGGTTTCCTTAACTCTTAAAATAGCTATAGTAATGCACATTTTATAGGGCTGATGGGAAGATCAGTGAATACCTACAGCAATGTGGGTCACAGTGCCCTTTGAAAGGTTATACAAATATTAGTCACTGTTCCTACTGTTTTAATGTTTGACTTCTGCTTTTACTATTCCTTCTAGATTCATCTGAATTATTATCATAGTTTCAATAATTTAAGAAGGAAAATAACTGCTCATTTATTTTTCTTATTTGGATTCTTCTCTCTCATTCAACTGGCTGTCCATAAATGTATGCCTATTGGGCAGGGAGGTCAAGAGACTTCAGGGGACAGAAAGGGAGGGCCACTAAAACAATTCCATCATCTATGTGCAGGAACTTGTTATAAACTAGCATCCTAGCACTTATGTGAGCCCAGTGGAAGGGCTATATCTCATAAAATTTGTAGTTAAAATCACAGTCAAATCCTCTGTTCAATTCTTCTATAGGTCCCCAGTATAAGATAGAGGTCACTATCATGATTTCCAGATAACATTGTCCCTAAATCCACTAAGTCCAGGCTCTCAAAGCAGGTGTCACAGTTCAGGGGCTATGTAATAGAGGTTAGAGTTATTCAAAGCCACAGTACAAACCAGTGTATCTTCCTGGAGCAATACATGTACTTGAAGATATGAGGAAGAATGTATTAAGAAAACACATACATACTATGGTATAGAATGCAGAATTTTTACAAGCAAAATGAAAGATCTTAAAGATTCTTTTTTGGGGGGCCAGGTGTGGTGGCTCACATCTGTAATCCCAGCACTTTGGGAAGTCAAGGTGGGAAGATTCACTAGAGCCCAGGAGTTTGAGACCAGAGGCAACATAGGGAGACCTTATCTCTATTTAAAAAAAATTTTTTTTAATTAGCTGGGCATGGTGGCATGTGCCTACAGTCCCAGCTCCTCAGGAGGCTGAGGTTGTAAGGATTGCTTGGGCCGGGGAGGCTGAGGTTGGGAGGATTGCTTGAGCTGAGGCTGCAGTAAGCTGAGATTGCACTACTGAACTCCAGCCTGGGCGACAAAGCAAGACCCTGTCTCAAAAAAAAAAAAAAAAAAAAAAAAAAAAAAGGAATTTTTATGCTTGCAGTGGGTTGCTTTGCAATATATGCTCACTCTCCTCTACCACTAAGGGTCCTCTGGAGGAAATGTTTCAGAAGCACTGCACTAAGGAACCTAAGTTTTCCATTTTGGTTCCTACTCTCAAAAAGCTTGAATTTCAGTAAGCAAATAGGTAAGTAAATAAAAGATTACCTTTGGGTATAAGTACGACCACTATTATATACAAGGTATGGAGGAGGCAGACAATTTAAAGTGGTCTTGGGAATTAGGGTGGGTATCTTGAGGAGGTACTGTCAAGAAAAGAGAGAAAGGAGAAGGGCATTCTCAGCCGAGGATACAATATGTGCAAGGGTCCAAAGCAGAAAAAGAGCCTGGCACATATTGGGAATTGCAAATACAGTAGTACTGACAGAACAAAGCCTGTGAGACCACAGCATGGTCTTGCTGCTAGGACAAGGAGCCTGGACTTGCTGATGGAGGCAATGGGGAGCCACTGAAGGATTTTTATGCAGATGAATGACATGCACTAGTCCAAGAGAGAAATGAGGAGACCTGGCTGAAGGGGTAACAGTGGATATAGACAGGAAGAATATTTGTAAGATATATTTGGGAAGCAAAATAATAGAGAGTGGAGGAATGTAACTAACAATTATTCAGCAGTATCTGGGGTTTTGTTTTTATTTTTATTTACATTATTGTTAATCCTTAAACAGCCCTATATGATAGGTATTATTCTTCCCATTTTATGAACAAAGAAATAAAGAAATTCAACTAGGAAATGGCAGGAGGAAGATTTGAATATAGAGCTTTCTGATTTCAAAGCCCTTGGATATTGGTTGTGGCTGTTTCATAAAATACACTTTTTATATTTCCTGATTTCAAAGCCCTTAGTAGTGTTTTTTTTTTTAACAGACTACATTTCTTTTTAGTGCTGAATAGTAGTCCATTGTCTAGATGTGCCACAGTTTGTCCACATACATACTAAAGGACATCTTGATGCTTCCAGTTCTTGGCAATTATGAATAAAGCTGCTATAAATATTCATGTATGGTTTTTGTGTAGACATAAGTTTTCAGTTCCACTGGGTAAATACTTAGGAGGGTGACTGCTAGAACATATTATGTTCACTTTGTAAGCTGCTGCCAAACTGTGCTCCAAAGTGGCCAAACTGTGCTCCAAAGTGGCCAAACCATTCCCACCAGCAGTGAATGAGCGTTCCTACTGCTCCACATCCTTGTCAGCATTTGAGACTGTCAGGTTTTTTGGTTTTTTTTTAGTCATTCTAATAGGTGTGATAGTATTTCACTGTTGTTTTAATTTGCATTTCCTTAATGACATATAATGCAAACATCTTTTCATATGCTTATTTCCATCTGCATATCTTTTTTGACCATCTGGAAAGGGTGTCTTTTTGGTTCTTTTGCCCATTTTTTTAATTGGGTTGGTTGTTTTCTTAATGTTGAGTTTTAAGAGTTCTTTGTATATTCTGAATACAAGTCCTTAATCAGGTATGTGTTTGCAATTTTTTCCCCAGTTTGTGGCTTGTTTTTTCATTCACTTAACAGTGAACTTCACAGAGTACAAGTTTTGGAGTTTAATAAAATCAACGTACTGATTTTTCTTTTCTGAATTTTGCTTTTGGTTTTATATCTAAAAACTCATTACCAAACCCAAAATCACATAAATTTTCTATGTTACCTTCCAGAAGTTTATTATAGTTTCAGGTTTTGCATTTAGTCTATTTAGGTTCCATTTTGAGTTAATTTTTGTGAAAGGTACAAGGTGAATGATTAATTTGTACATACAGATATCTAATTATTCCAGTATCATTTATTGAAAAAATTATCCTTTTTCCATTGAATTGCCTTTGTTCCTTTGTCAGAGATCAACAGACTATATTTGTGTGGGTCAATTTATGGGATCTCTATCCTATTCTATTGATCTATTTGTCTATTCTTTTGCCAATACTACGCTATCTTGATTGTATCTTGATAGCTTTATTGTAGGTCTGGAGTCAGGTACTGTCAATCTTCCAACTTTCTTCTTCTTCATCAGTAGATTCTGGGTCTTCTGCCTTTCCATATAAATTTTAACGTAAGTTGTTGATATTCGAAAAATGACTTGCTGCAATTTTGATTCTGATTACATTGAATTTATAGATCAAGTAGAGAATTGACATCTTAACAATACTGAGGCTGGGCACAGTGGCTCACACCTGTAATCCTAGCACTTTGGGAGGCCAAAGCAGGAGGACTGCTTGATCCCAGGAGTTTGACACCAGCCCCAGCAACATAGCGGACCCTGACTCTACAAAATAAAAAACATAAAAAAAAAATTAGCTGTGTGTGGTAGCGCACGCCTGTAGTCCCAGCTACTTGAGAGGCTGAGGTAGGAGGATCACTTGAGCCTGGGAGGTCGAGACAGCAGTGAGCCGTGGTTGCACCGCTACACTCCAGCCTGGGCAACCCTGTTTCAAAAAAAACCCCAAAACCCCCAAAACCCAATACTGAGTCCTTCTATCAAAATGTGGAATATCCATTTATCTAGATTTCTTTGATTTCTTTCATTAGAGTTTTGTAGTTTTCCTCATTCATATATGGATCTATGCACAAACACATTTACACATATTTTATCAGATTTATCCCTAAGTATTTCCCTTTTTTTTTGGCACTAATGTAAATGACACCGTGTTTTAAATTTTAAATTCCAATTGCTTCTTGCTGGTATATAGAAAAGCAATTGCCTTTTGTGTATTAACCTTACAGCCTGAAAACTTGCCTTAATTGCTTATTAGTTCCAGAATGTTTTTGCCAATCTTTGGGATTTTCTACATAGACAATCATGTCATCTGTGAACACAGTTTTATTTCTCCCTTCCCAATCTGTATGCCTTTTATTTCCTTTTCTTGTCTTACTGTGTTAGTGAAGACTTTAGTATAATGTTGAACAGGAGTGGTGAGAGGGGGGACATCCTTGGTTTTATCTCAATCTTAGGGGAAAAGAATCCAGTGTCTCATTAAGCAAGATGTTAGCTATAGGTTTTTTGATCAAATTGAAGAAGTTCCCCTCTACTCATAGTTTGCTGATAGTTTTTTTAAAAATCATGAATAGGTATTGGATTGTATCAAATGGTTTTTTTACATCTATGGATATGATTATATGATTTTTCTTCTTTAGCCTGTTGATGTAACAGAATATGCATTAATTGATTTTTGAAGCTGAACCAGCCTTGCATACCTGGAATAAATCCCACTTGGCAGCAACATGTAATTCTTTTTATACATTGCTGAACTCAATTTGCTAATAATTTTGTTGAGGATTTCTGGAGCATGTTCATGAGAGATATTGGTCCGTAGTTTTCCTTTCTTATAATATCTTTATTTGGGTAATAGGGTAATGTCTAGAGTAATGTTGGACGCATAGAATGAGTTAGAAAGCGTTCTTTCTGCTTTGATTTTCTGGAAGACATTGTAGAGAACTGGTATCATTTGGTATCATTTTTTCCCTTAAATTTTGATAGAATCCACCAGTGAAACCATCTGAGACTGTTGTTTCTGCTTTGGAAAGTTATTAATTAGTGATTTAATTTCTTTAGTAGATACAGATTTATTCAGATGGTCTTTTTCTCCTTGTGTCAGTTTGGGTGGTTTGTGTCTTTCAAGGAATCAGTCCATTTCATCTAAGTTATCAGATTTGTGAGTACAGAGTTGTTCACAATGTTCTTTTATTATCCTTTTTCTTTTGTTTTGAGACAGGGTCTCACTCTGTCGCCCAGGCTGGAGTGCAGTGGTGTGATCACAGCTCACTGAAGCCTTGACCTCTCGGGCTCAAGTGATCCTCCCATCTCAACCTACTAAGTAGACGGGATTACCAGCACAACCGGCTAATTTTGTTTTTTTTTTTGAAGAGACGAGGTCTCCCTATGTTGCCCAGGCTGGTCTCAAGTTCCTGGGCTCAAGCGATCCTCCTGCCTCAGCCTTCCAAAGTGCTGGGACTATAGGCATGAACTACCTCACCCGGCCCATTATTCTTTTTAATATCTATGGATTAGTATGTTCACTTCTGATATTAGTAATTTATATCTTCTCTTTCTCTATTTTTGGCTCTAGGTTTATCAATTTTATAGATATTTGCAAAGAACCAGCTTTTGTTTTGTTGATTTTCTCTGTTGATTTCTACTCTGTACTTCTATTATAGCCTCCTAAGTACCCTCTCCCCTTCCATTCTTGTCCCTCTCTAATCAAATTTCCTTCCTGCGGCCAAAAACATTTTCCTAAGGGTCAAAACTGATTATGTCACTACTCATCTGCTTAAAACCCTTCAAGGCATCTTTTGCCCTTGAGATGAAGCCCATATTTCTCCTTGTTATCTCTAAAACCCCACATAATTTGGTCTCTGCCCATTCCTCCAGACTTCTCAAGTTCCACCCTCAGGTCTCCTGGAGTTTGGCAGCATAGAAAAGACAAATCTTACATCTTTACACATACATTTATTTCAATTATAGATAAGGAAGAGATAAATTAGTCAATATAATGTATAGGAAGTTCTTCAATTGGCTGAGATTTTAAAAGACCATTAAGAAAAACTAGAGAAAAAATTGGTAACCAAAAACTAATATAAAATGGATTTCCAAAAATAGTGTCTAGAGATCTATAGCCCATAATGAAAGTTCGAAAAAATTACAGAAACATCCAAATATATTTTTTCATTGTAAAGGTGTAATAAAAACAATATTTAGAATCAAAAGAAAGTAGCCGCAATTCCACTACCCTAACATAATTGTTATGATATTCTGCAGTAGTTGTTATATTATATTCAGATATGATATAGTGACAGGCCTGAGGTTGCTTCATGGTTCTTGACCCTGACATATTAGAATAATCTGGGAGAATGTTTAAACATAAAGGTACCTGAGCCCAATTCCTGACCAACTAAATCAGAATCTCTGGGTAGTGAGGTCTTAGTTATGAATCATCACACATAGACATACTCCTATGTACAGGCAGATTTATTCTTGGTATCAATTACCTGGGGAAGTGGAGACTTCCTGAGACAGGAAACAGAATCTTTTATTAAAGCAGTGGTTCTCAATTTGGCTGCATATTAGACTCACCTGGGCAGCTTTAAAAATCCTAATGCAAAGGCTGTGTCCTCGCTCAGTGACTTCAAAATCTCTAGAGGGTGGGATGCAGGCATCAGTAATTTTTTAGGCTCTCCAGGTGATTCCAATATGCAGTCAAGGCCAAAAACCACCGTGCAGAGAGTCCTCGGTGAGCTGCAAAGTGGGAATTTGGCTTTTTCAGTCTTGATCACATAGCTCAAGATGTCTAGGAGAAAGTCTTTGAACAGTGGGCTGTGAAAAATGCTAGATGTCATGAAGCAAAGAACCTAGCCAAATCCTGCAATGCTATGCTCTCCTGTTGTGAAGTAAGTATGGCCCTGGCTTGTGCTAGCTATAGAAGAGACAGAATTCTGCATTTTGGAAACCAGACTACTCCTCTGGATTTCTTGTCCTCTCAAGGTTAATTTCTCTGTTGTCCTCTTTTAATCTTTAGTGAAATATTTTTAGCTTTGCTTAGAGAAGCCAAGAGAAAGTATCCCTCCCACCACACACACACCCCTTTCCTCTTTTTTTTTTTTTTAAGGCATTAAAGAGAAGCTGGCCATCTGAAGTCAGCATGATGGTGGCAGAAGTTCTTCAAGTGACAGTCTCTCCAGGAGATGGGGAAAGTCAGGGTTAGATAAAGGAAGGGGCCACCTGACAGTCCTCACCACTGTACTCCGTCTCCCTAAAAATCTTCTAATAACAATATTTGAAAGATCTGGATTTTGTTATTAAAGGTGGCTCTATTCTTTCTTACTCATACCCTCTTCCTTCTGTCCTCGATTGATTGAACAAATATTTACTGAATATTTACTATGCACATAAACACTATACTAGGCATTGTGAATATATCTGTGAGCAGAACATTCCTAGTTCTTGCCCTTACAAAGCTTTCGGTATAGTTAAAACATAGGATAAAACTGACTGTGAATTTGGAAAAAACAGAAAGCTAAGTTGAATAGTGAGAAAAGTAAAAAAGTTTGGAGCCAGGCAGAGAAGGGTTCAAAGACTGGCTTGATCACATTTAGTTCTGTGAACATAAGCAAATTACTTATCCCTTCTATATCATTTTCACATTTGTTAAAATGCATTTAAATACCATCTACTTCACAGAGTTGTCCACCATTTATCCATGCAACAAATATTTATTAATTGATCACTAAGTAATACAGTAGATACTGGTTTTGGTGTTAGAAAATAGTAGGGAACAAAACAGAAGAAACACTCTAGTAGATGGAGACAGACAATAAACAAGTAAATAAAACATATGTGGCATCCGAGAGTGATAGATACCCTGGAGAAAATGACACAGTAAAGGGGAACAGGGAACGCCAATAGGGGATGGGGCTATGATTTTAAATGGGATGGGCAAAGGAGACTTTATTAAGAAGGTGACATTTGAACTATGTTCTAAAAAGGCAAGAGAGTGCGCAATCTCTTCAGGTATCTGGGGAAGAGTGTTCCAGACAAGGGAATGAGCAAATGCCAAGAGTCTGAGGCGGGAACAGGTCTGGAATATCCGAATCACAGCAAGGAGCGCAGGATAAAACAATAAACAAGAAGGAGAGCAACAAGAAACGAAGGTGTGGACCATGTAGGGCCTTGATGAGCACTATAAAGGTTCTGGCTCTCATTCTACAAGAAATGGGGAGCCATTGGGGAGTTCTGATCACAGGAGTAACAAGATCTATCTTGTATTTTAATGGGATCACTTTGGCTTCAGTGTGGAAATAGACCACAGAGAAGCAAGCATAAAATCTGGAAGACTAGTTAGGAGTGCAAAAATTAGGTGAGAGATGGTGGTTTGGACAGAGTGATGATACAGAGGTAGTGAGAAGTGGCTGGATCTGAGGATATTAAGGTAAAGCTAATAAGGTTTGCTGATATCAGATTTGAGTGTCAAAGAAATGATGCTACAGTATTTGATGTGAGCAATTGGAAGGATGTAGTTAGCTGCCATTTCCTGGGGTAGAAAAGATTCTGGGAGGCAGGGGTGTGAATCTGGAGTTTGGTTCTGGACATGTTAAGTGTGAGATGCCTAATACATATCCAAATGAAGGAAGCAATTGGGTAAATGAGTCTGGAGTGTGGGGAAAGAGAACTGGGCTTGATATAAATATAGGAGTCATCAGCATATAGATGATATTTAAAGCCATGATACCGGATTAGATTATCTAAGCAAATGTTGTGGGAACAGGTAACATAGAAAGTACCTAGTGCACCACTGGGCATATAGTAGGTGCTCAATAAATGCTTTCCCCTTGCAGCCCTAGGGAACTTGACAGGCTGTTTTAGAAGTGTTAAACTCACCTCAGGCTATATTTAGACTGCTCCATGTTTATACACTATTACAAATGACCTGGTTTTTCACAAGGCTCTGGGGGTTAAGAGTTGTTTGCTTTCATTTTCATATTTTTGTGTCTTCACATGGAATTCCTTATGAAATTAGACTGAGCATTAAAGTCCCCATGCTCTTGCCCACATGGCAACTGTAAAACACCACACTGTGGCAGCAGACAGGAGCTTTCCCAGAGCACAGAGCACCTGCCCACACCCAGCAGAAATAGATGAAACTTCCATTTAATTAAATCTGCTCCCAGAAGGCCCACGTCGGCTCAGGAAAGTCACACTTGGACACCAGGATCTGGCTCCTTCAAGGAATCCAGATGACTCATCTCTCTCCTGGACTAATGGGCACATTCCTGGCTCGTTGTGTCATATTCCTTATAATGGAGACTGAGATTTCCTTAGGGTTCTTCCTGGAATGCTCTGCCTCTCTTCCTTTGACTCTTTCCTCAAATGTCACCTTCTCAATGAATTCTACTTTGACTGTCCCATTGCAACTTGCAATCTCTTCAACAGCATTCCCTTGTCTTGCTCTATTTTCTTTCACAGCACTTATCACCTTCCAAAATCCTAAAAACTTTATTTATAATAATTTTTGTTTATTGATTGTCTTGTTCACTGGTATATCCTCAGACCACAGAATATTGCCTGATACATATTAGTTGCTCAACAAATCTGTTAACTGAATGAGGGAGTATCCACTTTGTTGTCGGGGCAAGAGCCTTTACCCCTGAGACTTTTCGAGGCCCTCAACTTTGAGCCAGACCACAGTAGACCCCTTTCAGAGAGCAGATGTGCCTCCTTGGAGGTATCCTTAAATCAGGTTGTGGCTGCCTGCACGTAGCAGCCTGAGTGCCCAACCCCTGGGGAAGACGGGGTCAATTCTCAGGCAACCACAAGGCTGGCAATGTCACCAACTCACCAGTCTCACATTCTAGTTATTCCTGTTTCTCTCCAAACCATATTCTTCTCAGTTTTCTTATCCTCAAGTCACTGCTCTCTGCTTCTTCTTGGTCCAATTTCCTACTTCTCCCCTGGCACGGTCCACATTCTAACTTTCAATTATGTGGCATAAAACTGTGTTCCTTTATATCCTCAAACTCTTCGGTGAATGTTCCTTCCATTTTTGCTTTCATAGAAACCTGGGTCTCTCGGGAAAACGCCATTTTTACAGCCCTCTGCAAAGGAGGCTGCTCTTTCATCTATACTTCATGGACCTTGGGATCCCTGGTTATCCTTTTTGTACTCCATTAATGCTTCCAAATCACCAATATGTCATGCTTATTATAAAAAAACAAACAACCAAAAACTTGTCTGTTGCTCATGCTATCCAGCAATACTACCCTTTACCCTCCCTTCCTGTTCTCATTCGCTTCCTCCCCATTCACTAAGACTTCAGCTCGCAGGATAGCCTTTCCAATCAAGCTTATAAGGCTGTGTCTATGTCTTAGAATTTTCCGTTTATTCCAACTAGAAAACACATAGCTGGTGCTCAAGAAACATCTGCTAAATGAAAGAGTAAAGAAATGAAATCTGGGGTATGGAGCAGGAGGCAAGCTGAAGTCCGGGTCTCATTTTTGGGCTATATCCCTGCTAGTTTACCAGACACTGATAAGGGCTAACTCTCATCCTTGGTATTACTATTGTCACCACTTTAACTGAGACTTAGTAGTTTAATAACTCACTCCAGATTAGAGCTAGTAAGATGTGGAACTGGGCCTCAAAAATCCATGTCTGACTCCATAGCTCACATTTTTAACCAACAAAAAGTTCTGCCTTCTTCAACAACAGATCTTGTAGTAAAAAGACAAGGTTTTGCACATCAGTATTCTGAATAATGTTCTCAGCACTAACAAGTGATTTTGTCATGTAGATACAAGCAGCAGGGAATTCTAAAAGAAAATATAAGCCACTCTATTCCAGAAAGACATAATTAAACAAATACAGTGAAGAAAAAAAATCTAAAATGTCTATTTCCAGGCTTTTGGAATATCACTAGACATAAGGTATTTTAGGAGTATTTCTCCCATTCTGTAGGCTGTCTGTGTACTCTGTTGATAGTTTCTTTTGCTGTGCAAAAGCTCTTTATTTTGATTAGGTCTCACTTGTCAATTTTTGTTCTTGTTGCAGTTGCTTTTGGTGACTTAGCCATAAATTCTTTGCCAAAGCCAATGATGAGAAGGGTATGTCCTAGGTTTTCTGTTAGGATTTTTATAGTTTGAGGTCTTACATTTAAATCTTTAATCCATCTTAATTTTTATATATGGTAAAATGTAGGGGTTCAGTTTCATTCTTCTGCATATGGTTAGCCAGTTATCCCAACACCATTTATTGAATAGGGAGTCCATTCCCTATTGCTTATTTTTGTAGGCTTTGTTGAAGATCAGATGGTTGTAGCTGTGTGGCTTTATTTCTGGGTTCTCTATTATGTTCCATTGGTCTATGTGTCTGTTTTTGTAGCAGTATCATGTTTAGTTACTATATCCTTATAGTAGAGTTTGAAGTCTAGTAATGTGATACCTCCAGCTCTGTTCTTTTTGCTTAGAATTGCTTTGGCTATTCTGCCTCTTTTTTGGTTTCGTATACATTTTAGAATGGTTTTCTCTACTTCTATGAAAAATGATGTTGATAGATGCAGCTGTAAGTCATTACCCTAAACAAATTAACACAGAACAGAAAACGAAATATCACATGTTCTCACTTATAAATGGGAGCTAAATACTGAATACACATGGACATAAAAATAAGAACAGATACTGGGTACTACTAGAGGGGGGAGTGGGGAGTGGGCTGAAAAACTACCTGTTGAGTACTATGCTCACTACCTGGGTAATGGGACCATCTGTACTCCAAACCTCAGCATCACACCATAAACCCATGTAACAAGCCTGCACATTTACCCCAGAATCCATTTTTTTAAAGGAGTATTTCTATGCAATAGGGTTCCAAGAATAGAAAACATCTGGAGCGAGGAGATAATTCTCAAGATATAGCTGTGTTGCATTCTCAATTAAGGGTGAGTCAACTACACTTGTGGGCCAAAGCCAACCTTTCACCTGTTTTTTTTATATGGCCTGCAAGTTAAGAATGTCTTTTACATTTTTAATAGATGGGGGAAAAAATCAAAGAGCATATTTTATGACACATAAAAATTATATAAAATTGCCGGGCACGGTGGCTCACGCCTATAATTCCAGCACTTTGGGAGGCCAAGGCGGGTGGATCACCCAAGGTCAGGAGCTTGAGACAAGCCTGACCAACATGGAAAAACCCCAGCTCTACTAAATATACAAAATTAGCCAGGTGTGGTGGCACATGCCTGTAATCCCAGCTACTCGGGAGGCTGAGGCAGGAGAATCGCTTGAACCGGGGAGGCGGAGGTTGCAGTGAGACAAGATTGCACCATTACACTCCAGCCTGGGCAACAAGAATGAAACTCCGTCTAAAAAGAATACATATAAAATTAAAATTTCAGGGTCCATAAATAAAGTTTTATTGAAATACAGCCATACTCATTCATCTATGTACTATATATGGATGCTTTCATGTTAAAACAGCAAAGCTGAGTAGCTGTGACAGAAAAAATAAGGCCCCAAATCCTAAAATATTTACCATTTGGCCCTTTGCCAAAAGAGTTCGCCAACCCCTTTTATAAATAATTTCTTATGTCTTACCTTCAAGTTCACTAACTCTATCTTCAGTTGTATCTAATCTGCTGCTAACCCCTTTTATTGAGTTTTTAATTTTGATCATTGTATTTTTTAACTCTAGAAGTTCATTGTTTTTTTCAGATCTGGTATTTTGTTTTTCATAGTTCCCTATTCTATGCATATAGTTCAGTACTGTCTCTTATTTCTTTAAATACAGTATATTTAATTGCTTTATAAATGATGTGTGGTAATTCCAATTTCAGAAATCTTTGTGAGTACTCCTCTGTTACCAGTTGTTTTACATGGTTCTCATAAAACCATGAGAACAAGCTTCAACAGAAGCTTGTTTCCTTGTGTGTTTAGTTATTTTTTACTGTGAGCTGCTCATTTCCTTGAAAAGTTATTTGTGAGGAATGTGTATGTCTTCCTCTATGGAAAGTCTGCATTTATTTCTGCCAGGTGCTTGGAGGCACTGCCAGTCTGGAATACCTTAAACTGAACTCATGGTTTGAGGTTCCCTGGATCACCTGAGTGATGAGAACTCTGGCAACAAATACTAAGTGTTTTTGTTCTACTGCCATGACATACTCAGCACTTTGGTAATTGTTCTTGCAGCCTGCTTTGGGGGTGTAGGTTTATTAATAGTTCTAGTTTATCCTTATGCTGAGCCCTTTGGGGTTCCAGTTAATGTGAAAGTGATTAAAAGATAAAAAATATGGAAAATAAGTTAATATAATGAGAAGGTCTAAAATTTAACCAGAATTTCAGAAGAGGCGTAGAGAGAGAGTGGGGCAGAGGGAATATTTAAAGAGATAATGGCTGAAAATTTTTCCAAAACATATGAAATTTATATACCCAAGAATCTAAATGAGGCCAGATACTGTGGCTTACAGCTGTAATCCTAACACTTTAGGAGGCTGAGGCAGGAGGATCACTTGAGCCCAGGAGTTCAAGACCAGCCTGGGCAACATAGCAAGAGCCTGTCTGTACCAAAAGAAGAAGAAAAAAGAAAGAAGAAAGAAGGAGGAGGAGGAGGAGGAAGAGGAGGAGGAGGAGAAGGAGAAGAAGAAGGAGGAAGGAAGAGAAGGAGGAGGAGAAGGAGGAGGAGAAGGAGGAGGAGAAGAAGGAGGAGAAGAAGAAGAGGAAGAAGAGGAGGAAGAAGGAGGAGGAGGGGGAGGAGGAGAAGGAGGAGAAGGAGAAGGAAGAAGGAGAAGAAGAAGGAAGGAGAAGGAAGAAGGAGAAGAAGGAGAAGGAGGAGGAGGAGAAGGAGGAGGAGAAGGGAGGAGGAGAAGGAGGAGAAGGAGAAGGGAGGAGGAGAAGGAGGAGAAGGAGAAGAAGAAGGAAGAAGGAGAAGAAGAAGAAGGAGAAGGAGAAGAAGGAAGAAGAATGAAGAAGAAGGAAAAAGGAGGAGAAGGAGAAGAAGAACAAGGAGAAGGAGAAGAAGAAAGAAGAAAGAAGAAGGAGAAGGAAGAAGGAGAAGAAGGAGAAGGAGGAGAAGAAGGAGAAAAAGGAGGAGAAGAAGAAGGAGAAGAAGGAGAAGAAGGAAGAAGAAGAAGAAGGAAGAAGGAAGAAGGAAGAAGAAGAAGCAGCAAGCTAAATGAATCCCAATCAAGATAAATAAAAAGAAAGCCTTACATTGGCATATTTATTCATACTTTATGGAACGCTTTTATTTTTCATAAAACCATAGGAAGGGAGTGCTATTATCCACATTTTTTCATAAAGGAAAATTGGGATTCAGAAAGCTAAAATATAATAATTATCTAAGGTCATGTAATACTATGCAGCAGACAGAATTCAAATCAAGTTCTGATTCAAGTTCAGGTCCTTTCCTATACCTCAGAAATAGAATATAACACAACTAGAGAGGGACTTGGTAAGGGGAGATCTCAACTTTGCTGAGGAACTGCCCCCACCAAAAGCAGAATCCTTAACTTGGAAACTTCTCTCTGGAAGTAGGTGGAAACCTTTCTCAGGTATCTGTGAGACAGGAGAGACAGCACTGGACTTCTGAAGACAGCACTGGACTAGAAAAACCTTTGCAGCTAGAGGCAGGACAGTTCTAGCTTGTACCTTAGATTGTGAGTTAAATCAAATGAGGCCAAGCCAATTTACTGTGCTAAAGACCAAGTTAACTCACATAGTTCAAAGAACTGGCCTGATACACAACAGAAAGCTACACAACAGCCTACTCTGCAGGACCCAACTGTCAGGACAGCAGGAGATGAGCGTCCTCCTCATCCTCCTCCTTTCACTGCTGAAGACAGTTTAAATACTGTAGTATGTCCTAGAGAACATGCCTTTTGTTCATCAGTGTGATTCAACTTGGTAATTACTCTATCTCTTCCGTTCTGGTGGCATTTCACTTGCTTACGGCTTATACTTGATTTGTTTTTTTCCAGAGTACTAAATTAAGGATTTTCTAAGAGTGAAGCCTATGGCTTTCTACCACAATCAAATACCCCATTCCCTAGATGTTAACATGAGGCTGACATCTCTCTACTAGCCTGGTATACAGAACACACACTTTTTCCTTCATAGTTGCCTTCATAATGTGTAAAAGTTGGGAGATTTACAATGCCTGAACTCATAGTATGAGGCACCAGAGCCAAGAAGCCAGACGCCAGACCATTCAGTGGGAAAACCAACCAGCCCCTGGTTTGATGTCTTGTACGTAGGTGTGGCCATCGTCATCAGAGTCAACTGTGGAAAAGGTCTTATGCAAGACAGAAAAGGAAAGAGACACAATTCTGATCCTTCATGATGTCCGCCTGGTACAGGGCAGGGGACACAGGTGCACAAAGATGACTAACAATAGAAAGGAATCACAGTAGGTAGTAAGGTGGTTCTGCAAGGATTTATTGAGCATCGGCCATGTGAGCAGGCTTGCAGGGACATGAACACACAGAGTAGAGAGAGCTGCAACTCAAGGCATGCTTGTCAAATAGGAAAGTACGCAGTCATCCTACCATCATCCATCCATCCATCCATCCATCCATCCATCCATCCATCCATCCATCCAACCAAGCATTCAGTGTTTAACGGGCACCTGACAAACATACGCCAATACTGTCTAGGTGCTAGAGAGACCAAGAAGCCTAGTAGGGAAGGATCCTGGAAGGATTAGATACTCAATACTTGACAGTCCTCTATGAATTAATAATTTCAATTAAATTCTTACAAAAACTCTGTGAAATAAGTTTATTGTCATCATCTTACAGATGAAACTGAGGCTCAGAGTGGTTAAGTAGCTTGACCCAAATCATAAAGAGAATAAAGGTCAGTCTGGGATTTGAACCAAGCTATCTACTAGGCCTAGCTCTGAGCCTGTGCCCTTAAAAAATTAGTAATTATTATGCAATTACAGTATAGTGAGATAACTGTAACAGAGGTAGAAAATTTAAAGGAAGCACAGAGGAAGAGACAACTTTGTGTGGGGAGGAAGTAGTTTTTTTAGTTTTCCAAGTGGGCTAGCAAGGAAAGAAAATTTCAGGCACAGATAACAAGCACATGCAAAGGTAGAGGGAAAAGGAGTGTTCATCTGTGGCAAGAGTGGCAGGAGTTGAAACTGGAGAGTAAGACAGGGAGTGATCACAGAAGGCTGTGCATGTCAGGTGCCAGAGCATCTTTGAGAGGCCCCTACCTCCTGCTGTGACTCAACTGTCCTCTACCCTGCAGGAGAAGCCTTTCCAGGAGACTCCTAGTCCTTCAAACTCCTGGCAGTGGCCTCCTTCTATAATGAGCTGCCTGTGCCAGCCAAATCGAAGGCCTTATGTTTGCACCCATCATCCCACCCTCTCTGGCCGCTGCAGACTGTAACATGCCCCAAGATTCTGCTGACAGCCTGAGGACAGAGGCCCCAGGGAGTCCCCCAGTCACCAGAAGAGTGATGAGAGCTGACCCTTCAAAGTGAGACCCAGCTCTCACAGACCTCTCTGCCACAGAGCCAAGGTATCTTCTCATTCTACTCACAGTTTAGAGTCCAGATTCAGGAGGAAGCCCAACCGATCATACTCTGAAAAAGAAAAGCAGAAAATGTCACTGAAGTCAAGTCACTGATGATACTAGCATATTGCATCCCCCAGACCTAGACCACAGGGACAGACCACCCTTGGAAAAGAACACAATTCAACTGCTTCAAAGAACGTAACTAAATACATAAACCACAAAACACCAGCTGAACACCTGTTTTGTGATGGACCAAGTTCAATGCCAGGTATTTCCTATGCATTCTAGGGCAGCCAGTCCTATGTTGGTATACAACTGTCTTCCTTCCTGTATAAATGTGGTAATTGGAACTGAAATTTAGTAAACCATGAAACTGGAACCTGGAAAAGCAAGAGGCTCAGATGCAGTATCTGCTTCCTCTAAGCTCTAAACACAGCATTTGCTGAATCAGCCACCTTAGCCATGGGGTGAGGATGTGGCAGCCAACGGGTCCCCAAATCCATGCCAATTCTCTTCATGGTCATCATAAAGAACCAGTAGATCAGATTACATAAAGAATAGCAAGTTTACAATAAAATTTAAAGATAAATTGATGCTTCTAACAAGTGATCAATCAGTATTGTAATTTATTTAAGTTCTTTGCATCTTGCTTCATTCTAAAATGAGGTTGAAGCAGTTCTATAAAATTGTATGGAGTACAAAGAAATCTGGGGGCCAAAGTGGACATAAACATAGGAAAATGCAGGTGGGGTAAGGAAAAGAGCAAAAGTGAATATCTTAGGGCTCTGTGTGCTTGCTGGAGGAAGATTACAGATCTGTCCCCAAGATTTTCCATAGCTAAAACTAAGCGCAAAGCACTGATTTCATGGTTCAGCAGTATCCAGAAAATAAACCAGGAGAATCACAGCTATTCTTGATACTAAGACTTGAGGGAAATTTCCTGTGTCCTCAAAAACATTTGTATAAGGAAAATGATATGAAGTGTCATGGGATTATTTCTTATGGCTCTGCTCCATAGTTGCAGTGTGTGTGTGTGTGTGTGTGTGTGTGTGTGCGTGTGTGCGTGTGTGTGTGTGTGTGTGTGTGTGTGTGTGTGTCTAGCCAAAAAATAAAGTGGCCTATGAATGCAGTTCTTAGCTGGCCTGGCTCAATCTGAGGATAAAACAGAATACCAAGACCAAAATACTGGATGGAAAAGGCCAGGCAGCAAAGCTTTCGAGGAACTCAGGCTTTAATAAGCAGTGAACAGCAAAAAGAGGGAAGTCACACATGCTGACAAGTACCTCCCAGGAGTCGTTCTGCAAGGCCAATTAAGGCCAGACTCATTGCTTTCAAAATCATCTGAGCTGTGAAGAGAGAATAAATCCTCTTCTTAAAATTGAAGATATCAACTAGGACACACAACTCAATGTAAGGCTTGCCTCCCAAGAGAATGGCCTTGAGCAAGTGAAAGTCTTTCCTCAAAATAATTCTGGTTTTGCTCTAACGCAGGCGAATGGATGAAAGACTTGCCTTAACATATCAAGAACTTACAAACATTGGTAAGAAAAACAAAAAAAGGCTTAAATATAAAATAAAACGAAAAATACAATTTGCAAAGAGTTAGTGTCAAAGTTAAGTGCCCTCTCAACAATCCTATCTTACCATTCCATAAAAAGGAAGCCTCAGCTTGCCAAATACCTGTTACTTTTTCCCTGTATGGTGAAAACCCTGGGGGAACTCTCATGCCGTGCTCCTCAGACCTGAGCTAAGACTCCCTTAGACAATTAATCCATACTTAGGCGGATTCCTTCCAGAGAGGCCAGAGAATGTTTCCCTCATGGTTGCAAACTCAAATGTCAGGGGCCAAGCAAGAGCATAACACAAATGAGGGAAGTAGGAGAATGTAATACTCTTATACAGCGGCTCACACTACTCATTTTAGTTGCATTAAAAAACAAATCCTGTTGCAATGTCTTTTCTTTTCAATTCACTGTTTTTCCTCCCATATATTTTCTGTATAGTAAAAATAATTATATCTGTGGTTTATTATTTGTCAATGGCATCTTAAGTTTTGTTTTGTTTCACACACACACACACACGCACACACTGCATATTAAATTTCTAAGAACTCTGCATTTCTAAAGCAAGTCTGTCCCTTCACGTCTCTCTTGGTCTATCTATTGTTTTCTCTCTTTCATTAAGAGACATGAGGGCAGGACACAGTGCCTCACACCTGTAATCCCAGCACTTTGGGAGACCAAGCTGGGAGAGTTGTTTGAGCTTAGGAGTTTGAGATAAGCCTCGGTAGCATAATGAGCCCTCATCTATTCAAAAAACTTTTAAAAAATTAGCTGAGCATGTTGTTGCACACCTGTAGTCCCAGCTACTCCAGAGGCTGAGGTAGGAGGATGGCGTGAGCCTGGGAGATCGAGGCTGCAGTGAGCTGTGATCACGCCACTGCACCCTAGCCTGGGCAACACGGTGAAGAGTCACTGTATCCCCACAGCCCTCAGAAAAGAGACATGAGTACCAGAATAATTTAAGAAAAGGTAATTGTGAACCCACTGATGATAAATGACAGCTCGCCCTTGGCTCTAGCGTCAGAGCCCAGAGGGAACTGAGTCCATCTGGAGAGTGTGTGCCCTGCTGAAGGGCGGCTCCCACCAGCTCCTGCTAACTGTGCCAGGCAGCAACGCAGGCCCCGCATTACCACATCTTCAGATTTTTTTCAAGCCAGGAATCTGGATTTTTAAGGTAAAATTTCTAAGTTTATAAACATTGGCAAATGGATTCAAGAAAAATGTAAAGATTATGTGGACTGACAGCTCATGAGGGCTGTGGCTGCTCACAGTAGATGCTCAATAAATATTTGTTGACTGTTATCGGGATTATTTGGTCACAGCAGTCTCAAGTCCAAATCAAATTAGTGTAACAGGATGCTAGAAAGAAAATTTTAGCCGGGTCTATAAGGTGATACATTTCAGACACCACAGTGAAGTGCTAGACTAAGATGCGGATTTTCAAAGGAAATCTCTTAATACTTATCACGTAATTCTAAAGGCCTTCCCTACATCAAATATAAATAGCAATCGGTTGCTAGAGATGAAGGGAAAGAGGATTTCAAAAAACGTCTTTGTGGGGAGCTGTGTTATGAACAGGGCAGGATGGGTACCTGTCTCTCACTCCAGCCTCTGAAGGATGCCTAACACGTCCTTAAGGTTTGGAGAACACAGTGGGTTGCCTGGGGCCCACCTCCTACCCAACAAGTCTAGAGGACACAATGGGCAATGGGCGGGCTGGCTGCAGGAGAACACTGCATGGGGACTGGCCTGCACTCCCAGAATCTGTGGCAAAAACTAATGCATGAAGGAGCTGTTGTGGGCTCGTTTCAGGTCCTTTCCAGAAGATCTGCCTGGAGGGTTGACAGGCCCTCGGCCAACAGAAGCAACAGGTAGATGCTGGGATTTCCAGGAGCTGCAGAAGTGAGGAGCAAGGCAGTGGCATGGGCATTACCCATACTGGGGGAACCGCAGAGAAGAGGCCCCTAAAATGGAAAGGGGTCATCAGAACACTCACAAAAGCACCCCACCAGAGTCAGCTTTAACTATTTGTCAGGTCCAGAGAGTGCAAACACTCTAGGTCTCTACTGCTCATTCTCTCTCCCTCCAACAGCAATCACGGAGAGGTCAGAGGCAGCAGCTAGTAGCTGGGAGAGGAGGGAAGAGGAAAGACAGGCAGGGCATGCCCTTTCCCCACCAGGCACCTGCCGGCACTGTGAGTTGAAAGCTGTGACTGTTACACAAGATGGGGCACTCTAAGTTTGGAAATGGCAACTCACTGTGACCATGGAATTTTTATTACTTCAGATGTATTGAAGACATGAAAACATTTTAAGGGAACAGTAGGAGACAAAATGAAGATGTCTGTGATGATCCTTGACATTTCCTGCATGCTCAACATACTGGTTGCACTAACTCAGGGGAAGTTAGTGCAAATGGATTTAGTGGTTCACATAACCAAAACATAGGAAGGGGCCAGAGTGCAGAGGGTCTCAGGGGTGACCGAAAGTGACTGGAATAGAGGGAGGCCATCGGGCCTCCCTCTATTGCCTGTACTCTCTCCTGGTGAGCTTTCTTCGTAAATGAGGCAATGTGACCACCAGCAACCTGTAGGCAAACATCTTCTGCTTTGCCACTGGCAAGGGATTGCATTCGCCCCTCGCCCCTCTGCTCCCAAGGGCGAAACTCCTGGGGAAAGGCTAGGGCTGGCGGAGCTTGTACCAGTACTTCATTCTGTTCTAGTCACAGAGACTGAGGATATGGGGTTTGTGGAAAATGATGACTCCCATGTGATACACATGGTTACAAGGAGCATTACCAGAAGAAATGTGTTGTCCTGAACAAATAAAGTCCCCTTGCGAACAATAGGAATAATCTTTGGAAAACTAAAGAGCTAGTAAATCTCCCAGGAAAATGCATAGCCAGCTACAATGAGCCACGGACCCCATTTCTCTCAACCTCAGTCCTCTGTCAAACCCTTCTCATAATGCCCTCTGACTCACGATTCCAACCACCCGGCCTACCCGTCTCTACCTCCTGCCACAGCTGAAGCCTGGCAGACCCTACGAGGCTTTTCTTGAGGCTCTCCAGGGGAGGCTGCTTTTCCTCTCCTCTGCCAAGCACCTGTGGGAATGAGAGGGGGGTGCTTATGACATACTTTGCTGCGATTTTCATCATCTTTCCTGTGTTTGGCATCCTTGGGGCTCTTGGATCTGTGGGTTTTAATCACATTTAAAAAAATTTGGTTCTTATTTCTTCAAATATTTTTCTGCCCTCCTCTTTCTTTTAGGGGCTCCAATAACACATGTATTAGGGCTGCTTGAAGTCCCATAGCTCACCAGTGGTCTGTTCATTTTTTTTCCCCAGTAATGTTTCACTCTATGTTTCTTTTCTTTTTTCTTTCTTTCTTTTTTTTTTTTTTTTTGAGACAGGGTCTCACTCTGTGGCCCAGGTTGGAGTACAGTGGTGCAATCCCGGCTCACTGCAACCTCCACCTCCCGGGTTCAATAGATTCTCCTGCCTCAGCCTCCCGAGTAGCTGGGATTACAAGCATGCAACACCACGCCTGGCTAAGTTTTGTATTTTTAGTAGAGACGGAGTTTCACCATTGGCCAGGCTGGTCTCGAACTCCTGACCTCAAGTGATCCGCCCACCTTAGCCTCCCAAAGTGCTAGGATTACAGGCGTGAACCACCACGCTCGGCCCTTTTCCTTTTTTTAAGAGACAGGGTCTCAACCCATAGCCCAGCCTGGAGTGTGGTGGCACAATCATAGCTCACTGCAGCCTCCAACTTCTGGGCTCAAGCAATCTTCCTGCCTCAGCCTCCTGAGTAGCTAGGACTACAGACAAGCACCACCACATTTAGCTAATTTTTAAACTTTTTGTAGAGACAGGGGTCTCACTATGTTGGCCAGGCTGAACTCCTGGCCTCAAGCTATCCTCCTTCCTCAGCCTCCCAAAGTGCTGGGATTACAGATGTAAGCCATTGCACCCAGCCCTCACTCTGTTTCATTTTAGATAGTTTCTATTGCTATATCTTCTAGTTCACTATTTTTTTCTTCTACAGTGTCTAATTTGCTGATTATTCATCCAGTACATTTTTCATCTCAGACACTGTATTTTTCACCTCTGGGAGTTTTTTTTCATATCTTCCGTGCCTTTCCTTAATATTCTCATGCTTTCCCCTGCCTTATTGAACATAGGAATATGATGTAATGCCCCCAGTTCTCTCATTTGTGTCATCTCTAAGCCTGCTTCTACTGATTGTTTTTTTTCCCTCTTTATAGGTTGTATTTTCATGCTTTTCCGAATTGCCTTGTAATTTCTGATTGGCTGCCAACCATGTGAATTTTACCTTGTTGGGGACAGGATACCTGTGCATTCCTTAAGTATTTTTGAGATACAATTAAGTCACTTGGAAACAGTTTGATCCTTTAAAGGCTAGTCTAAGGCTAATTTTGCACTATTACTAATTTTGCCCCACTGCTAAGGCAATACCTTCCTGAGTACACTATGAGATACCCCATGCATTATACAGTTTTCCCACAATTCCCAGTCCTGTGTGACTGCTAGGGATTATCCTGGCTGCCCCCTTCCAGTGGTTCTTTCCCCAGATTCTGGTAGTTTTCCCATCCACATGTACTCATCAGCTGACAAGTCCAAGGGGGAACTGTAACAAATCCCCTGAGCTCTCTCTCTGTGCAGGTCTCTCCTCTCTGATGATCTGTGAATTCTAGTTGCCCTGGTCTCCTCAAATGCTCAACTGTTACCTCAGCTTCGGACTCTTGGGTTCTCCTTCCCTGCGACATGGACTGCAAACTCTCCAGGAAGTTGGCTTGGGCAATTACAGGGCTAACCTCATCTGCTTCCCTTCTTTCAGAGATCAGTGCCCTGTGCTACCAATTGTTCAATGTCTGAAAATATTTCCATATTTTTTTTTCTGTTTTTTTCTCAGTCGTTTCTCCTTTCTTCACTTTTCCTTCATTCAGTCTAGACCTCACCTTGCTCAACACTCAGTTCAGCCTGCCCAATTATCTTTCCATTGCGCCCAAACCAAATCTCTCATTCCTGCTCAGCCTTCTCTCCTGAGCTCCACTTTTTTTTTTTTTTTTTTGAGATGGAGTCTCACACTGTCGCCTGGGCTGGAGTGCAGTGGCGTGATCTCAGCTCACTGCAACCGCCACCTCCCGGGTTCAAGTGATTCTCCTGCTTCAGCCTCCCGAGTAGCTGGGATTACAGGCGCCCGCCACTATGCCTGGCTAATTTTTTTGTATTTTTAGTACACACCGTGTTTCACTATGTTGGCCAGGCCAGTCTCGAACTCCTGACCTCATGATCCACCTGCCTTGGCCTCCCAAAATGCTGGGATTACAGGTGTGAGCTGCTGTGCCTGGCTGAGCTCCACATGTGTATATCCAGCTGCTTCCTGGACAGCTCCAGTTCGGTGTCCTACAGACACTTAAAACCTAAACCACACCCCCTAGAGTTCATCTTCATCACCCTCACACACACCCAGAACCTCTTTCTGGATTTCCCACCTTAACGAACAACACCACTCTTCACCCAGCTGCCCAAACTTGAAACCTGAGAGAATTCCTTTATTCCTGCTTCTCTCTTCTTTCTTCTAATTCATTACTATGACCTTTTAATTCCATGTTCTAAATGGATCTCAAATCTAAATGGATCTCAAATCTACTTACTTTTCTCCATTTCTACTCTTCTCGGCCAAGCCAGCTTTACTTCTCACCTGGATTGCTGTACTAGCCTCCTGTTATAGCCAGGTCTCCCTGCCCCTGTCTAATAGATGCTCTGTGCTGTAATCAGAGCTATCTTTCTGTAAGATAAATATGGCCATATCACAATCCTGCTTAAAACATTTGGTTGGATTCTACTGTTCTCAGAACAAATCCCAATCTCTTCACCTACAAGATCCCCCAAGACCTGGCCTATAGATATCATTCCTACTTTATTTATTTATTTATTTATTTATTTATTTATTTTTGAGACAGAGTCTCGGTCTGTCGGCCAGGCTGGAGTGCAGTGGCACGATCTCGGCTCACTGCAACCTCTGCCCCCTGGGCTCAAGCAATGCTCCTGCCTCAGCCTCCCGAGTAGCTGGGATTACAGGGGTGTGCCACCACGCCCGGCTAATTTTTGTATTTTAATAGAGATGGGGTTTCACCATGTTTGCCAGGCTGGTCTTGAACTCGTGACCTCAGGTAATCCGCCTGCCTCAACCTCCCAAAGTGCTGAGATTACAGGCGTGAGCCACCGTGCCCAGCCTCCTACTTCACTTCTTGATTCCCAGCATCACCCCTGCCATATTCAATGTTCCTGCGAGGCTGAACTGTTTTATCTTTCTCCAACATAACTTTATCATCTCCAGGCCTTTGAACATATCTTTCTCTTTATTTAAAGTATTTTCCCTACCGGGCACAGTGGCTGACGCCTGTAATCCCAACACTTTGGGAGGCCAAGGCAGGCAGATCGCTTGAACCCAGGTGTGTGAGACCAGCCTGGGCAACATGGTGAAACCTGGTCTCTACTAAAGATACAAAACATTACCCGAGCATGGTGGTGTGCACCTGTGGTCCCAGCTACTGGGGAGGCTGAGGTGGGAGGATCACCTGAGCCCGGAAATTCGAGGCTACAGTGAGCCATGACTGCACTGCTGCACTCTGGCCTGGGCAACGGGAGTAAGACCCTGTTTCAAAATAAAAAAATTAAATTAAATAATTTCCCAATCCCTTTTCACATTGGTTATTTCCTACACATTATTCCTAAATGATCCACAGTTACCTCTAGCTCAAAATGGTACAAATCAGACTTATCTTTGCCTGTTCCCCAGCCTTCCAGCCTTGATCCTTCTTGTTTTTAAATGATGGCAATACCATCCAGTCCTCCAAGAAGGAAATTTTTGGTGACCACTAATGTCTCTCATTTCTACATGCAGACCCTGTTCCCCTCCCTATCCCGTCATTGCTTTTGCTTGAGTCTTCACTGTTGCTTGGTTCACGTGGCAACCTCTTGATCTGTCTTCTCAGCCTCATCTCCTGCCACTCCCTTCTTTTATGCCTGAGAGCCTTTATGCCTGAGAGCTACTGCAGGTGACATTTCTCCTACAATGCCTTCACTCATCTTGCTCATCCTTCAAGATAAAGCCATCACTAAAGCTCAATTTCACAGATGTTTTTATAGTACAACAAGGAATTTTACATTTTTCCCTAAATTTCTATCCCTGTCTTATACTATTGTCTCCCCTGCTCTGTGCTCTGGTGATTTTGGCCTCTTTCAGTTCCCTGAATAAGCCACCTCTTTATTCGGTTAATTCCTGCTCATTCTTTAGACCCTAGTTCGAAGGCCCTCTTTTAGAAAAGTATTCCTTGCCGGGCACGGTGGTTCACGCCTGTAATCCCAGCACTTTGGGAGGCCAAGGTGGGCGGATCACAAGGTCAGGAGTTAAAGACCAGCCTGACCAACACGGTGAAACCCCGTTTCTACTAAAAATACAAAAATTAGCCGGGTGTGGTGGTGCGTGCCTGTAATCCCAGCTACTCAGAAGGCTGAGGCAGGAGAACTGCCTGAACCCAGGAGGTGGAGGTTACCGTGAGCCGAGATCGCACCACTGCACTTCAGCCTCGGTGACAGTGTGAGACTCCGTCAAAAAAGAAAAGAAAAAAAAGAAGAGCGTTCCTTGTCCTCCCTATGTAGACCTCACCCTTCAAATGCTCCTGTGCCACAGTGTACTTTCTCCAGTTTGTGATTATACATTTACCGACAGACGCCTCTCCTCTGCTAGTCTAGAAGTTCCACTAAGACTCTTCTTTTCCTCACAGGTGCATCACCTAACACTATGCTTGGCATGTGGAAGGAATGTTGAACGAACAACATCTTCTCTGATCTAACTTGTTAGCCTAAATGCACCTTATCTGTGCTCTCCAGCCCTTCCAGAACTTATTCATGAACCTGCAATGCACATCTGTTGTTTCTGTCCTTTTAGAAACAAGCCCCTTGGGTTTCCTTCAGGGAACTGCTCTTCTCCCATTGCAGGCAAGTGGTGAGACTGTCGATGGGATTTATGTCCAAAGTGTAGGCACCTGACAAAAGCTAGGTTAGTGGGACAATTTCTTCCCTAAACTCAGCGACACGAGGGAGAAAAATAATGTGCTGAAGAGGGGGACCACTTGTTCCTGCAACCTAGATTCCTGGGGCTGCCCTTCATGTTCTTTCTGAGGGCTCGATGTTTAGCTTCCAATTGGATTCTGTGGGTACCCATGTCCTTCTGGTAAATTCCTTTTTAAAAACAGTTATCCCCAGTCAGTTTTTGTTGCTTTCAATTAAACTATCCTAGCTTACATGTATTTGGGTTCTCATAAAGGGCAGGGCTCACCTCTGCACCCAATATCACATCTGGCACAGAGTTGGTATTCCATAATGTACTGAATGGATGGAAGAGTGGAAAGAGTGACCAAATAAGCAAGGCAGCCTAGTAAGTGCCCTGAGACCTGGAGTCTTTGTCTTCCTCCACCCCTTGCAGTGAGGGGGCAGTGCTGGTGGTAGCAGTGATGGCAGCAGCAGGGGCTTCCTCTCCCTCTCCTTCTCCCTCGCCTGCCATCTTCGACTGCAGTGATTCCCTTGCTCTGGCCCTTCCTGGCTCCCAGCCTATCTGATTACATCACTGTCACCTGCCCACAGCGAGCCTCCTCTGGCTCTTCTTAGGCGCAACTAACTGTCTGCCACACTGTTTATTTAATGCCCTTCACACCTTCTATTTTCTGAGTTTTGCTTTGGGGTTCCCTTTTAAGAACTCCCAGTTTGCCAAGGTAGTTCCCTCCCATCATGTATAAAGGCCTGAAATTTAACCCTCTCCACAAAGACTTCCTGAGTCACCTGAGTCACTGGCGTCTGTCTGCTCCATCTCAACCAAGGTCTTTACCTGACAAGCACTTTACTCTCAGCCCCAGCCTCATAGTCATGTTACTGATTATTCAGTCTGTGTGTGGCCCCTCACAGAGTTCCCTGACTAGCAGGAAAATTTAAGCATCATCTTTAGGAAGTGTAAATGAGAAAAGAAAGCAATCAGGAAGGCATAGGCATTATACTCCAGGAATACAGGAGCAGAGCTTCTCTACTGCTGGGGTTGGGCAAGGTTACAGATCCCAGCGCATCTCCTTTATACAAATGTGTTCTTAGAGTTGCATGTGAATTTGCCTTATACAGAGGAACTGCTATTTTGAGTGTACCAACACTTCAGGGACTATTCACCTCTCGGGTAGTGGCATGAAAGTCTGGGTCTCACCAGCAGCCCAATGATCCCAGATCTGTACAAAGAACAGAACACTCTAGGAATCCCAGGCCAGCCAGGCACAATATGCACTCATATTCCAGCTCTCCTAGCACCTGAAGATACTCTCCTCCCCAGGTATGAAAGCAGAAAGCCAGCAGAAGTGTTTAGTCTGATGGCTTAGGCTTCCTGCTTTGGCCAGGCTGGAAAGCCCAGGATTACAAAAATCACTGACCAAGGAGCACGTGTGTCTCTGCCCAGCTCCAGGTGGGGAGTGACATGGCTGATGCAAATCCCTGACCTTCCCCTCCTGCACGTGCACCAAGTCAGAGCTGTGAATGCACAAAGTGCTTTTTCAGACGTCTTTGAAATTAACCATTAACTCTTCCATTGCCGCCTTAAAGGAATAAGTCAGTCTAGATGTCATAGCAAAAGATTCATATAACTTGTTGGATGAACACTGGAACACTGATGTAAACTCTTAAAAGGTTCAGAAACTGGACATAAACAAAAGGATCCCATGCATTAAAGTGTGAATACATGTAATAATGAAACCTTGTTACATATAAAGCAAAATTAACAGAACTAAAAGAAAATGACACCGTTGGTCTACCATCATAAACCACTGAAAAATCGGGCTCACAAAGTCTGTGAGAATTCAGAAGATTTGAACAGAACAATTACTAAATTTAAACTAACAGACATACAGAGAACCTTACATCCAACAAATGGTGAATGCACATTCCTTTTTTTTTTTTTTGAGGTGGGATCTTGCTATGCTGCCCAGGCTGGATTCAAACTGCTGGGCCCAAGTGATCCTCCCACCTCAGCCCGAGTAACTGGGACTCTAGGTGCGTACCACTGTGCCCGGCCTACAAGACATGTAGGGAGCATTTACAAAACCCGACCAGGCTAAGCATGGTGGCTCATGCCTGTAATTCCAGCATTTTGGGAGGCCAACGCGGGCGGATCACAAGGTCAGGAGTTCAAGACCAGCCTGGCCAATACAGTGAAACCCCGTCTCTACTAAAAATACAAAAATTAGCCAGGTGTGGTGGCACGTGCCTGTAGTCCCAGCTACTTGGGAGGCTGAGGCAGGAGAATCATTTGAACCCGGGAGGTGGAGGCTGCAGTGAGCCGAGATGGCGCCATTGCACTGGGCGACAGAGTGAGACTCTGTCTCAAAAACAAAAACAAAACAAAACAAAAACCAACCAACTGTGAGGCCATAACATAGGGTCAGCCTCCAACTCTTAATTTAAAATTTAAGTATTGAGAAGCTATTGCATGGAATAACATTTTATTGCCGGCAACAAAATACTGTCAGTTATTTCCCTTGAAGTGATAATGCTCACTTTCATTACTGAGAAAATGTCTGCCAAATTCCAAAGTCTGAAAAAACCACAGTCTGTCAATTGTACTTTCAAGTAAAAATTATGTTCCATGAAAAATGTTGCATGAAAAACTCATGGAGCAGAGTGTTGCCCAAGAGGCTGCTGGTCAGTGGCAGGCCAGCCAGGTGGGGACTCCCAGGGGAGCACAGCTCCAGGTGAAGGGCAACACACCTGTTCTCACATATTGGGTAGTATCGCTGCTTATGTGCATTGAATGTAGCCTTTTATGATCTCCAACCAACTCCAGGGTGACTGCTCTAAGAATTCATATACATTTTGCAACAGAGCTTCACGCTATTTTGAAATACCTGATACAAAAAAGTGAGATTAGATTTGAAATCCATTTGTTCTAACTGAAGAAATTTCAACCTTACAATTTTGATTAAGGAAAAGGAAGAACTGTTGGATTTTTAAAATATAATTTCAACTGCTGTAAACATCTGAATAAGTATAAAAATGATTTTATATTTTTGTCAGTTATTTGTGTGAGTTTTTGATGATAACTGAGTATTTTTTAAGAGAGTATCATTAAAAAGCCTTGACAGGAGTTATGTGAAGCCTTCCCAGACAAAACTCCTGAATAAAAATTTATGAACACCGAAACAAGCTCTAGTTTTTAATTAAAAACTTGAAAAGATTTTTATGGTATAGCAATTCAATATTTAATAAATTTCTTAATACTTTGTGTTTCATTTTGCTCATCATAGTTCTTTTTGGTTTGTTTGTTTGTTTGTTTGTTTGACACAGGGTCTCACTCTGTCACCCAGGCTGGAGTGCAGTGGTGCAAACTCGGATCGTCCCACTCTTGACCTCCTGGGCTCAGGTGACCCTCCCATCTCAGCCTCCTGAGTAGTTTGGACTAAAGGCGCAATGCTGCTGGGACTAGAGGTGCAATGCTGCTGGGACTATAGGTGCAATGCCACCACGCCTGGCTAATTTTTTATTTTTTTGTAGAGACAGGTTTCACCATGTTGCCCAGACTGGTCTCAAACTCCTGGGCTCAACTGATCCTCCTGCTTTGGCCTCCCAAAGTGCTGGGATTACAGGTGTGAGCCACCATACCTGGCCTGTTCATCACAGTTCTGTAATATTAAAAAAAAAAAAAAATCACAAATGTTTTCACAATGCCCTATGTAGACAACTCCAAGTCCTCTCCTATTTGTCCTAGTATAGCACATAAGTATTACTTCCTACCTACATTCTGACGTGCAGTTGGGAGCACCAGGCTGTGCAGTCACATCCTGTTCCAGGACAAAAGAGAGAGCTTCTTGAAGGTTCCTGAAGCCAGGTGTCCTACTGTAGCCTCACCTTCAGGCTACTGAGCCCCAGAATGGAATTTCAAGGAATACGGTTGTACATGATGAGCCTAACATGCTACTGGCATTTCCGTTGTGAGTGACCCACTTCCTTTTTTCATTGTAATGAACCACCACAAATTCCAATCAGCTGTCACTGTACCTGGCACAAAGAAGATGCTTATTAAATGACTGCTACTGATGACAACCACAAATATTGCCCATGAACACCAATTTAAGGAGCATTATTGAGGTATATAAAGTTTGGTATTTTATGGGATAAAAACATGAACTTGGTTCTATCAGAAATTGCCGTGCTTCGAATTATAATTCACAAAGCCACATAGGCAGGATAGTCCATGAGGCAAGAAAACTCCATTTACCCAGAGAAGCAGCTCTGCTGCCAGATCTTCTTTAAAGTGGTCTTTGGCTCCAATCTCTGGGCTATGATGAATTGCTAAGTACGAAGGGAATGGCAGTAAATGGAATGAGGACCTACCCTAGCCAAAACAGCTCTATCATTTCTTAAGAAATGTCACTGTACAATCTCTAAAAAAAAGTCATGGGGTATATTAAACATATGTAATATATGCCATGGCTTGGGTGGAGGAAGAAGTTGGCAATAGTTCCAAATGGGCTGTCAGGCTTGCAGAATGAAGGGACTGAGAGGAACTACTATTTATTGAGCATCTTCCTTTGTATTCATGCTGTTCTCAGTACTGTCACCTATACAGCCCCATGAGGCAGGTACTATATTTTACAGATGAGGAAAGAGAGGTTTAGACAGGGGAGATATGTTCAAGATCCCCCAATCATGAAGTAGGCTAGCAGGGATGCCGTGGAACCAACCCAGGGCTGATTCTTTCCTTTACGTTATGCCCACAATGACTCTCAGAGGAAACAAGAAAAGCAGACCCTCACATTAGCAGCACAGTTTCCATGACAGCAATGATGTACTATTACCTCCCATCTCCTGCCCCAGGGTGATGTCAGAAGGCCCTGGCCATACCACACATGAATCATGGGAGTCAAAAGAGGCCTGAGAAGGTCTGGCCAAAGTGCAAATAGCTCCCACATCATCTCAAGTCAGGGAAATAAACCACAACATGGGATCAATTAATCAAAGAGAAACTAAAAGGAAAAGCATTTTTCTAAAATAAACACAGAAAAGCCCACTGACCTAGACTAAATTAACTGATTCAGTAAAATAACTTAGAAGTTTACAAACTAAGATCCAATCTCAAATGGGTGTATGTTGGTGTGGGGGAGGTGAGAGGCCTAGTAGGAAGCTTCTGGTAACAGAGTCCCCTGTGACTATCAGGCCTCCATCTGAGCACAGCACAGCTCTTCTCCAACGTGGCATACTGGGGGCCAAGGGAGCATGACATGTCCTTGGCCCCAGGTAAGAGAATCACAGGCTACAGAAGGAGCCCTGGAAGCCCCCTCCCACAGCAGCCAAAAATGTCACTGCACCCATCTATCTCTCTTCTGTCTTGGGAAAATAGCAGATATCTAGGGCTGAGTACTGCAGTGAATTTAATCCTATTCACAGCATCAACTGTGTCCGGGCCATCCCAGGGCATCTTGCACTAAGCTGCAGGAGGATTAGGAGGGACAGCATGTCAAAACAGCTGCTGGTACAGGAAATGGGAAAAAATGGCTCACTCTGCAGTTTGTATCTTAAACTTCATGGAGCTTACCACCTCATGGGATAGATAGGGCATAAATACTCACTGAAATGGTCTGAATGTTGGGTGTCCCCTGTGAATTCATGTGCTGGAACCTGATATCCAATGTGATAGTATTAAGAGGTAGGGCCTTTAGAAGGTAATTAGGTCATGAGGGCTCCACCCCTAGGATGGGATTGATATTTTTATCAGGGAGGGCTGAGGGAGCCTATTTGCCTCTTCTGTCTTGTTAGGACACACACAGAAGGTTCCATCTATGAGGAATGGACCCTTTCCAAACACTGAATCTGCTGATGTCTTGATCTTGGACTTCCCAGCCTTCAGAACTGTGAGCAATAAATTTCTGTTGTTTATAAATTACCCAGTCTAAGGTATTTTTGTTATAGCAGCCCAAAGAGACTACGACAATCACAAAGCAATTATTAAACAAAATAAGAGAGAGCTCTACTCCCCAAACAAAAATAACTTAATTTTTTCCCAGTTATTAAAATAACATATGCTCAATACAAAAATCCAAATCCAAAACACTTATAAAGAATGAAGTAAGAACCATTTGAAACCCCTATTTACCTAGGGCTAACTGCTACAAATATTTTGGTGACTATTTTCCCAGAAATCTCTTTCCATAAATACTGTATATGTATGAACGTACATACATAATTTTACCTACACTTGGCCTTAATATGCATGCTGTTTGTTTGTTTTGTTCACTCAACAATATCCTCGACATCGTCTGTGTCAATAAAAGTAAAACTGCATCATCATTTTAAATGACTGCAGTTACTCCAATGAATGGATATGCCATTATTTATTTGACCTCAAGCACTCCTTAATTAGTGAATATTGTTGTTCCTAATTTTCTATTCTTTAACACCTATTTATTTAACACCTACTTAGCACCTATTATGTGCCAGACGCATTCTAAATACCGGCGATACAGTGATGAACAAAACAGACCAAGTCCTTGGCCAAAATGAAGCCTACATTTTAGTAGGGGAGATTGACAGTGTGCAAGTAAATAAGCAAATAGTTTGAAGGAAGGAGGCATGCTAAGAAAAACTGAAGACATACTTTTTTAGAGAAGGACTGGTTAGAGGAGTGGACTACTTTAGATGAAGTGGTCTGGGAAGACCTTCTGGCGGAGGTGACAGTGGGACAGAGGCCTGAAGACAGCAACGCAAAGCAGGAGGTAAGAACAGTCTAGGAAGTGGGAACAGCAAGCACAAAGACCCTGAGGCAGGAAAGGACCTGACATCCTCAAGGAGCCACAGGCATGCCAATGTAGCGTGAGGGCAGTGGGCTGAAGGCAAATGAACTACAGGGAAATTGGAGAGGTTAAGTAGGACTCAGGAAGGAGGGACAAGTTTGGATTTTATTGTAAATGTACTGTAAGGTCACTGGAGAGGCTTCAGTGGTAACAAGACAGGATCCGATTTAGGTTTCTGGAAGATTACTCTGGCTACAAGGTACAGAAGGCAATAAGTGGCACAGACAGGCCAGTCAGGAGATGTTTCTAGTCTAGGGAAGAGAAGATGGTACCTTGGGCAGTGGTGCTAGAAAGAAGCGGCTAGAGAAGAACACATTGTGAAGACAGGAAAGGGGGAGAGGGTAAAGGAAGAGGAACAATCAGGGTGATTCTAGGTTTGCAGCCTGAACTTTCAGTTGGGTAGATGGGGAAGAAAAAGTGGGAGAGGAACTAGTTTCAGCATACAGCTCCTATATATGTTTCATCAGATTTATATATAAGCATTTACACATAAGTATTTGGTTTCGGGAAGCTGCTATGTGTTTTAAATTTTGGTTTTCAACTGCTCATTGCTAGTACTTAAAAACATGATGAACTTCTGTGTTTTGACCTCGTATCCTGTCATCTTGCTAAACTCAGTTATTAGTTCTAGGAATGTTTTTGTAGATTCCTTGGGATTTCCTATGTAGGCAATCATGTCATCTATGAAAACGGTTAATTTTGTTTCTTCCTTTCCATTCTGTATCCTTTTTATTGCTTTATTACATTGACTAGACCTTCCAGAAGTATTTCCTGATGTTAGGGGGAGAGCAGTCTTTTACCATAAAGTATGATGTTTGCTGTAGGTTTTTGTAGATGGCCGATGTCAGGATGAAGAAGTTCCTTTCTATGTTTGCTGAGCGTTTTTATCATAAATAGATGTTGAATTCTGTCAAATGCGTTTTCTTCATCAATTAATAAGACCATGCAGTTTTTTTTCTTTAGACAGTTAATACGGTGGATTATATTGATTTTTTCATTGTTGAACCAGCCTTCCATTCCCAGGATAAACCACACTTGGTCACCAAATTTGGGACGTTTTAGCCATTGTTTCTTCAAAAATTTCATATGGAACTCTGAAGACACGAATGATAAATCTTCTAGTATTGTGCCACAAGTCACTAGGCTCTGTTCAACTTTTAAAAGATTTTCTCTGTTGTTCCAATTGGATAGTTTTATTGCTTTATTTGGTTCTTCTTTATATTTTCTTCCTCTTTTTTTGTTTGCTAAGACCTTCATTTAAAAAAATCTTTAATATTTTTAAATTTTTTTAGAGATAGGGTCTCACTGTCACCTAGGCTGGAGTGCAGAGTGCACCTAGGCTGGTGTGATCATAGCTAACTGCAGCCTTGAATTCCTGGGCTCAAGTGATCCTCCTGCCTCAGCCTCCCAAGTAGCTGAGACTACAGGTGTGTGCCACCATGCCTGGCTAATATTCTTCTTTAATTTTGTAGAGAAGAGTTCTCTGCAATGTTGCCCAGGCTGGTTTCAAACTCCTAGTCTCAAGTGATCCTTCTGCCTCAGCCTCCCAAAGTGTTGGGATTACAGGCATGGGCCACTGCACCTAACCTTTACTTTTTTTGCAAAGATTTTCTAGTTTTCTATTCATTTCAACAGACTTTGCCTTTACTTTGGGGAGCATTTTTATCATAGCTGTTTAAAAAGTCTTTATTAGATTATTCAAACATCTGTGTCACCTCAGCACTGGCATTGGTTGATTAACTTTTCCCATGCAAGTTCAAATTTTCCTGGTTCTTCATTTTGGTTCATATCTGGGATATTCTGAATCTTATTATGAGACTCTACATCTTGTTTAAATCCAGTGGAGAATGTTCATATTTTTGTTTTAGCAGACAATCGACCAGGTTGGGTTCGGGCAGCAAATTCCAACTAGCCTTCTGTGGGTTGTGGTTTCAACATCAGTTCCATTTTCAAAGCCTGTTCAGAAGAGTCCTCTGTGTGTGCATCCAGTCTGGGACTTGGGCAGTGGTCTGTCCCTTAGGTCAGTTCTGAAAGTCTTTGGTATGTTGTTTAGAATCAGATGCATACCTGCACAGCTTGGGTTATCCTGAAGTCCATAAATAACTTAAAGCGGTTGCTTTCCTGAGCTCCCTTTCCCTTTGCTTTCTCTTTCCTGCCTTCTGGTTTCTTGTGACTCCCCTTCCTGGGCCTCTGGCCAGAAAGCTGGGGCTTTAATTACCACATTCTGCCA